>NC_000002.12:98701739-99004769 GCF_000001405.40 Homo sapiens | reverse complement strand
CCTCTTTTTCTATTGATTGGAATAGTTTCAGATGGAATGGTACCAGCTCCTTCTTGTACCTCTGGTAGAATTCGGCTGTGAATCCATCTGGTTCTGGACTTTTTTTGGTTGGTAAGCTATTTATTATTGCCACAGTTTCAGAGCCTGTTATTGGTCTATTCAGAGATTCAACTTCTTCCTGGTTTAGTCTTGAGAGCGTGTATGTGTTGAGGAATTTATCCATTTCTTCTAGATTTTCTAGTTTATTTGCGTAGAGGTGTTTGTAGTATTCTCTGATGGTAGTTTGTATTTCTGTGAGATCGGTGGTGACATCCCCTTTATCATTTTTTATTGCATCTGGATTCCCTCTTTTTCTATTGATTGGAATAGTTTCAGAAGGAATGGTACCAGCTCCTCTTTGTACCTCTGGTAGAATTCGGCTGTGAATCTGTCTAGTCCTGGACTTTTTTTGGTTGGTAAGCTATTAATTATTGCCTCAATTTCAGAGCCTGTTATTGGTCTATTCAGAGATTCAACTTCTTCCTGGTTTAGTCTTGGGAGGGTGTATGTGTCCAGGAATTTATCCATTTCTTCTAGATTTTCTAGTTTATTTGCATAGAGGTGTTTAAAGTATTCTCTGATGGTTGTTTGCATTTCCGTGGGATCAGTGGTGATATCCCCTTTATCATTTTTTATTGCATCTATTTGATTCTTCTCTCTTTTCTTCTTTATTAGTCTTGCTAGTGGTGTGTCAATTTTGTTGATCTTTTCAAAAAACCAGCTCCTGGATTCATTGATTTTTTGAAGGGTTTTTTATGTCTCTATTTCCTTCAGTTCTGCTCTGATCTTAGTTATTTGTCTTCTGCTAGCTTTTGAATGTGTTTGCTCTTGCTTCTATAGTTCTTTTAATTGTGATGTTAAAGTGTCGATTTTAGATCTTTCCTGCTTTCTCTTGTGGGCATTTAATGCTATAAATTTCCCTCTACACACTGCTTTAAATGTGTCCCAGATATTCTGGTATGTTGTGTCTTTGTTCTCATTAGTTTCAAAGAACATCTTTCTGCCTTCATCTCGTTATTTACCCAGCAGTCATTCAGGAGCAGGTTGTTCACTTTCCATGTAGTTGTGCAGTTCTGAGTCAGTTTCTTAATCCTGAGTTCTAATTTGATTGATTGCACTATGGTCAGAGAGACAGTTTGTTATAATTTATGTTCTTTCACATTTGCTAAGGAGTGCTTTACTTCCAACTATGTGGTCAATTTTGGAATAAGTGTGATGTGGTGCTGAGAAGAATGTATATTCTTTTTATTTGGGTTGGAGAGTTCTGTAGATGTCTATTAGGTCCACTTGGTGCAGAGCTGAGTTCAAGTCCTGGATATCCTTGTTAAGTTTCTTTCTCGTTGATCTGTCTAATGTTGACAGTGGGGTGTTAAAGTCCCCCATTATTATTTTGTGGGAGTCTAAGTCTCTTTGTACATCTCTAAGGACTTGCTTTATGAATCTGGGTGCTCCTGTATTGATTGGGTGCATAGATATTTAGGATAGTTAGCTCTTCTTGTTGAATTGATCCCTTTACCATTATGTAATGGCCTTCTTTGTCTCTTTTGATCTTTGTTGGTTTAAAGTCTGTTTTAGGCCAGGCACGGTAGCTTACGCCTATAATCCCAGCACTTTGGGAGGCCGAGGCAGGTGGATCACGAGGTCAGGAGTTCAAGACCAGCCTGGCCAAGATGGTGAAACCCTGTCTCTACTAAAAATACAAAAATTAGCCGGGCATGGTGGCACTTGCCTATAATCTCAGCTACTCAGAAGGCTGAGGCAGAGAATTGCTTGAACCTGGGAGGTGGAGGTTGCAGTGAGCCAAGATCGCACCACTGCACTCCAGCCTGGGCGACAGAGTGAGACTCTTTCTCAAAAAAAAAAAAAAAGTTTGTTTTATCAGAGACTAGGATTGTAACCCCTGCTTTTTGTTGTTGTTGTTTTCCATTTGCTTGTTAGACCTTCCTCCATCCCTTTATTTTGAGCCTATGTGTGTCTCTGCATGTGAGGTGGGTCTCCTGAATACAGCACACTGATGGGTCTTGACTCTTTATCCAATTTGCCAGTCTGTGTCTTTTAATTGGAGTATTTAGCCCATTTACGTTTAAGGTTAATATTGTTATGTGTGAATTTGATCCTGTCATTATGTTGTTAGCTGGTTATTTTGCTCGTTAGTTGATGTAGTTTCTTCTTAGCCTCGATGGTCTTTACAATTTGGCATGTTTTTGCAGTGGCTGGTACCAGTTGTTCCTTTCCATGTTTAGTGCTTCCTTCAGGAGCTCTTTTAGGGCAGGCCTGGTGGTGACAACATCTCTCAGCATCTGTTTGTCTGTAAAGTATTTTATTTCTCCTTCACTTACGAAGCTTAGTTTGGCTGGATATGAAATTCTGGGTTGAAAATTCTTTTCTTTAAGAATGTTGAATATTGGCCCCCACTGTCTTCTGGCTTGTGGAGTTTCTGCCAAGAGATCTGCTGTTAGTCTGATGGGCTTCCCCTTGTGGGTAACCGGACCTTTCTTTCTGGCTGCCCTTAATATTTTCCCTTCATTTCAACTTCGGTGAATCTGACAATTATGTGTCTTGGAGTTGCTCTTCTCGAGGAGTATCTTTGTAGCGTTCTCTGTATTTCCTGAATTTGAATGTCGGCCTGCCTTGCTAGATTGGGGAAGTTCTCCTGGATAATATCCCGCAGAGTGTTTTCCAACTTGGTTCCATTCTCCCCGTCACTTTCAGGTACACCAATCAGATGTAGATATGGTCTTTTCACATAGTCCCATATTTCTTGGAGGCTTTGTTCGTTTCTTTTTATTCTTTTTTCTCTAAACTTCTCTTCTTGCTTCATTTCATTCATTTGATCTTCAATCACTGATACCTTTTCTTCCACTTGATTGAATTGGCTACTGAAGCTTGTGCATGCGTCATGTAGTTTTCGCGCCATGGTTTTTAGCTCCGTCAGGTCATTTAAGGTCTTCTCTATGCTGTTTATTCTAGTTAGCCATTCGTCTAATCTTTTTCCAAGGTTTTTAGCTTCTTTGCGATGGGTTCAAACGTCCTCCTTTAGCTTGGAGAAGTTTGTTATTACTGATCCTCTGAAGTCTACTTCTGTCAACTCGTTAAAGTCATTCTCTGTCCAGTTTTGTTCTGTTGCTGGTGGGGAGCTGTGTTCCTTTGGAGGAGAAGAGACACTCTGATTTTTGGAATTTTCAGCTTTTCTGCTCTGGTTTCTCCCCATCTTTGTGGTTTTAATCTACCTTCGGTCTTTGATGTTGGTGACCTACAGATGGGGTTTTGGTGTGGGTGTCCTTTTTGTTGATGTTGATGCTATTCCTTTCTGTTTGTTAGTTTTCCTTCTAACAGTCAGGACCCTCAGCTGCAGGTCTGTTGGAGTTTGCTGGAGGTCCACTCCAGATCCTGTTTGCCTCGGTATCACCAGCGGAGGCTGCAGAACAGCAAATATTGCTGCCTGATCCTTCCTCTGGAAGCTTCATCTCAGAGGGGCACCTGGCTGTATGAGGTGTCAGTTTGCCCCTACTGGGAGGTGTCCCTGAGTTAGGCTACTAGGGGGTCAGGGACTCACTTGAGGAGGCAGTCTGTCCGTTCTCAGATCTCAAACTCCATGCTGGGAGAACCACTGCTCTCTTCAAAGCTGTCAGACAGGGACGTTTAAGTCTGCAGAAGTTTCTGCTGCCTTTTGTTCAGCTATGCCCTGTCCCCAGAGGTGAAGTCTACAGAGATAGGCAGACCTCATTGAGCTGTGGTGGGCTCCACCCGGTTCGAGCTTCCAGGCTGCCTTGTTTACCAAATCAAGCCTCAGCAATGGTGGATGCCCCTCTCCCAGCCTTGCTGCCACCTCGCAGTTCGATCTCGGACTGCTGTGCTAGCAGTAAGCAGGGTCCATGGGTGTGGGACCCACCGAGCCATGCATGGGATATAATCTCCTGGTGTGCTGTTTGCAAAGACCACTGGAAAAGCACAGTAGTAGAGTGGGAGTGTCCCGAGCACTAGGAAAGGGAATTCCCCGACCCCTTGCGCTTCCCAGGTGAGGCGATGCCCTGCCCTGCTTTGGCTCACACTCTGTGGGCTGCACCCACTGTCCAACAAGTCCCAGTGAGATGAACCTGGTACCTCACTTGGAAATGCAGAAATCACCCATCTTCTGTGTCGCTTACGCTGGGAGCTGTGGACTGCAGCTCTTCCTATTCGACCATCTTGGAACGATCCCCTTTTTTTTTTTTTTTTTTAAGTCAGAGTTTCACTCTTGTCCCCCAGACTGGAGTGCAATGGCAGGATCTCAGCTCCCTGCAACCTCCACCTCCCAGGTTCAAGTGATTCTCCTGCCTCAGCCTCCCTGAGTAGGTGAGATTACAGGTGTCCATCACTACATCCAGCTCATTTTTTTTTTTTTTCAGTAGAGACGGGGTTTGCCATGTTGGGCAGGGTGGTCTCGAACTCCTGACCTCAGGTGATCCACCTGCCTTGGCCTCCCAAGGTGCTGGGATTACAGGCATGAGCCACCACACCTGGCCTAGTTTTTGTATTTTTAGTAGAGACAGGGTTTCACCATGTTGACCAGGCTGGTCTCAAACTCCTGACCTCAGGTAATCCACTCGCCTCAGCCTCCCAAAGTGCTAGGATTACAGGCATGAGCCACCACACCCTGCCATTTTGAAAATCTTTTTAAAAAATAGGTGAATTACACTGGGCGTGGTTGCTCACACGTGTAATCCTAGCACTTTGGGAGACTGAGGCAGACAGATCGCTTGAGCCTAGGAGTTACAGACCAGCCTGGGCAATGGTGAAACCCCATCTCTACAAAAAATACACACACAAAAAAAATTAGCCAGATATGGTGGCACGTGCCTGTATTTCTAGCTACTTGGTAGGCTGAGGTGAGAGGATCAACTGAGCCTGGAAGGTCATGGCTTCAGTAAGCCATAATCATGCCACTGCATTCTAGCCTGGGCAACAGAATGAGACCCTGTCTCAAAAATAGAATAGAACAGTATAAATAAAATAGATGAGTTAAAATCTTTTACATTATTGATATGACTGTTATGTCACATCAATAGTTATAATTACTTTCTGTACTATGTGATATTTGTTGTATTTCTTCATTTGATCAGTCTTCTTTGCTTTTTAACAAATTTCTTTTGGCTTTTATGAAAGTTTATTTTATTTTAGTTGTTACCTTTCTATTAATATGATTAACAATGCCCTTAATCACCTTTTTTCTCACTTAATCTTTTACTCTCAGTTTCAAATGGTGTCCTTTGACTGACACCTATTATCTAGACAACAGACATCACATTGAATTTACTTTCCTCTAACCACTGCTCTGTTTCCTGCCTCTCTAGTTTTGCCTTTCCCAGGTTGTCATGTAAATGGAATCATACAGTATGCAGCCTCTAGTGGTTGACTTTCACCCAGCATAATATATTTCAGATTTATCCAGGTTGTTGCATGTATTAGTAGTTGTCACATATTCCTTTTAACTGCTGAGTAGTATTCCATAGTATAGATGTACCACAGGTACTTTTTTTTAATGATTATAGTCTTGGCCATACACAGTGGCTCCTGACTATAATCCCAGAACTTTAGGAGGCTGAGGTGGGAGGATCATTTGAGGCCAGGAGTTTGAGACCAGCCTGGCCAACGTGGCAAAACCCCATCTCTACTAAAAATACAAACATTAGCTGGGCGTGGTGGCGCATGTCTGTAATCCCAGCTACTCAGGCGGCTGAGGCATGAGATTTGCTTGAACCTGGGGGCAGAGGTTGCAGTAAGCTGAGATCATGTCACTGCACTTCAGCCTGGGTGACAGAGTGAGACTCTGTCTCCAAAAAATAGTAATTAAAAAATAAAAATAGAATGATTATAGTCTCACAAGTAGTTGCAAAAATACCACAGACAGTCCCACATATCCTTACCCCAGCTTCTATAATGGAGTATCTTACAAACTGGGATATTGACATTAGCACAGTGTGATTAACTAGTCTAAAGGCCTTATTCAGATTTCACTAGTTTTTAGATGCACTCATTTGTTTGTATGTGTATATATATATTTTTTACAATCCACACACAGCACAACTATGATCAAGATGTGAAGTTGTTCCATCAGCACCAAAGAATTCACTCCCTCATTATGCCTATTTATAGTTGTAGCCCTGACCTTCTTCATCTCCCTGTCTCCTGGGAAACACTACTTTCTTCGCCATCTCTATAATTCTGTCGTTTTGAGATAACCTTTTCAGATTAACTTTTCTCATTCAGCATAATGCCCGTGAGATCCATCCAAGCTGCTGTAAGTATCAATAGTTCATTCCTATTTATTGTTGAATAGTATTCCATGGTATGAATGTACCAGTTTGTGAAAACTGAGTGAAAAAATATATTGTTTTTTGTTTTCCTTCATAGAAATGAAGAAAAATCTTACGTTTTGCTGAAGTGATACACTTACTAGAATAAATTTGTTACACATGTTGAAAAAGTTGAATTAAAAATATTAATCAGCATGATTTTTTCTCTTATAGGAATCTTTGCTACAGAGATTTCTGACACCTGAAATGATTCTTCACATCCCTGAGAAAGGTCAAAGTTACAAACTGATTTTTTTTTTTTTGCTACATGAGTGCATTTATCTTTTAAATGCTTGGCAATGTTAAATGTATTTATTAACTTTGTGTCTCTGAATCTCTGTTCTAATGTGCCATGTTGCAGTGATCTGAGATGACTTATAAAAACAAAAATGTATATGGCTCTTTCTATCCATGCAGTGATAGTGAGTGTAAAATCTGCTTACTTCACTATTGAACACTATTCTGTTCACTATCTGGAGTAAATAAAGAAGCTTATTAAAACAGGGAAAAGTGTTTTTACAAAACTGCTTTCCTTTCCTTTCTTGGTATCTCAAATAATTGGTTGGTTAATTTTTTTTCTTTGTGATTTGTGTTTTCATGGCTGGAAAATCTGTGCCAAAATGGGTACAACTTACTGATACTGGTCTGGGATCTGATATTCCATTTTGGAACCAACCTTACATGAATTCCATGCCATAATCTGATATTGAAGCAGCAGAAAGTAGGAGTGTTGTCAGGGTTTTAAAACCTATAGTATTGTACCACTCAAAGACTAAGTAACATACATATTCTACAATTGTGTTTACTACTACTGCTTTTAGAAAGGTAGGTGATGGTATATCTGTCAAGAATGTAAGATTTTATTAAAAATCTTTATTTTTAATAAGTTTTCTTTCAAGTACTGCAATCAACTTAATTGCGATTTTATTTTATTGTCTGTGGCAGCTGTCTGTAATCTGGAGTAATAAGATAAGTGATGTTTCCTTCCTCCCCCAATTTCCTAAATCTCTTACCTTATCTATCCATAGGCTTTGATGTAATGTTCATATTAGAGCCTGAATGCTACTGTATTTTACTGATATAAACTATTTGTATTCTTGCCATTTTAATAAAAAAAGGCTTGTCATTAATAGTATTCATATGATGTAGACAATTTCTCATTTTATATAGTTACTATTCAATATGACTATAGTGATGTAGGAAAGTGCTCTGATTTAGGTTTCGTTTAATCACTAGCATGCTGATATTTTACTATAATTTCATGCTACATATTCACTGTGGTTTGCTTTTTTAAAACCTTTGGGTTCAGTCATCTGGTTTAAGACATTAATTACAGATTGGTTAAAGAATTAATAATTTAAAGTAAAATGCCCTCTTATAAGCATTTTTAAAAATAATATGCAAAAAGTTGTCCTTGCTATTATTAAATAATATGTTGATAAACATGAAAAATTCACCTTTATTGGGTGACTCAATGACCTTAGCACTAGATCATCACATTAACTTTAATCTATCCACCTAGAAGAGCTGATAAAGAGCTGAATGTTACTGTCATATGCACTTAATACATGTTATGTATGGAGGGCAGTATGTGAGAAGGGAGCATGAGGGAAGCAGGAATGAAGTATGTAAGAAAATATTTCCATGTTTGAAAGTATGCTTTACTTGCCTTGTGCCATTAATTACAGAACATTTATATGGGACAATTATATAGTAAGTATAAAGGGACCATCATTATCTAAAGGAAGGAGAAAATTCATCTGCATTGTATGTTAAAATTTCAAAGAAAAGATTTTTGTTTTGGTAATATTCAAGAACATTTGTTATTTTAAATGAGATTCTAATTGCTTGATATAAATATTTAATAGCCTGTTGCTATGATAGAAACTGCCTAATGTAAATACAATATATGAAACTATACCAAACATATTCTTCCTTGGATGACAAGGAAGTCTCCTGAAAAAGAGTTCTCAGCTTTCAAATATCATGTTCAATATGAAACACCTACTCCTGCTAAAGTAAGGGTGTTTGTGAAAAAAGAATTGTTAACCCTCTGAGTAATTTAAATCTAAAATTTGTTGTATATAAACCCTATTTTGAAATTCCAGGCACCACCGGAACTCTGTCTTTTCTTTGGTTTATCTGAGACATCATGCAACTTTCTGTTGGAAGTAGGAGCAAGGCATTCACACGAGGCTCCATTCTGAAGTTCATAAGCTATAGTTTCAAAAGGAGCAGGTGTTATCTTTTTGATCTTTAGTATATTATTACTATTAGAGTTCATCTCCCTTATTACAGTTTAGCAACCAGTGGGCATAATGAATTAATTAAACATGTTCTGATAATGATATCAGCTACTAAAAGCTTAGATTTGAATCAACTAAAAGTGTAAATGATGTAAAGAAAATTTCTAGCTGACACTCTGTACAAATATTGGCCACAATGATTATAAGTCATTCACCCTGGAGCAATAAAAGAAGAAAAAAAGACTATGAGTGGAAGCCACTGGATTTGAAGTCAATTATGATTCCTAAATAGTTATTGCTTCAAAAATTATTTAAAATTATGAATTCAGATACTTGAAATATATTAATATTTTAAAATAACACTATCATAAGAATCTGCTACTTTTCTCTTTTCTGTCTTCCTACTCATTTTCTCATAAATCCTTGCTGTCATCTTTAATAGAGTCGCCTTAGCTTCCCAAAGGCTATGCTCAAAGTTGCATTTCTTGTGTAATAAGTATTAGTTTGTGACCCAATTCTGAAGACTAACCAATCATCTTTCTGAGTTTTGTGGACCTAACTTAAATATATGATTATTATACTACTCAATCAAATTATTTTATACTTGTCTCTTTCAAATGCATTTAAATGTTCTTTCTAATTATTTTTTATTTATTTTTATTTTATGTTTTTGAGGCAGGGTCTTGCTGTGTCGCCCAGGCTGGAGTGCAGTGGTGCGATCATGGCATTCGAGCTGAGATGCTCAGTCCTCATGTACTCAAGCTATTTTCTGAATTAGATCTTAGAGGTTAGTGTTTAATCTGACCATATAGTATCATAATCCATTATTGATAGGGTCTAGTTCATACAAAATAAAATCCAACCCTTTGGGGCTATAAAGCTGTCTTCCCTCCTCAGCCTCAGGTCAGTAGTGAGGACCATAGTTGCATGCCATCATGCTCAGGTAATTTTTAAAAACTTTTTGTACGGATGGGGTCTTACTATGTCACCCAGGCTGGTCACGAGCTCCTGGGTTCAAGCAATCCTCCCACCTCAGCCTCCCAAAGTGCTGGGATTACAGGTGTGAGCCATGGCAACCAGCTGTTCCCCGCCCCCACTCCCGTAGAGTTTGTGCATTTTTATTATGTTGCTTGCTTTGATTCTCTAGGATCATAGGATGGCTCCTCAAATACACTCATCTATTTTCTGGTTTTGTAACATTCCTTATGTTTTACACGTTACTATAAATGGTCTTTTCTAGTCAGTTACTGAAGTGAATTATGTACCTTTGTGTGCTACCTATGGTGGTAACTTCAGAAACAACTTAAGTGAGTGAATCTTGGTTTGCTCTTTCATAAGGCATGCAGCCTACTTGAGCATTCTTTTGATTGTTATACCTTTGCATAGTTTAGGGGCATCTGTGAGGTTATTGGGCTGTTTGCATGTTGTTTATCATGTCCCTGCAGGGTCCACCCCATCAGCTATATCACTGCCGATCTGTTTTTGTTGTAAACTGATGACCTTTCATCACACTGTTTTTACTCTGCCATCTTCTTTCTTATTTTAACTTTTCTTCTTTAATAATAAATATAGTTATTCTTAGTTCATCACTAAGTTTTGGAGAACGAAAGTAATTAGTTCCCCAAACAGCCAGTGACATAGATATGATTTTTTCCATATTATGGGTATAAAGAGAGGAGAATGGAATCTCAAAGAAGTTATATGATTGTCCTGTATATAATCACAAAGCAAATAAGTATCTGAGTCATGGTCTTTGAACACATGTGTCTGTCTTATGCCAATGACCATGCTGTTAACCACCTTGCTCTTCTGCCTCATTTATCTTTGGCTGTGATTTTTATGATCATTGCCTGCCAATCATAGTGTTTTCACTAACTGGAGTATTTGCCAATAAGCAATGAATCTTCATCATCTCTTTGTGCTTTCTGAAGAACTTTCACTTTGAGGCTTCTTTGTTGCTTCTTGGATTTACCAAGATTTTATTCAAGTATGGGTGTAATTCTTCAGAGTAACAGATACTCAGAAGGTTTACACGATATATCTGTTATTTATGAAGCTGTTTTCAATTAAAAGGTCACATTTTTTGTCTTATAAACCATGGCATTCCAGAAAACAATGTTGCCTAGTCTTTTTACTACACTAATGCACTTAAAATTTTGAATAACAACTAAACATGAAGTACCTTGTATGTGATTGTTGCTCTAACCACTTTAATTCATGCAATTTTAGTTGTTCCTCTTTTAATTTAACTAAAAAAGTGTGAAAATTTTTGAATAAGGCAATATATATTACCATCATAGGTTAGCTGAAATAGTAAATCACTGAGAGTGGTGTGATCCCATAGTAATAAAGTACTTCATGTGACAAAAACATTGGAGCATGAGATGCTCAGTCCTCATGTACTCAAGCTATTTTCTGAATTAGGTCTTAGAGGTTAGTGTTTAATCTGACCATGTAGTATCATAATCCATTATTGATAGGGTCTAGTTCTTACAAAATAAAATTCAACCCTTTAAGGATATAAGGTGGTAATTTTGTGGGCTGGACGCAGTGGTTCACACCTGTAATCCCAGCACTTCGGGAGCCCCAGGCAGGCGGATTTGAGGTCAGGAGTTCAAGACCAGCCTGGTCAACATGGTGAAACCCCATCTCTACTAAAAATACAAAAATCAGCCAGGCATGGTGGCGGGTGCCTGTAATCCCAGCTACCTGGGAGGCTGAGGCAGGAGAATCACTTGAACCCAAGAGGTGAAGGTTGCAGTGAGCTGAGATCGTGCCACTGCACTCCAGCCTGGGCGACAGAACAAGACTCCATCTCAAAAAAAAAAAAAAAAAAAGAAGATGTTAATTTTGTATTTTCTAACAGTATAGATTTTTTTTTTAATTCTCCATTGTTTGCTTGATATTTTGATTGGGAGTGAAAGGTATCCAGATTACTTGAAAAGTTACTTGAACTTCCAACACTGTGTTGAATAGGAGTGGTGAGAGAGAGGGCATCCCTGTCTTCTACCAGTTTTCAAAGGGAATGCTTCCAGTTTTTGCCCATTCAGTATGATATTGGCTGTGGGTTTGTCATAAGTAGCTCTTATTATTTTGAGATACGTCCCATCAATACCTAATTTATTGAGAGTTTTTAGCATGAAGGCTGTTGAATTTTGTCAAAGGCCTTTTCTGCCTCTATTGAGATAATCATGTGGTTTTTGTCGTTGGTTCTGTTTATATGCTGGATTACGTTTTATTGATTTGCATATGTTGAACCAGCCTTGCATCCCAGGGGTGAAGCCCACTTGATCATGGTGGATAAGCTTTTCGATGTGCTGCTGGATTCGGTTTGCCAGTATTTTATTGAGGACTTTTGCATCGATGTTCATCAGGGATATTGGTCTAAAATTCTCTTTTTTTGTTGTGTCTCTGCCAGCCTTTGATATCAGGATGATACTGGCCTCATAAAATGAGTTAGGGAGGATTCCCTCTTTTTCTATTGATTGGAATAGTTTCAGAAGGACTGGTACCAGCTCCTCCTTGTACCTCTGGTAGAATTTGGCTGTGAATCCGTCTGGTCCTGGACTTCTTTTGGTTGGTAAGCTATTAATTATTGCCTCAATTTCAGAGCCTGTTATTGGTCTGTTCAGAGATTCAACTTCTTCCTGGTTTAGTCTTAGGAGGGTGTATGTATCGAGGAGTTTATGCATTTCTTCTAGATTTTCTAGTTTATTTGTGTAGAGGTGTTTATAGTATTCTCTGATGATAGTTTGTATTTCTGTGGGATTGGTGGTGATATCCCCTTTATCTTTCTTATTGCATCTATTTGATTCTTCTCTGTTTTCTTTTTTATTAGTCTTGCTAGCAGTCTATCAATTTTGTTGATCTTTTCAAAAAAAAAAGCTCCTGGATTCATTGATTTTTTGAAGGGTTTTTTTTGGTCTCTATTTCCTTCAGTTCTGCTCTGATCTTAGTTATTTCTTGCCTTCTGCTAGCTTTTGAATGCGTTTGCTCTTGCTTCTCTAGTTCTTTCAATTGTGATGTTAGGGTGTCAGTTTTAGATCTTTCCTGCTTTCTCTTGTGAGCATTTAGTGCTATGAATTTCCCTCTACACACTGTTTTGAATGTGTCCCAGAGATTCTGGTATGTTGTGTCTTTGTTCTCGTTGGTTTCAAAGAACATCTTTATTTCTGCCTTCATTTTGTTACGTACCCAGTAGTCATTCAGGAGCAGGTTGTTGAGTTTCCATGTAGTTGAGCGGTTTTGAGTGAGTTTCTTAATCCTGAGTTCTAGTTTGATTGCACTGTGGTCTGAGAGACAGTTTGTTATAATTTCTGTTCTTTTACATTTGCTGAGGAGTGCTTTACTTCCAACTATGTGGTCAATTTTGGAATAGGTGTGGTGTGGTGCTGAAAAGAATGTATATTCTGTTGATTTGGGGTGGGGAGTTCTGTAAATGTCTATTAGGTCCGCTTGGTGCAGGGCTGAGTTCAGTTCCTGGATATCCTTGTTAACTTTCTGTCTTGTTGATCTGTCTAATGTTGACAGTGGGGTGTTAAAGTCTCCCATTATTATTGTGTAGGAGTCTAAGTCTCTTTGTAGGTCTCTAAGGACTTGCTTTATGAATCTGGGTGCTCCTGTATTGGGTGCATATATATATTTAGGATAGTTAGCTCTTCTTGTTGAATTGATCCCTTTACGTAATGGCCTTCTTTGTCTCTTTTGATCTTTGTTGGTTTAAAGTCTGTTTTATCAGAGACTAGAATTGCAACTCCTGCCTATTTTTGTTTTCCATTTGCTTGGTAGACCTTCCTCCATCCCTTTATTTTGAGCCTATGTGTGTCTCTGCATGTGAGGTGGGTCTCCTGAATACAGCACACTGATGGGTCTTGACTCTTTATCCAATTTGCCAATCTGTGTCTTTTAATTGGAGCATTTAGCCCATTTACATTTAAGGTTAATATTGTTATGTGTGAATTTGATCCTGTCATTATGATGTTAGCTGGTTATTTTGCTAGTTAGTTGATGCAGTTTCTTCCTAGCCTCGATGGTCTTTACAATTTGGCATGTTTTTGCAGTGGCTGGTACCAGTTGTTCCTTTCCATGTTTAGTGCTTCCTTCAGGAGCTCTTTTAGGGCAGGCCTGGTGGTGACAAAATCCTCAGCATTTGTTTGTCTGTAAAGTATTTTATTTCTCCTTCACTTACGAAGCTTAGTTTGGCTGGATATGAAATTCTGGGTTAAAAATTCTTTTCTTTAAGAATGTTGAATATTGGCTTGTAGAGTTTCTGTCTTCTGGCTTGTAGAGTTTCTGCCGAGAGATCAGCTGTTAGTCTGATGGGCTTCCCTTTGTGGGTAACCCGACCTTTCTCTCTGGCTGCCCTTAACATTTTTTCCTTCATTTCAACTTTGGTGGATCTGACAATTATGTGTAATCAGGCAGGAGAAGGAAATAAAGGGTATTCAACTAGGAAAAGAGGAAGTCAAATTGTCCTTGTTTGCAGATGACATGATTGCATATCTAGAAAACCCCATCGTCTCAGCCCCAAATCTCCTTAAGCTGATAGGCAACTTCAGCCAAGTCTCAGGATACAAAATCAATGTGCAAAAATCACAAGCATTCTTATACACCAATAACAGACAGAGAGCCAAATCATGAGTGAACTCCCATTCACAACTGCTTCAAAGAGAATAAAATACCTAGGAATCCAACTTACGAGGGCTGTGAAGGACCTCTTCAAGGACAACTACAAACCACTGCTCAATGAAATAAAAGAGGATACAAACAAATGGAAGAACATTCCATGCTCATGGGTAGGAAGAATCAATATTGTGAAAATGGCCATACTGCCCAAGGTAATTTATAGATTCAATGCCATCCCCATCAAGCTACCAATGACTTTCTTCACAGAATTGGAAAAAACTACTTTAAAGTTCATATGGAACCAAAAAAGAGCCCGCATTGCCAAGTCAATCTTAAGCCAAAAGAACAAAGCTGGAGGCATCATGCTACCTGACTTCAAACTATACTACAAGGCTACAGTAACCAAAGAAGCATGGTACTGGTACCAAAACAGAGATGTAGACCAATGGAACAGAACAGAGCCCTCAGAAATAATGCCACATTTCTACAATTATCTGATCTTTGACAAACCTGAGAAAAACAAGCAATGGGGAAAGGATTCCCTATTTAATAAATGGTGCTGGGAAAACTGGCTAGCCATATGTAGAAAGCTGAAACTGGATCACTTCCTTACACCTTATACAAAAATTAATTCAAGATGGGTTAAAGACTTACATGTTTGACCTAAAACCATAAAAACCTTAGATGAAAACCTAGGCAATACCATTCAGGACATAGGCATGGGCAAGGACTTCATGTCTAAAACACCAAAAGCGAGATTGGGAGTTCAAGACCAGCCTGACACCCCTCTCCCCTCTCCCCTCTCCTCTCTCCCCTCTCCACGGTCTCCCTCTCCCTCTCTTTCCACGGTCTCCCTCTGATGCCAAGCCAAAGCTGGACTGTACTGCTGCCATCCCGGCTCACTGCAACCTCCCTGCCTGATTCTCCTGCCTCAGCCTGCTGAGTGCCTGCGATTGCAGGCGTGCACCGCCACGCCTGACTGGTTTTCGTATTTTTTTGGTGGAGACGGGGTTTCGCTGTGTTGGCCGGGCTGGTCTCCAGCTCCTAACCACAAGTGATCCGCCAGCCTCGGCCTCTCGAGGTGCCGGGATTGCAGACGGAGTCTTGTTCACTCAGTGCTCAATGTTGCCCAGGCTGGAGTGCAGTGGCGTGATCTCGGCTAGCTACAACCTCCACCTCCCAGCCGCCTGCCTTGGCCTCCCAAAGTGCCGAGATTGCAGCCTCTGCCCAGCTGCCACCCCGTCTGGGAAGTGGGGAGCGTCTCTGCTTGGCCGCTCATCGTCTGGGATGTGAGGAGCCCCTCTGCCCCGCTGCCCAGTCTGGGAAGTGAGGAGCGCCTCTTCCCGGCCGTCATCCCGTCTGGGAGGTGAGGAGCGTCTCTGCCCGGCCGCGACCCCGTCTGGGAGGTGAGGAGTGTCTCTGCCCGGCCGCCCCGTCTGAGAAGTGAGGAGCCCCTCCGCCCGGCAGCCGCCCCATCTGAGAAGTGAGGAGCCCCTCCGCCCGGCAGCCACCCCGTCTGGGAAGTGATGAGCATCTCCGCCCGGCAGCCGCCCCGTCCGGGAGGGAGGTGGGGGGTCAGCCCCCGCCCAGCCAGCCGCCCTGTCCAGGAGGGAGGTGGGGGGTCAGCCCCCGCCCGGCCAGCCGCCCCTTCTGGGAGGGAGGTGGGGGGTCAGCCCCCGCCCGGCCAGCCGCCCCGTCCGGGAGGGAGGTGGGGGTCAGCCCCCGCCCGGCTGCCGCCCCGTCCAGAAGGTGGGGGGTGCCTCTGCCTGGCCGCCCCTTCTGGGAAGTGAGGAGCCCCTCTGCCTGGCCACCACCCCGTCTGGGAAGTGTACCCAACAGCTCATTGAGAACGGTCCATGATGACGATGGCGGTTTTGTGGAATAGAAAAGGGGGAAAGGTGGGGAAAAGATAGAGAAATCAGATTGTTGCTGTGTCTGTGTAGAAAGAAGTAGACATGGGGGACTTCATTTTGTTCTGTACTAAGAAAAATTCTTCTGCCTTGGGATGCTGTTGATCTATGACCTTACCCCCAACCCTGTGCTCTCTGAAACATGTGCTGTGTCCATTCAGGGTTTAATGGATTAAGGGCGGTGCAAGATGTGCTTTGTTAAACAGATGCTTGAAGGCAGCAGACTCCTTAAGAGTCATCACCACTCCCTAATCTCAAGTACCCAGGGACACAAACACTGCGGAAGGCCGCAGGGTCCTCTGCCTAGGAAAACCAGAGTCCTTTGTTCACTTGTTTATCTGCTGACCTTCCCTCCACTATTGTCCTATGACCCTGCCAAATCCCCCTCTGCGAGAAACACCCAAGAATGATCAATTAAAAAAATAAATAAATAAATTCTTACAAAAAAAAAAATAAATAAAACACCAAAAGCAATGGCAACAAAAGCCAAAATTGACAAATGGGATCTAATTAAACTAAAGAGCTTCTGCACAGCAAAAGAAACTACCATCAGAGTGAACAGGCAACCAACAGAATTGGAGAACATTTTTGCAATCTACTCATCTGACAAAGGGCTAATATCCAGGATCTACAATGAACTCAAACGAATTTACAAGAAAAAAACAAACAACTCCATCAAAAAGTGGGCGAAGGATATGAACAGACACTTCTCAAAAGAAGAGATTTTTGCAGCCAAAAGACACATGAAAAAATGCTCATCATCACTGGCCATCAGAGAAATGCAAATCAAAACCACAATGAGATACCATCTCACACCAGTTACAATGGCGATCATTAAAAAGTCAGGAGACAACAGGTGCTGGAGAGAATGTGGAGAAATAGGAACACTTTTACACTGTTGGTGGGACTGTAAACTAGTTCAACCACTGTGGAAGTCAGTGTGGTGATTCCTCAGGGATCTAGAACTAGAAATACCATTTGACCCAGCCATCCCATTACTGGGTATATACCCAAAGGATTATAAAACATGCTGCTATAAAGACACATGCACACGTATGTTTATTGCAGCACTATTCACAATAGCAAAGACTTGGAACCAACCCAAATGTCCAACAACAATAGGCTGGATTAAGAAAATGTGGCACATATACACCATGGAATACTATGCAGCCATAAAAAATGATGAGTTCATGTCCTTTGTAGGGACATGGATGAAGCTGGAAACCATCATTCTCAGCAAACTATCGCAAGGACAAAAAACCAAACACCGCATGTTCTCACTCATAGGTGGGAATTGAACAACGAGAACACATGGACACAGGAAGGGGAACATCACACCCTGGGGCCTGTTGTGGGGTGGGGGGCAGGGGGATGGATAGCATTAGGAGATATACCTAATGCTAAATGATGAGTTAATGGGTGCAGCACACCAACATGGCACATGTATACATAAGCAACAAACCTGCACGCTGTGCACATGTACCCTAAAATTTAAAGTATAATAAAAGAAAATTAAATCCAAAGCAAGCAGAATGAAGGAACTAATATAGATCACAGTGGAAATAAATGAAATAGAGAACAGAACAACAGTAGAGAAAAGCAACAAAATCAAAAGTCGGTTCTTACAAAATATCAACAAAATTGGCAAAATTGTAGCTTGAGCCCATTGTCTTCAGAGAAATTAACTGATCACAGCATAGTTATAACCACTCTTGAACTGAGCATTTTACTTCTACTTTAATAAGCCATAGCATTAACTTTTTTGGCATTAATTTTTAAGGAGTCACATTTGTATTGGCTTTTATTAACTTGTCATCTATTGGAATGTCTAGGTCATTTTTCCCTTTGAATGTTAACCTCTGTTAATTATTTGAGGATGAGCAAATATCTAAACAAAAATAAGTTTAAATACTGTATCTTTAAAGCAAAAATGAATATTTATGTATATTTATAGATGTGTGTATATATGTACATACAAATACACATTGTGTGTGAATATAATTATATATGTATTTCTGCTGTTAGCTATAATTATTAGTCATCTTTGTCTTCCAAAAGCTCCTTATCTCATATGCATGGGGAACCTCTCTTCAGGTTCCTCTAACCAGCCTCTTATACTCTCTGCGTTCACAAGGTGCAAATGCAAAGGATTCTGGGCTTCAACTGGGGCACAGTTCCCCTTTTCTTCTCAGTTGACCTCAAAGCTCCTGGATTGTATCTGAAAATGTTAAACAAAATGCTTCCAATCTGGAGAGAGCATGGTACTGATTTTGAGAGGGACACGTTCATTTCATGGTGTAATTTATTTAGTTATTTAATTTATACAGAAGAATAAGTGCAGATTCAGTAATAATAGACCAAACCATTCCACCATAAGAAAATGCATTGAAGGAAATGATGAGTAGACTATTAAAAAAGTAGGGCCATGAAGAAAATGTCAATCCATATTAAAACAGCACACTACAGTCTGACTTACCTCTCAGAATGTCTGAGTTTCAGCATTATGTCATTCATGATGATATCATTTCAGGAAATAATATTTCACATGTTGTGCTTACAAGTATCAATCTGGCTAAACCTCCCTCACTTAACAAATGCTTTGGTACTGAGCCAAGAAATATGGACAAGCACAGTAAAGAGATAATACTAATATATAAGAATTTTGCTCAAAATCATTGCCTTTTCTACTGTGAGAGATTTGAGGGTTTTAAAAAATATGATGTTCAACTTTTACACTGCTGGTGGGAGTGTAAATGAGTTCAACCATTGTGAAAGACAGTGTGGTGATTCCTCAGAGACCTAGAGGCAGAAATACCATTTGGCCCAGCAATCCCAATACTGGGTATATATTTAAAGGAATATAAATCCGTCTGTTATAAAGATACAGGCATGCATAAGTTCATTGTAGCACTATTGACAATAGCAAAGTCATCAACCTAAAGGAATCAACCTAAATGTCTGTCAATGATAGATTGGATAAAGAAAATATGGTACATATACACCATAGAATACTATGCAGCCATAACAAGAAATGAGATCCTGTCCTTTGCAGGGACATGGATGGAGTTGGAAGCCACTATCTTCAGCAAACTAACGCAGGAACAGAAAACCAAACGCTGCATTTTCTCACTTATAAGTGGGAGTTGATTGATGAGAATACTTGGACACATGGGGAGGAATAGTACACACTGGGCACCTGTTGGGGGTGGAGGGAGAGCATCAGGAAGAATAGCCAATGGACACTGGGCTTAATACTTGGGTGATGGGATGACCTGTGTAGTAAATCACCATGGCACATGTTTACCTATGTAACCAACCTACACATCCTGCACATGTACCCCTAAAGTTAAGTTGAAAAAAATAAAATAAAATCTGGTGTTCAACTGTCCACTGAAAATAAAGAGAAGGCATTTATATTTTAGCACACATAAACATTTAAACTTATTTAAAATATACCATTTAAGACATATTAGAATTCTTAACAGTAGTGAATTTGCAGCCCTGCTGTGCTTGGTAAATTAATTATTTTAAGAATTTTAAATAGTCTTTTTTTTGAGATTGATTCTTGCTCTATTGCCCAGTCTGGAGTGCAGTGGTGCCATCTCAGCTCACTGCAACCTCCGCCTCACGGGTTCAAGTGATTCTCCTGCCTCAGCCTTTCGAGTAGCTGGGATTACCGGTGCCTGCCACTATGCTCGGCTAATTTTTTGTTTTTTTAGTAGAGATGGGGTTTCACCATGTTGGCCAGGCTGGTCTCAAACTCCTGACCTCAAGTGATCCACCTGCCTCAGCCTCCCAAAGTGCTGGGATTATAGGCATGAGCCACTACGCCCGGCCTTAAGTAGTCTTAATATCAGAAAGTACTAATGAAAAGGGGCATGGGTCTTCTTTGTGTCCTTTTCAATTTCTCTATGGGATAAGTAAGGGAATGATACCATAAGGATGTTAGCATATATTGAAAACTTACTATGTGCTTAGCACCATTCTAAGCACTTGGATTTAGAAGCTGCAAACTCATTTCAAGAAATTTAAATATTTGACATTAAACACAAAAGTTAAAAGCAGCCACAGACTGATACATACATGAAGCAAATTAAGCAAATATATTTCGAACTGACTTGGGTGTACATGAAGATTTGTAAATATTACATCTTAAACTATTATCTTCACCTGGAAAAAATATTCAGAAGACCTGGACTGTGTTATTAATATCATATGTGAGGTATTTTTGGTGAATGACAGTCACTCATAATTCTCTGGTGGTTTAGGATCCTGAGCTTTTTAATATACTAGTTTTAAGGATTCTTGGCAAGGGACAACTTTCAAACCACTCATGATTCTACTGGAATAAAAAATGTTCAAGTCAGTTTAACTATTCTTGAGAAGAAAACTAGGGTGAGTCTATGTACATCACATCTTCAGCTTCATTTTGAGGCTGTTTTAGTTAGCAGGTAGTGAAAATTTAAAGCAATGCTATCTCACACAGGAATAAACATATCAAAAGAGAAGAAAGTTTACAGGGCCTCATAAAATAACAGTGCAAAACAAGTTCAAGTAACTTTTTTTTTTTGCGGTTTTGACATTACTTTTTTTTATTTTAATTTTTTTATTATACTTTAAGTTTTAGGGTACATGTGCACAACGTGCAGGTTTGTTGCATATGTATACATGTGCCATGTTGGTGTGCTGCACCCATTAACTCGTCATTTAACATTAGGTGTATCTCCTAATGCTATCCCTCCCCCCTCCCCCCACCCCACAACAGGCCCTGGTGTGATGTTCCCCTTCCTGTGTCCGTGTGTTCTCATTGTTCAATTCCCATCTGTGAGTGAGAACATGCGGTGTTTGGTTTTTTGTCCTTGCGATAGTTTGCTGAGAATGATGGTTTCCAGCTTCATCCATGTCCCTACAAAGGACATGAACTCATCATTTTTTATGGCTGCATAGTATTCCATGGTGTATGTGTGCCACATTTTCTTAATCCAGTCTATCATTGATGGACATTTGGGTTGGTTCCAAGCCTTTGCTATTGTGAATAGTGCCACAATAAACATACGTGTGCATGTGTCTTTATAGCAGCATGATTTATAATCCTTTGGGTATATACCCAGTAATGGGATGGCTGGATCAAATGGTATTTCTAGTTCTAGATCCCTGAGGAATCGCCACGCTGACTTCCACAGTGGTTGAACTAGTTTACAGTCCCACCAACAGTGTAAAAGTGTTCCTATTTCTCCACATCCTCTCCAGCACCTGTTGTTTCCTGACTCTTTAATGATCGCCATTATAACTGGTGTGAGATGGTATCTCATTGTAGTTTTGATTTGCATTTCTCTGATGGCCAGTGATGGTGAGCATTTTTTCATGTGTCTTTTGGCTGCATAAATCTCTTCTTTTGAGAAGTGTCTGTTCATATCCTTCGCCCACTTTTTGATGGGGTTGTTTGTTTTTTTCTTGTAAATTCGTTTGAGTTCATTGTAGATTCTGGATATTAGCCCTTTGTCAGATGAGTAGATTGCAAAAATATTCTCCCATTCTGTTGGTTGCCTGTTCACTCTGATGGTAGTTTCTTTTGCTGTGCAGAAGCTCTTTAGTTTAATTAGATCCCATTTGTCAATTTTGGCTTTTGTTGCCATTGCTTTTGGTGTTTTAGACATGAAGTCTTTGCCCATGCCTATGTCCTGAACGGTATTGCCTAGGTTTTCTTCTAAGGTTTTTATGGTTTTAGGTCAAACATGTAAGTCTTTAACCCATCTTGAATTAATTTTTGTATAAAGTGTAAGGAAGGGATCCAGTTTCACCTTTCTACATATGGCTAGCCAGTTTTTGCAGCACCATTTATTAAATAGGGAATCCTTTCCCCATTTCTTGTTTTTCTCAGGTTTGTCAAAGATCAGATAGTTGTAGATATGTGGCATTATTTCTGAGGGCTCTCTTCTGTTCCATTGGTCTATATCTCTGTTTTGGTACCAGTACCATGCTGTTTTGGTTACTGTAGCCTTGTAGTATAGTTTGAAGTCAGGTAGTGTGATGCCTCCAGCTTTGTTCTTTTGGCTTAGGATTGCCTTGGCAATGTGGGCTCTTTTTTCATTCCATATGAACTTTAAAGTAGTTTTTTCCAATCCTGTGAAGAAAGTCATTGGTAGCTTGATGGGGATGGCATTGAATCTATAAATTACCTTGGGCAGTATGGCCATTTTCACGATATTGATTCTTCCTACCCATGAGCATGGAATGTTCTTTCATTTGTTTGTATCCTCTTTTATTTCATTGAGCAGTGGTTTGTAGTTGTCCTTGAAGAGGTCCTTCACATCCCTTGTAAGTTGGATTCCTAGGTATTTTATTCTCTTTGAAGCAGTTGTGAATGGGAGTTCACTCATGATTTGGCTCTCTGTCTGTCTGTTATTGGTGCATAAGAATGCTTGTGATTTTTGCACATTGATTTTGTATCCTGAGACTTTGCTGAAGTTGCCTATCAGCTTAAGGAGATTTTGGACTGAGACGATGGTGTTTTCTAGATATGCAATCATGTCATCTGCAAACAGGGACAATTTGACTTCCTCTTTTCCTAATTGAATACCCTTTATTTACTTCTCCTGCCTGATTGCCCTGGCCAGAACTTCCAACACTATTTTGAATAGGAGTGGTGAGAGAGGGCATCCCTGTCTTGTGCCAGTTTTCAAAGGGAATGCTTCCAGTTTTTGCCCATTCAGTATGATATTGGCTGTGGGTTTGTCATAGATAGCTCTTATTATTTTGAGATACGTCCCATCAATACCTAATTTATTGAGAATTTTTAGCATGAAGCGTTGTTGAATTTTGTCAAAGGCCTTTTCTGCATCTATTGAGATAATCATGTGGTTTTTGTTGTTGCTTCTGTTTATATGCTGGATTACGTTTTATTGATTTGCATATGTTGAACCAGTCTTGCATACCAGGGATGAAGCCCACTTGATGATGGTGGATAAGCTTTTCGATGTGCTGCTGGATTCGGTTTGCCAGTATTTTATTGAGGACTTTTGCATCGATGTTCATCAGGGATATTGGTCTAAAATTCTCTTTTTTTGTTGTGTCTCTGCCAGCCTTTGGTATCAGGATGATACTGGCCTCATAAAATGAGTTAGGGAGGATTCCCTCTTTTTCTATTGATTGGAATAGTTTCAGAAGGACTGGTACCAGCTCCTCCTTGTACCTGTGGTAGAATTTGGCTGTGAATCCCTCTGGTCCTGGACTTCTTTTGGTTGGTAAGCTATTGATTATTGCCTCAATTTCAGAGCCTGTTATTGGTCTATTCAGAGATTCAGCTTCTTCCTGGTTTAGTCTTAGGAGGGTGTATGTGTCAAGGAATTTATCCATTTCTTCTAGATTTTCTACTTTATTTGCATAGAGGTGTTTATAGTATTCTCTGATGATAGTTTGTATTTCTGTGGGATCGGTGGTGATATCCCCTTTATCATTTCTTATTGCATCTATTTGATTCTTCTCTGTTTTCTTCTTTATTAGTCTTGCTAGCAGTCTATCAATTTTGTTGGTCGTTTCAAAAAACCAGCTCCTGGATTCATTGATTTTTTGAAGGGTTTTTTGTGTCTCTATTTCCTTCAGTTCCGCTCTAATCTTAGTTATTTCTTGCCTTCTGCTAGCTTTTGAATGTGTTTGCTCTTGCTTTTCTAGTTCTTTTAATTGTGATGTTAGGGTGTCAATTTTAGATCTTTCCTGCTTTCTCTTGTGGGCATTTAGTGCTATGAATTTCCCTCTACACACTGCTTTGAATGTGTCCCAGAGATTCTGGTATGTTGTGTCTTTGTTCTCATTGGTTTCAAAGAACATCTTTATTTCTGCCTTCATTTCATTATGTACCCAGTAGTCATTCAGGAGCAGGTTGTTCAGTTTCCCTGTAGTTGAGCAGTTTTGAGTGAGTTTCTTAATCCTGAGTTCTAGTTTGATTGCACTGTGGTCTGAGAGACAGTTTGTTATAATTTCTGTTCTTTTACATTTGCTGAGGAGTGCTTTACTTCCAACTATGTGGTCAATTTTGGAATAGGTGTGGTGTGGTGCTGAAAAGAATGTATATTCTCTTGATTTGGAGTGAAGAGTTCTGTAGATGTCTAATTAGGTCCGCTTGGTGCAGAGCTGAGTTCAATTCCTGGATATCCTTGTTAACTTTCTGTCTCGTTGATCTGTCTAATGTTGACAGTGGGGTGTTAAAGTCTCCTAATATTATTTTGTGGGAGTCTAAGTCTCTTTGTAGGTCTCTAAGGACTTGCTTTATGAATCTGGGTGCTCCTGTATTGGGTGCATATATATATTTAGGATAGTTAGCTCTTCTTGTTGAATTGATCCCTTTACCGTTATATAATGGCCTTCTTTGTCTCTTTTGATCTTTGTTGGTTAAAGTCTGTTTTATCAGAGACTAGGATTACAACCCCTGCCTTTTTTTGTTTTCCATTTGCTTGGTAGATCTTTCTCTATCCCTTTATTTTGAGCCTATGTGTGTCTCTGCATGTGAGATGGGTTTCCTGAATACAGCACACTGATGGGTCTTGACTCTTTATCAAATTTGCCAATCTGTGTCTTTTAATTGGAGCATTTAGCCCATTTACATTTAAGGTTAATATTGTTATGTGTGAGGAGCATTTAGCCCATTTACATTTAAGGTTAATATTGTTATGTGTGAATTTGATCCTGTCATTATGATGTTAGCTGGTTATTTTGCTCGTTAGTTGATGCAGTTTCTTCCTAGCCTCAACGGTCTTTACAATTTGGCATGTTTTTGCAGTGGCTGGTACCAGTTGTTCCTTTCCATGTTTAGTGCTTCCTTCAGGAGCTCTTTTAGGGCAGGCCTGGTGGTGACAACATCTCTCAGCATTTGTTTGTCTGTAAAGTATTTTATTTCTCCTTCACTTACGAAGCTTAGTTTGGCTGGATATGAAATTCTGGGTTAAAAATTCTTTTCTTTAAGAATGTTGAATATTGGCCCCCACTGTCTTCTGGCTTGTAGAGTTTCTGCCGAGAGATCAGCTGTTAGTCTGATGGGCTTCCCCTTGTGGGTAACCCGACCTTTCTCTCTGGCTGCCCTTAACATTTTCCCTTCATTTCAACTTTGGTGAATCTGACAATTATGTGTCTTGGAGTTGCTCTTCTCGAGGAGTATCTTTGTAGCATTCTCTGTATTTCCTAAATTTGAATGTTGGCCTGCCTTGCTAGATTGGGGAAGTTCTGCTGGATAATATCCCTCAGAGTGTTTTCCAACTTGGTTCCATTTTCCCCGTCACTTTCAGGTACACCAATCAGACGTAGATATGGTCTTTTCACATAGTCCCATATTTCTTGGAGGCTTTGTTCGTTTCTTTTTATTCTTTTTTCTCTAAACTTCTCTTCTCACTTCATTTCATTCATTTGATCTTCCATCACTGATACCCTTTCTTCCAGTTGATCAAATTGGCTACTGAGGCTTGTGCATTCGTCACGTAGTTTTCGTGCCATGGTTTTCAGCTCCATCAGGTCCTTTAAGGACTTCTCTGCATTGGTTATTCTAGTTCGCCATTCGTCTAATTTTTTCCAAGGTTTTAACTTCTTTGCCATGGGTTCGAACTTCCTCCTTAATCTCGGAGTAGTTTGATCGTCTGAAGCCTTTTTCTCTCAACTCATCAACGTCATTCCCCTTCCAGCTTTGTTCCATTGCTTGTGAGGAGCTGCGTTCCTTTGGAGGAGGAGAGGTGCTCTGATTTTTAGAGTTTCCAGTTTTTCTGCTCTGTTTTTTCCCCATCTTTGTGGTTGTATCTACCTTTGGTCTTCGATGATGGTGACGTACAAATGGGGTTTTGGTGTGGATGTCCTTTCTGTTTGTTAGTTTTCCTTCTACCAGTCAGGACCCTCAGCTGCAGGTCTGTTGGAGTTTGCTGGAGGTCCACTCCAGACCCTGTTTGCCTGGGTATCAGCAGCAGAGGTTGCAGAACAGCGGATATTGGTGAACAGCAAATGTTGCTGCCTGATCATTCTTCTGGAAGTTTTGTCTCAGAGGAGTACCTGGCTGTGGGAGGTGTCAATCTGCCCCTACTTGGGGGTGCCTCCCAGTTAGGCTACTCGGGGGTCAGGGACCCACTTGAGGAGGCAGTCTGTCCGTTCTCAGATCTCAAGCTGCGTGCTGGGAGAACCACTACTCTCTTCAAAGCTGTCAGACAGGGACATTTAAGTCTGCAGAGATTTCTGCTGCCTTTTGTTTGGCTATGCCCTGCCCCCAGAGGTGGAGTCTACAGAGGCAGGCAGGCCTCCTTGAGCTGTGGTGGGCTCCAACCAGTTCGAGCTTCCTGGCCACTTTGTTTACCTACTCAAGCCTCGGCAATGGTGGGCACCCCTCCCCCAGCCTTGCTGCCACCTTGCAGTTTGATCTCAGACTGCTGTGCTAGCAATGAGCGAGGCTCCGTGGGCGTAGGACCCTCCCAGCCAGGCACAGGATATAATCTCCTGGTGTGCAGACCCTTGGAAAAGCACAGTGTTAGGGTGGGAGTGACCCGATTTTCCAGGTGCCATCTGTCACCCCTTTCTTTGACTAGGAAAGGGAATTCCCTGACCCCTTGCACTTCCCGGGTGAGGCGATGCCTCGACCTGCTTTGGCTCACACTCGGTGCACTGCACCCGCTGTCCTGCACTCACTGTCTGCCACTCCCCAGTGAGATGAACCCGGTACCTCAGTTGGAAATGCAGAAATCACCCATCTTCTGCATTGCTCATGCTGGGAGCTGTAGACTGGAGCTATTCCTGTTTGGATTTTATTTTCTCTTTCTTTTTACAGTTTCTTAAAATGAAATGTTATGTTATTTAAGATTTTTTTTTACTTAAATACCTGTAGCTATAAATTTTCCTCTACTAAATAAATTTTTAAAATTCCCTTTATTGCTTTAGCTGCATACCACAAATTTTAATATGTTGTGTTTTTCTCTTACCTTTATCTCAAAACATTTTCTAATTTCCTTTGTGATTTCTTCTTTGCCCTGTTGATTATTCAGGAGTAATCAATAAATAATCTTATTTAATTTTCACATAGTTTTGAATTTCCTAAATTTCCTTCTGTTACCAATTTCTAATTTATTTTCACTGTGGCTAAAGAATATACTTTATACAATTTAAATCTTTTAAAAATCTATTGAGGTTTGTGTCATGGCCCAACATTTTGTCTGTCCTGAATAATCTTCCATGTGCACTTGAGAACACTGTGTACTAAACTGTTTTTGTGTGGAGTGTTCTGTAGATGTCAGTTATGTCTTGATTTATAGTGTTATTCATATTTTTGTGTTTCCTTGTCTACTGCCAACTGTTCTATCCATTATTGAAAGTGGAATATTGGTCTTCAACTATTATTATTGAATTGTGTATTTCTCACTCCAACTCCATCAGTTTTTGCCTTATGTATTTTAGGGCTCCGTTTTTAGGTGGTGCATATATGTTTATAATTGTTATGTCTTCCTGATGTATTGATTCTTTCATAATTATAAAATTTCTCTCTTTGCCTCTGATAGCATTTTTTGTTTTAATTTATATGTTGTCTGATACTTTATAGCCATTCAAGTTCTCTTATGGTTGCTGTTTACATAATATATTTTTTCAGTCTTTTTGCCTTCAATTTAATATATATATGTTAGATTGAATATATATATTATATATATAAGATTGAATATATATATTATATATATAAGATTGAATATATATATATTATATATATATATTTTGTTTTGTTTTGTTTTGTTTTGAGATGGAGTTTTGCTCTTGTTGCCCAGGCTGGAGTGCAGTGTCACAATCTCAGCTCACTGCAGCCTCCACCTCCTGGGTTCAAGCAATTCTCCTGCCTCAACCTCCTGAGTAGCTGAGATTACAGGTGTCTGCCACCACACCCAGCTAATTTTTTGTATTTTTAGTAGAGATGGGATTTCGCCATGTTGACCAGGCTGGTTTTGAACTCCTGGCCTCAGGTAAGCCACCTGCCTTGGCCTAATCTATTATCTTTTTTAATCTAAAGTGTATTCAGTAGATAGCATATAGTTGGATCACTTTTTCACATTCAGTCTATCTGTCTTTTGATTGAATTTTTTTATTTATATTCACACTTAATATTATTATTGATATTGTTAGATTTACCTCTGCTATTTAATATTTTGTTTTCTATATATCTCATGTTTTGTTTTCCCTGTGTTGTTCCTTTAGTATTTTTTTGCATTAAGTGAATACTTTCTAGTTAACATGTTAATTGACCTAATTTTTACGTGATATTTTAAAAGTTATTTCCTTAGTGATTGCCCTATGACTTACAGTATACATTTTAACTTATTAGAATCTACTTCATGTTTTTACTAACTTAATTCTAATGACTTATAGAAGTGTTACCCCATATAACTCTTTGCCCTTCCATCTGTGTATATATGTGTATATGTAGTATTTATATATTACAAACCCAGTAATACACAGTTATAATGCTTACTTCTTATAATTTTATGTCTTTTAAATAAGCTCAAGGAAAAAAGAAAAGCACAAGTCTTATAGAGGGTTTTTAAAAATTAACCTTCTTATTTTTTATTTTCGGTTCTCCTTATTTCTTCTTTTGACTTCAAATTACCAACTAGTGTTATTTCCTTATTCCAATAAAGTTCTGTTCTCACACACCTCCTTTGTGATATTACAGTACTCTCTTGATATCTGCAGTTTTGCTTTCTGTGGTTTCAGTTACCCATGGTTACCCATGGTCCAACACGATCTGAAAATATTAAATGGAAAATTCCAGAAATAATTCATAAGCTTTAAGTTGCATGCCATTCTGAATAGTGTAATGAAAACTCACATCATCCCTTTGTCTAGCATATCCATGCTATATAGGCAACCCACCCATTAGTCACTTAGTAGGCATCTTGGTTATCACATCAAAAAAAACGTGGTATATATGGTTTGGTACTGTGTCTGATTTCAGGCATCCACTGGTAGTCTTGGAATGTATCCCCTCCCTCCTGATATGGAGGGACTGCTGTTTTTCCAAATATATTTTATTTCTGTATGTTATAAACCGAATAATGTAATTATATACATATTGTTCTATATAATTGCTTTATAAATCAGTTCAGAGAAGGAAGGAGAAGAACTCTACAGTTATACCATCTTTTGTAATTAATTACTTACATAATTACTTTTACTGGAACTCTTTGTTATTCTGTGTGGATTTAAATTACTGTCTGGCATCACAATTTTTCAGGGTAAAGAACGTCCTATAGTAGCTCTTTTAAAGCTGGTTTGCCACCAACAAATTCTCTTCATTTTGGGGTAGCTAAAATGTATTTATTTCTCTTTCATTTTTGAGAGATAGTTTTCCTGGATATGGGAATCTCATTTGTCAGGATTTTTTTTCAGCATTTTGAATTTTTCGTCTCACTGCCTTCTGGCCTCCATTACTTCTGATGAGAAATAAGCCATTAGTCTTTTGGGGCTTCCTATAATGGCCTAGGAGTCAACTGTTAATCTTATCAGAGTATGTAATGAGTAATTTTTCTTTTGCTTCTTTCAAGTTTTTCTTTTTGTATTTAGCTTGAATATTCTATGTTGTGTCTGGGTATGTATCTCTTTGTGTTTATCTTGTAGTTGGTTGACATTATTGGATATATATAGATTAATGTTTTCCATCAAAGTTTTTACTTTTCAGCTATTATTTCTTCAGATATATTTTCTGCTTCTTCTTTCTCTCCTTTCTTGACAGTCCCCTTACACATATGTTTTTGAGATTAATGGTGTCCCACATTTCTCTCAGGTTCTGCTCTCTTTTCTTCATTCTTTATTCACCCTACTCTTCAGATTGCATACTCTATTGATCTCTTTATGTTTGCTGATTCTTTCTTCTGCCAGCTCAAATCTACCATTGAGTCCCTCTAGCAGTTTTTCATTGTGGTTATTGTACTTTTCAACACCGGAATTTTCAATTAGTTCTTTTTTAAAAAATACGACTTCTACATATTGTTGATATTCTTTATTTTATGAGACATCATCATACCTTATGTAAATTCTTTAAACATGATTTCATTTACTTCTTTGAACATATTTTCAATAGCTGCTTTGAAGTCTTTGTTTTCTAAGTCCAACATCTAGGAACCCTAAAAAGCTGTCTTATTTCCTGCTCTCCCCTACCCCCATGAAATGGTCAAGCTCCTCACACTTCATTCTGGAAGTCCTGCCCCAATTATTTTTTTAATTGGTTTTTAAAAGTCACCACTTTTTAGGACTTGGATTTAATAAACTCCCAGAATACATCAAAGTAGATTTTCCTCTTTTTTAAGAAAAGGATTGTATTTTTTTTTTTTTTTTGCTACAACTACTGATGGAAGTGTGTGTGTGGGGGGGGGGTTGTTCGTTTGTTGCAGTTTTTTTTTAATGGTAGCAAGATGGCAGAATAGAAGATTCCTGGCATCATTACCCTTACATAAGTACAATTAGAAACTATTCAAAGATAAGAATGACACTGTGAATTCACCAAAACTTAGGGGAGAAGTAGAGAAACCCCCTAGGCCTACAAAATCTAGATAAACCATGATCAGCAAGAGAAATAGTCATTTCAGACTGTGCCACCTCCTCCCCCAAACAGGCACAGTGCCACTCACAGATAATTGCCCTAGACTCACAGTTTCTGAGATAAGAGGAGAGAATTGAAGGTGAACATTCACTATGCCCATCAGTCTGGGAATCTTCAAAGGAAACCCATTCTGGTCTCATTCCAAAGGAACCATTGGAAGTGTCAGAAGGGCTGAGCCACCTGGGGTGAATTAGGAACACAGAGTGGGGCACTGACTACAGTGGCTGGGGCATTGATCTTGGCAGCTACTATGTGCTTTGATCAGCAGGGATGCCACATTGAAGAGATAGGCTGATGTCATAGAGCTGCAAGGGGTACAATCTGTGGGAAGTCTTGAATAGCTGGCCAGATTTTTCCAGAAAGCTCAGGTGCTCATGTAGAGTTTCTCACTGACCTGGAAACAACTAAAATGTGAGGATTAACTTCTCATGCCCACTTACGTCTGCCCCCAGACTGAAACAATGGCAAGGCAGCAATATAGTTCCCGGATAATGTTTAACTTCTGGCACTCACTGTAAGTCTTCCTCAGACCAGGAAACAATGGCAGGGCAATGGGTTAGTTCTAGGGCAGTGTTTTAGTTCTGGGGCTCATTATAAGTCCTCCCCAGAATATGAAGAAACAACAGGCTGGTATTTAAGTTCTGATACTGATTAGGAAAGGTCTGACACTACCAAAGAACACCTGCAAAAGCTGGAAGAGGTGGATGTCTTCTCAAATGTGCAGGCATCAAGAAAGATTTTGAAGGCATCAAGACAGAAAGATTTTGAAAACTCAGGGAAATATGACCAAAAGAAACCAACAAAGCTCCACCAATGGACCCAGAAGATTTGAAGATCTATGAAATGTCAGAGAATTCAGAATAATCCCCCTAAAGAAGTTAAGGGAATCACAAACAAATATGAGAAGAAAACTAAATGAAATTTGCAAAACAATCCAGGAACAAAATGAGAAATTTGACAACAAAACGGAAACAATTTAAAAGCCAAATAGAAATCCTAGAAATAAAGAATGCAATAACTAAACTGAAAAACTCAGTAGAAAGCTTCAACAGCAGACTTGATCAAACAGAGGAAAGAATTAGTGAGCTTTATTACCCAATCAGAGGAGCAAAAATAAAAATAAAAAAGAGTAAACAAGGCCTACAAGAATTATGATGCACTACCAAGCAAACTAATGTCCACCTAATAGGAATTTCTGAAGGCAGTGAGAGAGAAAAATGCCTAGGAAGCATATTTAAGGAAATGAAGACTGAAAATTTCCTAAATCTGGAGAAAAATGACACCATTTAGGTATAGGAAGCTCAGAGATCACCAACAAAATTCAACCCAAAGAGGAAATCTCCAAGACATATTATAATCAAATTCACAAAAAAAAGACAAATAATACTCAAACCAGCAAGAGAAGAGAAACATATCACATTTAATGGAGCCCTAATACAGCTTTCAACAGATTTCTCAGTGGAAACCCTGCAGGCCAGGAGAAAATGGGATGCTATATTAAAAGTGCTGAAGGAAAAAAGGACTGCTAGCCAAGATTACTGTACTCAGCAAAGCAATCATTTAAACATGAAGGAGCAATAGACTCTGCTTCTGAGAATTCATCAACACCAGCCCTGTATTAAAGGAAATGCTAAAAGGATTTCTTCAATCAATCTGGAAAAAAAGAATGCTAACATGTAACAAGAACACATCTGAAGGTATTAAACTCACTGGTAAAAGAAAGAAAATAGGCAAATTCAGAATACTCTAATACTGTAAGTAAACAATTTATATATTAAGTATGTGGACTTAAAACTATTAAAAACAGTAACTAATATAATTGGTTAAGAGATAGGCAATACAGAAATATGTAACAAGGATACCCCATGCAAATAGAAACCAAAAAAGATCAGGAGTAGCTATACATATATCACATAAAATGGACTTTAAGTCAAGAACAGTTTTGAAAAGACAAAGAAGGCAAGTGTATAATGATAAAGAGGTCAATACAGAAAAAGGATATAACAATTGTAAATATATATGCACTCAACACCAGAGCACCCAAATATATAAAACAAATATTAATAGACCTAAAGGGAGATATTGTCTGGAATACAGTAATAGAAGGGGTCTTTGACATCCCACCTTCAACAATGAACAGATCATCCAAACAAAAAATCGATGAAGAGACATTAAACTGCACCATAGATCAAATGAACCTAACAGATGCTTACAGAACATTCCATTCAACAGCTGCAGAATACACATTCTTCTCATCAGCACATAAAACAGTCTCCAGGATAGACCATATGTTATGTCATGAAACAAGTCTTAATAAATTTTTAAAAATTGAAATCATATCGGGTATCTTAACATACTGCTGAACAACAAATGGGTCAATGGAGAAATTAAAAGGAAATTTAAAAATTCCTTGAAACAAATGAAAACGGAAACACAATATACCAAAACCTACGGGATACAGCAAAAGTAGCTCTAAGAGGGAATTTTATAAAAATAAATGCCTGTATCAAAAAAGTAGGAAGATCTCAAATAAACAACTTAGTGATACACCTCAAGGAACTAGAGAAACAAGAACAAAGCCAACCCAAAAGTAGTAGAAGGAAAGAAATAATAAAAACTACAGCAGAAATAAAACTAAAAACAATACAAAAGATCAATGAAAAGAAAGTTATTTTTTGAAAAATAAAATTGACAAAACTTTAGCAAGACTAAGAAAAAAAAAGAGAAGGCCCAAATAAATAAAATGAGAGATGAAAAAGGAGACATTAAAACTGATACCACAGATAACACAAAGGATCACTAGAGACTATTCTGAACAATTACCTGCCAACAAATTGGTAAGCCTAGAATAAACAGATAAATTCCTGTACACATACAACCTACCAAGATTGAACCATGAAGAAATAGAAAACCAGAACAGACCAATAATAAGTAACAAGACTGAAACAGTAATAAAATGTATCCTACCAAAGAAAAGCCCAGGATCTGACAGCTTCACTGCTGAATTCCCCAAAACATTTAAAGAACTAATATCAATTCTACTCAAAATATCCCAAAAAATTGAAGAGGAGAGAATACTTCCAAACTCATTCTACAAGACCAGCATTACTATGGTATCAAAACCAGACAAGGACACACACACACAAAGAAAACTACAGGCTTATATCCATGATAAACATAGATGCAAAAATCCCCAACAAAATACTAGCAAGTCAAATTCAACAACACATTAAAAAGGTCATTCATTGTGATCAAGTGGGATTCATCCCAGGGATGCAAGGATGGTTCCAAATACACAAATCAATAAACATGATACGTCATATTAACAGAATCAAGAACAAAAACAAATGACCATTTCAATAGATGCTGAAAAACCATTTGATAAAATTCAACATCCCTTTATGATAAAAAAAATTCTGCAACAAACTGACTATAGAAGGTACATACGTCAGAACAATAGAGGTCATATATGACAAACTCACAGCTAACATCATACTGAATTGGGAGAAATTGAAAGCCTTTCCTGTAAGATCTGGAACAACACAAGGATGCCCACTTTCACCACTTTATTTGACACATTTTTGGAAGTTCTAGCTAGAACAATTATGCAAGAGATAGAAATAAAGGCATCCAAATTGGAAAATAAGAAGTCACATTATCCTTGTTCACAGATGACATGATCATATATTTAGAAAAAACTAAAGACTCCATAAAAAACTGTTAGATCTGATAAATTCAGTAAAGTTTCAGGATACAAAATCAACACACAAAAATTAGTAGCATTTCTTTACACCAACAGCAAATAACCTGAAGTAGAAATGAAGAAAGCAATCCCATTTATAATAGCTTGTAAAGGGAAAAAAAAAAAAATAGAAATATACTTAACCAAAGAAGTGAAAAATTTATACAATGAAAACTATAAAACACTGATGAAAGAAATTAAAGAGGACACAAAAAATGGAAAAATATTTCATGGTCATCAATTGGAAAAATTAATATTGTTAAAATGTCTGTGCTACCCATAGTGATCTACAGATTCAGCGCAACCTCTATCAAAATACCAATGACATTCTTCACAGAACTAGAAAAAGCAATTCTAAAATTAGTATGGAACCACAAAAGACCCCAAATAGCCAAAACAATCCCGAGCAAAAATAACAAAGCTGGGGGCATCAAAATACTGTACTTCAAGATATACTACAAAGCTATAATAACCAAAACAGCATGGTATTGGCATAAAAACAGACACATAGAACAATGGAACGGAATAGAGAACCCAGAAATAAATCTGTGCATTTACAGCCAACTTATTTTCAACAAAGACACCAAAAACATACACTGGGGAAAAGACAATCTCTTCAATAAATGGTGCTGGGAAAACTGGATATTCATATGCAGAAGAATGAAACTAGACCTCTGTCTCTCACTGTATACGAAAATGAATTAAAGTGAATTAAAGACTTAAATGTAAGACCGGAAACTACTAGGAGAAAACACTGGAGAAACACTTCAGGTCATTGGTCTGGGCAAATATTTTATTAAGACTTCAAAAGGTCTTATAAAATATAACACAAAAGTGCGAAAGTACAAATAGACAAATGGCATCACATCAAGTTACAAAGCTTTTACACAGCAAAGGAAACAATCAGCAGAGTGAAGAGACAACCTACAAAATGGGAGAAAATATTTGCAAACTATTCATCTGATAAGGAATTAATAACCAGAATATATAGGGAACTCAACTCATTAGCAAAAAAAAATTGATTAAAAAATGAGCAAATGATCTGAATACAAGAAGACCTTCACCAAGAAGACCTACAAATGACCAACAGTGATAGGGAAAAATGTTCATCTCTAATCATCAGGCAAATGCAAACTGAAACCACAATGAGATATCATCTCACTTCAGTTAAACTGGCTATTATCAAAAAGACAAAAAATATGCCGGTGAGGATATGGAGAAAGGGAAACTCTTATACACTTGATAAAAAATAAAAAACTTCAAATTTAACAGAGTTTAATTGAGCAAGAAAAAAATGATTTACAAATCAGGCAGCCCCCAGAATCACAGCAGATTCAGAGGCACTCCAGGGATGCCTCATGGTCAGAACAAATTTATAGACAATAAAAGGAACATGATGTACAGAAGTTAGAAGTGAAGTACAGAAACAGCTGGATTGGTTACCAGTTGGTGTTTGTCTTATTTGAACACAGTTTGAACACTGAGCAGTATATGAGTGGTTGAAGTATGGCTGCTAGGATTGGCCAGGACTCAGCTACAAGTTACAGGCACATACTCCTAAGTTGGGTTTTCAATCTTGTCTACCTACTAAATTACATTACAGTTCATCCACAAGGACTCAAATATAGAAGTACATAGTCCTTCTCAGGCCATATTTAGTTTGCTTTAACATACTGTTAGTAGGAATATAAATTAGTATGGCCACTATGGAAAACAATATGGAGGCTCCTCAAAAAAATGAAGAAAAAAAAATAGCTCTACCATATGATCCAGCAATCCCACTATTGGGTATATATTCAAAAGAAAAGAAATCACTATGTGGAAGAGATGTCTGTGGAAGAGATATCCCTTGTTTATTGCAGCATTATTCACAGTAGCCAAGATATGGAATCAACATTAAGTGTCCATCAGCAGATGAATGGATAAAGAAAGTGCAGTACTTATACACAGTGAAATATCATTCAGGCATAAAAAGTGATGAAATTCTGTCATTTGCAGTAGCAGCATGGATGGAACTAGAAGACATGTTAAGTGAAACAAGCCAGACACCAAAAGACAAATATCACATATTCTCACTTATGTAGAAACTAAAAAAGTTGATCTCATCAAAGTAGAGAGTAGAATGGCAGTTACCAGAGGCTGGGAATGGTACAGGGCAAGAGGGAATGAAGAGAGGTTGGTTAGTGAGTACAAAAACACAATTAAATAGAAGGAACAAGTTATAGTGTTTAATAGCGTAGCAGAGTGATTATAATTAACAATAATTTCTGGTATATCTCAAAATAGCTAGAGAAGAAGATTTGGAATGTTCCCAACATCATGAAATGATAAATGTTTGACATGTTGGATATACTAATTTCCCTTAATTTGATCATTGCACGTTATGTGCATGTATCAAAGTATCACATGTACCCCCATAAATATGTACAATTATTATATATCAATAAAAAATGTCAGATACCAAAAAGAAATATCCCATATAATCATCACCAACAAAAAAAAGAGATAAATCTAATAATGGTGAGAACAGGCTGCTGATGAGGAGTCAAAATGATCAGGCAACCTGCCTGTACCCTCCCTCCCCTGCAGCCTTGCCATTGCCACCTTTGCCTTTAGGTACTCACACACAGCCACCCACCATATTGCTTTGCTGGTGCATGTGTGCACAGATGGACCTAGCCTTCCCTTACCTGCCAGTGCACCTGTGTGCGTGCACCATGCCATGCCACTGCTGCTGGTGTGAGTGCACCCCACCACATCGTCATTGTTATGGAAGCGTTGGTGGGCATGGAATCCACCAGTCCCAGCCCACCAGCACCCCAGCCCTGCACCAGGGAGGCTGGCACAAAACTAGGCACAGAAAACAGCAGACCTGATCCCTGCTCTGAGCAGCCACTGCCACCAGAGTGAACACGCACGGAAGGCATACATAGTCCTGTGCCCACCAGCACTCAGTCCCCATGCTAACACCACGATCAGTGCAAATGTGCACACAATTGCTGGCGGGGGCTCCCATCCTCCTGAGCCATACTAGCACTATCACTGCTGCAAATGCCTGCACAGAGGCCAGCACCCCAGCACCCACTAGCACCCTGCTGCAGCTGATGAGCATGCACCCAGTGTGCTGCTGCTGCCACTGCTGCTGGCACATGCACATGAGGGCACATCCTGCTGCCACTGCCCTGTGAAGTACTTTGGCTGGCACCAGCCATTGTAGTGTTGTGACCAGCCATCTGGGAGCACCTCTGCCTCTCCAGCACAGCACGTTCCTAACCTCAAGGAGCCAGAAATCAGAGCCAAGGCCTAATACCAGTCCCCCAGAGTTAGAGCACACAGTCCAGAAGTCCTTAGCTAAGCCTTGGTCCCCTAAAGTCTTCTAATAACAAAGCCAGTAGACTGAACTCACCTTATATGATGATCAAACCCCGAAGGTCATCAAATAAGATTTAAAAAAAAAACAACCCATCCAAACAACAGCAATTTCAAAGACTGAAGGAACGTCAGCCCTCAAAGATGAGAAAGAACCAGCTCAAGAACTCTGATAACTCAAAAAGCCAGAGTTTCTTCTTTCCTTCAAATAACTGCACTAGTTCTCCAGCAAGGATTCTTAACTGAGCTAAGATGGCTGAAATGACACATAGAATTCAGAATATGGGTAGGAATGAAGATCATCAAGATTCAGAAGAACATTGAAACATAATCTAAGGAAGCTAAGAATCATAATAAGATGATACAGGAGCTGACAGACAAAATAGCCAATATAGAAAAGAATGTAACTGACCTGATAGAGCTAAAAAACACTCCTCAAGAATTTTGTAATGCAATCACAAGTATTAACAGAAGAATAGACCAAGCTGAGGAAAGAATCTCAGAGCTTTAAGACTGGCTTTCTGAAATAAGACAGTCAGTGAAGAACAAAGAAAAAAGAATGAAAAGGAACAAACAAAACCCCTGAGAAATATGGGATTATATAGAGACTAAATCTATGATTGATTGGCATCTCTGAAAGACATGGAGAAAATGGAAGCAACTTGGAAAACATATTTCAGGATATCATCCATGAAAACTTCCCCAATCTAGGTAGACAGGCCAACATTCAAATTCAGGAAATGCAGAGAACCCCTGCAAAATACTTCACAAGAAGATAATCCCCAAGACACATAATCTTCAGATTCTCCAAGGTCAAAATGAAAAAAAAGTTAAAGGCAGCTAGAGAGAAAGGACAAGTCACCTACAAAGGGAAGCCCATCAGACTAACAGTGGACCTCTCAGCAGAAACCCTACCAGCCAGAAGCGACTGGGGGCCTATGTTCAACATTCTTAAAGAAAAGAAATTTCAACCAAGAATTTCATATCCAGCCAAACTAAGCTTCATAGGCAAAGGGGAAATGAAATCCTTTTCAGACAAGCAAATGTTGAGGGAATTTGTTACCACTAGGCCTGCCTTACAAGAGCTCCTGAAAGAATCACTAAATATGGAAAGGAAAGACTGTTACCAGCCACTACAAAAACACACTTAAGTATACAGACCAATGACACTATAAAGCAATCACACAAACAAGTCAGCATAATGAACAGCTAACAACATGATGACTGGATCAAATACACACATATCAATACTAACTGTGAATGTAAATGGGCTAAATACCCCAATTAAAAGGCACAGAGTGGCAAGCTGGGTACAGAAGCAAGACCCAATGGTATGCTATCTTCAAGAGACCCATCTCACATGCAGTGACACTCATGGGCTCAAAATAAAGGAATGGAGAAAAAGCTACCAAACAAATGGAAAACAAAAAAGCAGGGGTTGCAATCCTAATTTCAGACAAAACAGACTTTAAACCAACAAAGATTAAAAAAAAGACAAGGGCATTACATAATGGTAAAGGGTTCAATTCAGCAAGAAGACCTAACTATCCTAAATATATATGCACCCAACAGAGGGGCACTGAGATTCATAAAGCAAATTCTTAGAGACCTTCAAAGAGACTTAGACTCCCACACAATAATAGTAGGAGACTTCAACACCCCATAGACAGTACTAGATCATCAAGGCAGAAAATTAACAAAGATATTCAGGACCTAACTCAACACTGGACCAAATGGATCTGGTAGATATCTACAGAACTCTCCACCCAGAAGCAACAGAATATACATTCTTCTGATGTGCACATGGCACATACTCTAAAATCAACCACACAATTGGACATAAACCAATCCTCAGCAAATGCAGAAGAACAGAAATCATACTAACCACTCTCCTGGACCACAGCACAATAAAAATAGAATTCAAGACTAAGAAAATTGCCCAAAACCATAAAATTATATGGAAATTAACCCACTCCTGAATGACTTTTGGGTAAATAATGAAATTAAGGCAGAAATCAAGAAGTTCCTTGAAAGTAGTGAGAACAAAAATACAACAAACCAGAATCTCTGGGACACAGCTTATGCAGCATTAAGAAGGAAATTTATAGCACTAAATGCCCACATCAAAAAGTTAGAAAGATCTCAAATTAACAACCTAATATCATATCAAAAAGAACTAGAGAAGCAAGAGCAAGCCAACCCCAAAGCTAACAGAAGGCAAGAAATAACAAAAATCAGAGCTGAAGTGAAGGAGATTAAGACATGAAAAGCCATTCAAAACAGTGAAGCCAGGAGCTGACTTTTTGAAAAAATTAATAAGATAGCTAGACCACTAACTATATTAATAAAGAAGAAAAGAGAGAAGATCCAAATAAACAATCAGAAATGACAAAGGGGATATTACCACTGACCCCACAAAAATAGGAATAACCATCAGAGAATATTATGAACACCTCTATGCACACAAACTAGAAAATTTTGAAGAAATGGACATATTCCTGTAAACATACACTCTCCCAAAACTGAGCCAGGAAGAAACTGAATTCCTGAACAGACTAATAACGAGCTTTGAAATGAAACAGTAATAGTCTACCAACCAAAAAAAGCCTTGGACCAGATGGATTCACAGCTGAATTTGCCAAATGTACAAAGAAGAGCTAGTACCATTCCTACTGAAACTATTCCAAAAATTGGGGAGGAGGAATTCCTCCCCAACTCATTCTATGAGGCTAGCATCATCCTGATACTCAAACCTGACAAAGACACAACAATGAAAGAGGCCAATATCCTTGATGAACATTGATGCAAAAATCCTCAACAAAATACTAGCAAACTTAATCCAGCACCATATCAAAAAGCTAATTCACCACAATCAAGTAGACTTTATCCCTGGGATGCAAGGTTGGTTATGCAAATCAATAAACATGATTCATCACATAAACAGAACTAAAGACAAAACCACATTATCATCTCAATAGATGCAGAAAAGACTTTTGATAAAATTCAACATCCTTTCATGTTAAAAACTCTCAGCAAACTAGGTATTGAAGGAACATAGCTGAAAATAATAAGAGCCATCTATGATAAACCCACAGCCAATATCATACTATACTGAATGGGCCAAAGCTGGAAGCATTCCCCTTGAAAACCAGCGCAAGACAAGGATGCCCTCTCTCACCACTCCTATTCAACATAGTATTAGAAGTGCTGGCCAGAGCAGTCAGGCAAGAAAAAGAAATAAAGGGCATCCAAATAGGAAGAGAGGAAGTCAAATTATCCCTGTTTGCAGATGACATGATCCTGTATCTAGAAAACCCCATATTCACAGCCCCAAATCTCCTTAGGCTGATAAACAATTTTCAGCAAGGTTTCAGGATACAAAATCAATGTACAAAAATTACTAGCAATGCTATACACCGAAAAGAGACAAACTGAAGGCCAAATCAGGAATGGACTTCCATTCACAGTTACTACAAAAGGAATAAAATACCTAGGAATACAGGGAGAATAATCAGGGAGGTGAAATGTCTCTACAATGAGAACTACAAAACACTGCTCAAAGAAGAGAAGACACAAACATATTGAAAATCATTCCATGCTCATGGATAGGAAGAATCAATATCATTAAAACTGCCATACTGCCCAAAGCAATTTACAGATTCAATGCTGTTCCTGTCAAACTACCAACGACATTGTTCACAGAACTAGAAAAACTATTTTTAAATTTATATGGAACCGGCCGGGCATGGTGGCTCACACCTGTAATCCCAGCACTTTGGGAGGCCAAGGTGGGTGGATCACCTGAGGTCAGGAGTTTGAGACCAGCCTGACCAATATGGTGAAACCCCGTCTCTACTAAAAATACAAAAAAATTAGCCAGGCGTGATGGCAGGCACCTGCAGTCCCAACTATTTGGGAGGCTGAGACAGGAGAATTGCTTGAACCTGGGAGGCGGAGGTTGCAGTGAGCTGAGATCATGCCACTGCATTCCAGCCTGGGCAACAGCACAAGACTCTGTCTCAAAAAAAAAAAATTATATGGAACTTAAAAAAGGCCCAAATAGTCAAGGCAATCCTAAGCAAAATGAAAAAAAGCAGGAGATAGCACACTACCAGACTTCAAACTATACTACAGGGCTACAGTAACCAAAACAGCATAGGAGTGGTTCAAAAACAGATGCATAGACCAATGGAACAGAATAGAGAGCCCAGAAGTAAGGCTGCACACCTACAACCATCTGATCTTTGACACAGCTGACAAAAACAAGCTATGGGGAAAGGACTGTCTATTCAATAAATGGTGCTGGGATAACTGGGTAGCCATATGCAGAAAATTGAAACTGCACCCGTTCCTTACACCATATGCAAAAATCAGCTCAAGATGGATTAAAGACTTAAATGTAAAACCCAAAACCATGAAACCCCTGAAAGACAACCTAGGCAATGCCATTCTGAACATAGGAATGGGCAAAGATTTCATGATTAAGATGGCAAAAGCAATTGCAACAAAAGCAAAAATTGACAAATGGGATCTAAAGAGCTTCTGCACACCAAAAGAAACCATCAACAGAGTAAACAGACAACCTACAAAATGGGCAAAAGTATTTGCAAACTATGCATCTGATAAAGGTCTAATATCCAGCATTCATAAGGAACTTAAACAAATTTGCAATAGACAAACCCATCCCCATTAAAAAGTGGGCAAAGGACATGAACAAACACTTTTCAAAAGAAGACATACATGCAGCCAATAAGAATATGAAAAGAAATGCAAATCAAAACCACAATGAGACGCCATCTCCCAACAGTCAGAATGGCTATTACTAAAAAGTTAAAAGTTGCTGGTGAGGTTGCAGAGAAAAGGGAACACTTATACACTTTTGGTGGGAGTGTAAACTCATTCAACCAGGGTGGAAAGCAGAGCGATAATTCCTCAAAGAGCTAAAAACAGAGCTACCAGTCAACCTAGCCATCCTATTACTCATACATACCCAAAGGAATATAAATTATTCCATCATAAAGACACATGCACGCGAATGTTCATTGCAGCACTATATTCACAATAGCAAAGACATGGAATCAACCTGATTGCCCATAAATGGAAGACTGGATAAAGAAAATCTGGAACATATACACCATGGAATACTATGCAGCCATAAAAAAGAATGACATTGTGTCCTTTGCAGGAACATGGAGGGAGCTGGAGACCATTATTCTCAGCAAACTAAAGCAGGAACAGAAAACCAAATACCGCATGTTCTCACTTATAAGTGGGAGCTAAATGATGAGAACACATGGACACATAGAGGGGAACAGCAGACACTGAGGCCTACTGGAGAGTGGGAGGAGGGAGAGAACCAGAAAAAATAACTATTGGGTAATAGGCTTAGTACCTGGGTGTCAAAATAATCTGTACATCAAACCCTCATGACACAAGTTTACCTATATAAAAAACCTGCACATGTATTCCTGAACCTAAAATAAAAGCTTTTTAAAAAATAAAAAAGGATTAGGTCTCACAAAAATTCATGTACTTGATGGTCACAAAAAGAAAAGATGCAAGTTCATGGACACTAGGAGTTCCATGAACTTGGCTGGTCTGTGGTTGAGGGGCTCATGTTTATTGCTTTCAGTGGAAGTGGTCAGAGAGGTGTGGCATGTGGAGTCAAACAAGGGGCCAGTGAAGCTGCAGAGGGTACAGTTGACCCTTGAACAATGCAGGTGTTAGGGGCACTGACACTCTCCCTCCCCAACTCAGCCAAAAATCTGTGGATAACTCTTCAATAACTTTTGACTCACCCCAAATTTATCTATTAATTATTGTTGACCAGAGGCCTTACCAAGAGCATAAATAATCAATTAGCACATTTTGTATGCTGTGTGTATCATATACTGTATTCTTACAATAAGTAAGCTAGAGAAAAGACAATGTTACTAAGAAAATCATAACAGAAAATATATTTACTATTAGGTAGAAGTGGATCATCATAAAGATCTTTATCTCATCATCTTCACATTGAGCAGGCTGAGGAGGAGAAGGAAGAGTAGGAGTTGGTCTTACTGTCTCAGGGGTGTCAGAGGTAGGAGAGGTCACAGGAAAGGCAGGCACAGTCCATGTTAACTTTTATTGAAAAAAAATCCATGTATAAGTGGATCTGCACAGTTCAGACCCATGTTGTTCAAGGGCCAAGGGCAATTCCAGAGGCAGCTGATGTAGGGAGGGGAGTTGGGAGAAGCTCTCCCGAGGAGAAAGGCCAGGTCTTCAGTTGGGAAACAAGCTCTTGTTATGCTTTCTGAGCCCCTTTCCTTTTCTTAGTGTCGACTAAGAGTTTATGACTAGTGTTGGGGAAAAAGCCACTTCCCTTTATGTTTTAAAGTTCTTGCTGTACTTATAGGAAATTTTGTATCTTACACCCACACATTTAGTAAAATGAAGGCCAAATGAAGTTTTAACAAACAAGAAAAGATAAAATATATAAGTACCCCACTCTTGTCTCTCAGGAAACAAAGAATTATTTTATGTTTATTTTACTTTTGGAGTAATAGTAATTACATGTATGGTAATACGGAGCTGGTATCTACTTAGGCAAGACAAATATGATGTCATGTTTTTAAGATTTAAGAAAAACTCTACGTTCTGTTTGCCACCTACTTATATGTGCTTAGTTGAGCTCAATTTAAACAGTTTTATCTGAGAATAAAACAGACATTATAGTAATTATTAACGCATCTGCATTGTCTCTTAAACTGATGTAACAGAGATGCCATCTTGCACTATTCTGAAATAGAAGATTTCAGACTCTTTGATGTGACGGAAATCCCTCTGCTTCCTCAGTTTTCTTAACAGGCTGTGGAATCTCAGTGATTGCAATTAAAGGTCGGTTTCTTTAATGATGTTTCCATCAATGTCTGGGCAATTGGAGGTAAGCCTAGCTGAAGGGCAGCTAATTAACTCCATCTGTGCATGTCTGTGATTCACGATAACAGCCTTTAGACAAATAGAGCCATGGAATCAGGAACATGTCTCACGATCATCTAGTTCTTGACTTTATTATCAAAGAAAAATGTTTTCATCTGTATTTAACTATAAACTTAAACTGACATTTACTTTTATTTAGTATGTAGATCTTCCTATTTTTCTTTCAGTGGACTGTTGCACCATTTTTCACTAATTCATCCTCAAGTGCCAATATCTTTCATATAGAAGATATTCAATAAATATTTATTGAATGAACATGTGTGAAACCAATTTTTTTACATTCATCTGGGTGAAAGGTTTGCCTCGACACTTTTATGTAACCCTAAGAACTCACTGAAATTGCACTCTCGCACAGCCAGTCTTAGCATGTGTCTCATTCTCTGCCAAATGGCTGGTGAACTCCATGCCTGTCTATTGGCAATGTAAACTGGGTGCTGCTGAGGGATTCCTTTTTCAATTACACTTACATTTTTGGAACATGGTCCACTTCTCTCTACCTTCCAAAACTTTCTTACTAAACAAAACATACTTTAGTAAGTCTATATAATGATTTATGTAAGCATTTACTCAGACAAAAGCAGGCAGTGAGTCTGCAGAAGGGAGTTAAAGGCAGATCTGAAGAAAATGGTCATGGGCAGAAAACAGTTCAAGAACTTCCTTAGCAGCCTAGAGTCAGAAAATTCAATAGTCAAGTTAACCAGGATGATACAAGTGTCTTAGACCATTTCAGGCCTTCTATTTGGAAGAAGGCAGTTAATCCTGGGTTTTGTAAGCATTAATAAATCTATCAATTACATCTATTGGAGGAAAGCCATATCTAGTGCCTTTTTGAAAACACCCTTAATAACAATTACATAGACTGGTGAAAACTTTTTACAGTAGGTAATTGAAAGGTCTGGGTATATACACACACACACACACACACACACACACACACACACATATATTTATATATACATGTAATATGTATTATAATATGTAATATGTATATATAAATATACATGTATATATACACCCTTAATTACATAGACTGGTGACAACTTTTTACAGTAGGTAATTGAGAGGTCTGGGTTTATATATACATATATATATACACACACAGATGTATATTTATATATACATGTAATATGTGTATATAATATGTAATATGTATATATAAATATACATGTATATATGTACACCCTTAACAATTACATAGACTGGTGAAAACTTTTTACAGTAGATAATTGAAAGGTCTGGGTTTATATATATATACACACATATATTTATATGTATATATAAATATATCCCCATATATATGTGTATGTGTATATATATACACACACAGAGATAAATAGTTGTGCGTGTATATAGATCCACATAAATATTTATATAGAATACATATATACTATATGTCCATAGAAACCTAGAATTTCAATTGCCTGTTACAAAAAGTTTTCACGTGTTTTAGAAATTCTAAAATGTATTTGTGATCAGAACTTCACACTTCCTCTAGGGCAGGAAGAAAAGATTTTTTTCTGTCCAGTTCTGCACCTTGCATGAAGTATGGCTATTGCTATAACTGATCTACATTTGAATATCGCAGCCCTCATAACATCTATCAAATCCTTCTGCTTTTCTACAAACCTCAGTTATTTGTGAAAGTGGATTGTTCAGAGACAAGGATTTTCAGCCAGTGGATCAAAGATAAATGACTTCAGGTTTTCATTAAGCCCCTGTCTGGCAATAGGTTAGCCTTCAGAGGTTTTGAAATAAATACCTTTGGCTGGGCGCTGTGGCTCATGCCTGTAATCCCAGCACTTTGGGAGGCTGAGGCAGGCAGATCACGAGGTCAGGAGTTCGAGACCAGCTGGGCCAACATAGTGAAACCCCATCTCTACTAAAAATACAAAAAAATTAGCCAGGTGTGGTGGCGGGAACCTGTAATCCCAGCTACTCGGGAGGCTGAGGCAGGAGAATCACTTGAACCTGGGAGGCGGAGGTTGCAGTGAGCTGAGATCACGCCACTGCACTCCAGCCCAGGCGACAGTGTGAGACTCCATCTCAAAAAAAAAAAAAAAAAAAAAAAAGAAAAAGAAAAAGAAAAAAAGGAAAGAAAGAAATACCTTCACTGGGGCAAGTGGGTAATTCATTCATGAAGCAATAGAATAGTATCTCCTTTTATAGCAATGAATGGCAGGTTTATAGATATTAATTCTTAATGAGAAACAGTGACTAGGAGTTGTCTATTTGAAGAGTTTTCACAGATCATCAAAGCCAGACAGAGCAGACTGTTGTCTCTTTGGCCACTTCTCTGTGCTATCTATTCTGTTTGTGTACTATTGCTCATAATGTTTAAGAGCTCTCTGGGGTAAAACAACAAAGACATCTCCGGATTCTACAATGGGGAGGAAGAGTTTTTTGCTTGTTTGCTTTTTCCGAAAAATAATATCTTTGTGACCATGATCACATAGGATTATAGATCTGACATCAGATATGCCAAATAAATTGAGAAAGCCTAGAAAAAGTCACCTGTAAGGATGAGGGGGAAAGTATTTGATCCTAATTTTCTGTATTTTATTATTAGAAAAATCTAATAAGATAATAAAGTTTTAGCAATACTTCATAGCATGCATTTGTATTGTAAAGTATTATAACCATACAGAAAAGTATACAATACAAATTTTTATGAGCTCAATAAGTTATCGTGGGATAAATAAATACCCATAAAATCATCACCTGAGTAAAAATATGAATAAATCAAATCTCAGTGGTTTCCTTTGTACACAGACTCAATCGCTATTCCTGTCTCCTCGAAAAAACCAATGTCCTGATTTCTAAGACTTATAATTTAGTTTTATCTATTTGACAAAATAGTTTTGTGCCTTGCATGAACTATGGCTATTGCTATAACTGATCTACATTTGAAAATTGTAGCCTTCGTCACGTCTATCAAATCCTTCTGCTTTTCTGCAAACCCCAGTTATTTGTGAAGGTGGATTGTTCAGAGACAAGGATTGTCTCTGGAATCACAGAGTACTATTTTTCCTTCTTTTCAGGTGATGTTTATGAGATTTACCTATGTTGATGAATGTAACTATAGTTTCAGTATGTTCATTTTCATTGTTGTGTATTATTCGATTGTACAAATGTAACACAATTTATTCATTCTGCTGGTAATGGACGTTTGGGTTGTTTCCTGGTTTGGACTCTTACAAATGATGCTGCTATGAACATTCATATGTATGTCTCTTGGTGCACATGTGCACACATTTTTGGGGGGTAAACATGTAGAAGTGGAATTACTGGATTAAAGAGTATGCATATGTTCCCCTTAGTAGATAATCCATATTGTTTTCCAAAGTAATTGCACTAATTTACACACCCCCCAGCAATATGTTGCTCCACCAGCTTGGCATTGTCAATCATTTTAATTTTTGCCTTGCTGGTAGGTGTAAAATGGTGTCTCATTCAGTTATAATTTGCATTACACTAATAACTAATGGAGCTGAGCACCTTTTTAGGTGCTTATTTCCCAATCGGTATATGTATTTGTGAAGTTCCTATTCATGTTTTTTACCTAGTTTTCTACTGGGTTTTCTCTTTTACTTAAATTATAGTTTTTTAGGTAGTATTATGGATACAAGCTTGTTGTTGGTAGCATGTGTTGCAAATAATCTTCCATTGTGGCTTGCTTTTTCACTCATTTAATGTTGTCTTTTAATAAACAGAAGTTTTTAATTTTAATAATGTCCAATTTATTAATAATTTCCTTTAAGGATGTGGATTTTTTCTGTCCTTCTAAGAAACCTTGGCCAGGTGCAGTGGCTCACCTCTGTAATCCTAGCACTTTGGGAGGCCAAGGCAGATGGATCATGAGGTCAGGAGTTCGAGACCAGCCTGCCCAATATGGTGAAACCCCGTCTCCACTAAAAATACAAAAATTAGCCAGGCGTGGTGGCGCACGCCTCTAATCCCAGCTACTCAGGAGGCTGAGGCAGGAGAATCATTTGAACCCGGGAGGCGGAGGTTGCAGTGAGCCGAGATCGCACCGTTGCACTCCAGCCTGGGCGACAGGGTGAGATGCCCTCTCAAAAAAAAAAAGAAAAAGAAAAAAAGAAATCTTTCCCTACCTTAAGGTCATAACTATATCTCATATTGTCTTTTATAAACTTTATTGTTTTGCTTGTGAATTTTAGAGCTACAGTTCATCTGGAATTGATTTTTATATATGGTTTGTGACAGATGTGGAAATTTTAAATATTCTACATAGATTTTGAGTTAACTCAGCATCATTTATTGAAAAGACCCTCTTACCCTGCTGCTGTGCTTTACTATCTTGTCCTATCAAGGATGAATTATGTGTGGGTTTGTTTCTGGGCATTCTATACTATTCTATTGGTCTGTTTGTCTGTCTGACAAATACCTCATTGCTTTAATTAGTATATCTTTACAATAAAGTCTTGATATCCTTTAGCACAAGTCTTTTCATATTATGTTATTGTTCAAAAGTATCTTGGCCATTTTTGCTTTTGCATTTCCATATGATTTGAAAATCACTTAGCAAAATTCCTTGTGAAACTTATTAAGATTTTTATGGTACCATATCAAATCTACAGATCCATTTGAGGGGAATGAACATCTCCATGATATGGAATCTTCCAGTCCCTGAACATACAGTCCTCTATTTATTTTATTTTTCTCAGTAATATTTCATAGTTTTCTGTGTAGAGGTATTATTCCATAAACTTTTAAATATGTTACTAAATACTTCAATTTTTGAAAGCTTTTATAAATATGTATCTTTAAATCTGTGTATCTTAATTCTTGCTGACAATTTTATTGTGCCCTTTTTGTGGGTGGGAAGTGGCTTTGATTTGCATTTCCTAATAACTAATGATGTGGAGCATCCTTTAACATATTTATTAGCCATTCATATGTCTTTGGAGATATGCATGTTGGACTCTTTTGCCCACTTTTAATATGGTTGTCTTTTTATTGTTTTATTTATCTTTTTTTTTTGAGACAGAGTCTCACTCTGTCACCCAGACTGGAGTGCAGTGGCGTGATCTTGGCTCACTGCAACCTCTGCCTCCCAGGTTCAAGCAATTCTCCTGCCTCAGCCTCCCCAGCAGCTGGGACTACAGGTGCGTGCCACCACGCCCGGCTAATTTTTTTTGTATTTTTAATGGCGACAGGGTTTCACCATGTTAGCCAGGATGGTCTCGATCTCCTGACCTCGTGATCCCAAAGTGCTGGGATTACAGGCGTGAGCCACCATACCCGTCCCAGTTGTCTTTTTATTATAGAATTGCAAGAGTTCTTTACATATTCTGGATACAAGTTCCTTATAAAATATAAAATTTACAAATATTTTGGGTTTTTTAAAACTTTTTTGATGGTGTACTTTGAAACACAAAATTTATGATGTTTACAAATGTTGACTTCTATCACTTGCACCTTTGGCATCAAACATAAAAAATCAATGCCTAACCGAAGTCAAAACTATTTATTCCTATGCTTTTGTCTAAGAGTTTTATAGTTTTATCTCTCACATATATGTCTACAATCCACTGTAGATTATTTTGTGTGTGTGTGTGATGTGAGGAAAGGATCCTCATTCCTTCTTTGGCATGCAGATTTCCAGTTGTTCCAGGAACGTTTATTGAAAAGACTATTCCTTCCCCTATTGAATTATCTTGACGTTGTTGTCAAACATTAATTAACCATAAATGTAAGGGTTTATTTACATATTAGCAATTCTGTTCCCTTGATATATATGTCTATCCTGTACCAGTACCAAATCGTCTTGGTTTCTGTAGCTTTACAATAACTTTGGAACTGGAAAGTATAAGTCCGCTATCTTTGTTATTTTTCAAGATTGTTGTTTTGGCTACTCTGGGTTTCTTGTATTTCCTTATGAATTTTAGGAAGAGCTTATGAATTGCTGCAAAAAAAAAGTGAGCTGGGTTTTTGATAGGCATTATATTAAATCTGTAAATCAACTTGGAATGTATTATGCTCTTAACAACATTAAGTTTTATTTTTATTTTTTATAGATGGAGTCTTGCTTTGTCACCCAAGCTGGAGTGCAGTGGAGCAATCATGGCTCACCGCAGCGTCAACCTCCTGGGCTCAAACAATCCTCCCATCTTAGACTTTTGAGTAGCTGAGACTACAGGCACATGCCACCATGCTCAGCTAACTTTTTGAATTTTCTCGTAAAGATGTGGTCTCACTATATTACCCAGGCTGGTCTTGAACTCCTGGGCTCAACTGATTCTCCCACCTCAGCCTCCCAAAGTGCTGGGATTACAGGTGTGAACCACAGAACCCAGCCAACAATATTAAGTTTCTTATCCATGATTATGGAATAACTATTCATTTACTCAGGTTTTCTTTAATTTATTTCAACGTTTGGCAGTTTTAGTATGTGAGTCTTGTGCTTCTATTGTCAAATTTATGAATTTGACTTCTCTTGTGTGTATTTTATTATTTTGATGCTATTCTAAATTGAATTGTTTTCTTAATTTAATTTCAGATTGTTTATTGCTAGTGCATGGAAATGTAATTGATTTTTGTGTATTGATCTTTTGCCATTCAACCCTTATGAATTTGTCTATTAGTTCTAATAGTTTTGGAGAATTCCTTAGGATTTTCTATCTACAGCATCAAGTCGTCTGAAAATATAGTTTTACTCTTCCTTTCGAGTATGAATGCCTTGTATTTCTTTTAATTTCCAATTACTCACCACGGTTGAGGCTGCAGTGAGCCATGATTGCACCACTGCATTCCAGCCTGGGTGACACAGTGAGATCCTTTCTCAAAAAAAGAAGAGGAGAAGGAGGGCGGGGGAGGGAAGGGGGAAGGAAGATGTGATTTTATTTATTTTTTCACATGCACTGACCTATCACTTAAAATTTTTCCTTCCACTTGATTTAAAAAAATCTTATTTCTGAAAAAGAGAAACATTTTAAATTCTTTTCCCATTTATGGATATTATTCCATTGCTATTTCCTATAATAGAATGGATATTATTCCATTATTTTTTCCTATAATAGAATGTATGTACTTCTGTTCACCTGCTGGAAACTCTGTGCTGTGCATTCACACAGACTTAAAAGTAATATATCTAATTTCAGGAAGAAATCAACAGAAGTTGAGTTTATTATGAAAATGAACCCCCTTTGATTTAAAACAGAAACAACTGAGTCATGTGGAGGAGGCTGGTGGTCGAAAGCATTGCTTTGCAACCAGTAAGACCTAAATGTGCTTCCTGGCTGTTATACTTTAAGGTGCCTTTGTTAAGCTTTGTTTCTTCAGATGTCAGTGCCAGTGAATAAGGAGTAAAATGAGACAATATGGTTATAACATGCTTGGTATTGTATATGGCACAGTGTAAATGCACAGTAAAAGGTGGCTGTTATTTTAACACAAATACAGCTGTAAATTCAATGGCAATGCCAAATAACACTATATGTAATGTATAACTTTCAAAAAATTGTTCATTGTCAATTTCTCATCTACCAAGAAAGAATGAAATCTAGCCTGTTAATCTTCTGCCAGAACTACTGAATGTTGGAATTTGAAATCAGATATATTCTAAACAGGTTAATCTTTTCATTTTACTGATAGGCAAATTGAAGTTAAGGAAGTTTCTGAAAATTGTCACAGGTAGACAATCACCTCAGGGCTGAATCAAGTCCAGAACCAGGATTCTTTTCACCAATACTAACACCATCGATGTTTATGGCACCCTTCCCAGTTTAGGCAGTGCCCCCTTCCACTCCCTGGCTTTGTTTATGACACTCCCCTGCTCATCCTGTGGAGACCCTATGGGAGTAGGCATCTGCCCCTACTTTTCTTTGGGGAAGAATTGTGGAAGATTTTTGAATACTTGTCTCTCCAAACCCACCCGTGTTTCTGCAGCAACCTTAAGTCAAAAAAAAAATTATAGGAAGAAAACCATGGTATATTTCCCTGCCTTGTCCCACTGGAAGTCATACCTTGGTAGTCACAAAAGGAACAGTCTGTCTGAGAATTCTCATGCTGCTTGTCACTTCAGCACTAAATGACTCAGGCAGTGATTTTAATCTTTCAAGGGGCATGGAGTTGTTAGTGGTCTACTCTTTTTAATGAGCCTCATTCTGAGAAAGAATGGCAAGACTGGGCGAGCTATTCTTCTTGTAAGGTTTTGCAGTGAGGTTTTCAGAGTATGAAGGGTAAAACCAATTCATTTCACCTCCCAGACTTTTTCCTTCCGATTACTTTTCTTTTTTGTAAGGTTCTCTTAAGGTATGCAGATTTAGATACTATAAAAGATAAGACAGATCATGTGAGGAAGGAAATTAGCCAAAAAGTTAGAAACAACTCATTAATTAAAAATTAAAACTTGGAGATAGGATGGGAGAGAATAAGTTCTTTTGACACAGCTGTTACGTACAGTGCAACTGTCTGCAAAAAATAGAATGAAAAAGATCACACACCAATTTAACTGCAGAATGAAACTGTAGTCTTGGATTTGCAGCTTTTAAAACCTTTAAAAATGGGCTGATCATTGAATACCTTTTCCTGAATAGGCTAAGAATGACACGTCTAGTTTGGGTTTTAATGCTTTAAACTGCTCTCTGTCCAGCAGTTCACGGGGAGATACACTGTTGTTTGAGAATGCCCAGATTTTTTTTTTTTTTTTGAGACGGAGTCTTACTCTGTCACCCAGGCTGGAGTGCAGTGGCGTGATTTCGGCTCACTGCAAGCTCCGCCTCCCGGGTTCACACCATTCTCCTGCCTCAGCCTCCTGAGAATGCCCAGATTTTTCCAGTCCAAATTTAACATTTGAGCCCAATGGATGGAAAATACAACTGGTTTGCCTGTTTGGAGTCTGCCAGTTAGTCCTATAGGTTCCCAGTTCACCAGTTTAACCACTGGGTGAAGATCTGGTTATAACACCACTCCCAAAGAAGACATAATGTCTCCAAACACGTAAAGTCTGTCTACAAGATCTTTAAAGAACTCTGTGAAAAAGTCCAACATCTCCTCTGCCAGTCTTTCACAGGGGTCTTATCTAGAGAGACTTGATCTCCTGAAATTTCTGTTGATTTTTTTTTTTTTTGAGACGGAGTCTCACTCTTGTCACCCATGCTGGAGTACAATGGCACAATTTCGGCTCACTGCAACCTCCTACTCCTGAGTTCAAGCGATTCTCCTGCCTCAGCCTCCCGAGTAGTTGGGATTACAGGCACCCACCACCATGCCTGGCTATTTTTGTTGTATTTTTAGTAGAGACGGGGTTTCACCATGTTGGGTAGGCTGGTCTTGAACTCCTGACCTCAAATGATCCAGCCGTCTCGGCCTCCCAAGGTGCTGGGATTACAGGCGTGAGCTACTGTGCCCGGCCCTGAAGTTTCTATTGAACACCGAGTCATCAAGTGGACCTTCAGCTTTTTGACGTTTAGAATCTGGTTGTGGCAATGTGGGTGCAAACTGGTCTGGCCAAGGACACAGGATCTCGTAGAGTGTGGCGTCCCCAGCATTCCCCCACTGCCCATGCCCCGCCACCTGCTTTTGAGTTTTGTACATTAATTTGGTAGGGCTCCCATAACAAAGTACCACAAACTGAGTGGCTTGAACAACAGAAATGTATTTCTCACAGTGCTGGAAGTCCTAGGTCAAGGTGATTGCAGGGCGGGTTTCTTCTGAGGGCTGTGAGGAAGAATCTGTTCCAGGCCTGTCCTTTGGCGTCTGGGGGCTTCGGGGCAGTCTTTGGTGTTTCTTGACTTGTAGACACATCACCCTGCTGTCTGCCTTCATGCTCACATGGCTTTCTTCCTGTGTTCCTGTGTGTGTCTGTGTCCAAATTTCCCCACACCTCTTTTTTTTTTTTTTTTTTTTTTCGGAAACAGAGGTTTGCTCTTGTTGCCCAGACTGGAGTGCAGTGGCATGGTCTCGGCTCACTGCAACCTCCACCTCCCTGGTTCAAGCGATTTTCCTGCCCCAGCCTCCCAAGTAGCTGGGATTACAGGCACCCAACGCCACGCCCGGCTAATTTTTGTATTTTTAATAGAGACAGGGTTTCACCATATTGGCCAGGCTGGTCTCTAACTCTTGACCTCAGATGATCTGCCCGTCTCAGCCTCCCAAAGTGCTAGGATTACAGGCATGAGCCACTGCGCCCAGCCAAATTTCCCCTTTTTATAAGGACATCAGTCTCATTGGATTAGGGGCCCCGCCCAAAACAGTATGGCCTCATCTTAACTAATAACATCTATAATGACCCTCTTCCAAATTAGGGCACATTCTGAGGTACTGGAGGTTAGGTCTTCAACATAGGAGTTTTGAGGAGACACAATTTAAGCTCTCACACTTTGCTCAGATAGGTCTAGAGGATGATTCATATAGGGAAAATCCCACTACTAAGGTTTGTCTTCACCAATTGAGCTGTGTGATCCCCAAGGACTCCCTCTTGGGGCTCACAAGCTAGTCAATGTTTGAATATACCCCTATCTGTAGTTAGCACTGGGAATTATTCAACCTACAGCTCCCTGTTCATCCTTTGCCCGGCCTTGTGGAGTTTCATTCTGTGCATTGCAGCCTCATTGTCAGCAGAGACTAGACTTCTGGAGTTCTTATCCCTTTGGCTTTTTCCTTTCCAGAACTCTGCCCTGCAAATTCCAGCTTCTTCAACCTCCCTCAATTCTGATCTCAATTTTCTTAACTCAGTGAGGCTGCCAGACACTGAGTTCTTTCTGTTTGCCCACGCAGTCCAGAAATCACCTTCGGGCAGGAAGCCAAGGCCATCTTAGGACTCAACTTAATTTGTTTCCCTCTCAGGGCTCACAGTCCTGTGCTGCTGGCAGTTAAATGAACATAACTGTTTCATTTTTTCCCCCCAGTTTTCTAGTTGTTAAAACTAGTTCTTCGTACATCATTGTACTCAAGGTCAGAAGTTCAGAATGAACTTTTAAAAATCTCTTGTTTTAAAAACTGAGCTATAAAGTCACTTGTGTAAAATCCACAACTTTAATTGTCTGCAGAGCATTGAATACTGGGATGTGCTATTTGCACATCATGGCTTAGCTAAAAGAACTGCAGGGCCATCTTCCCAGAGGCTCACAAAGGCTGGCAATGACATTAATCACAAGTCCTCTCCCAGCCAGCACCCGTTTGTATATGAGGAAGCAGGAATATGTTAGTTTAGCTAAATCTGTTCTCAGGCCACAGAAGGGAGATAAACCACGGGTGGCAAGAGGGTGGCATCCCTAAGCTGCGGGCAATACCAGAAAAGCATGGGAGTCAGCTTCGCCGTATGCAGCTCTCACAGCTCGCTGGTTTTATGGTTATGCCCCATAGGCTAGAAGGAAAATACATTTAAGTTTCTACCAAGCATTTGAGTTCAGAACCACCAAATTATCTTAATCCATTTATCAGAATTTCTCCAAATTCTTCACAATAGAGAGGAAGAGAGGCAACGTCTGAGTGCATATGCCTGAGGCCTCATACTAAGTGCTTTGGGGTCAAACCCAGTTGGTTCTGAATTCTGGCTTCCCCACTCACTAGTTACTCAAACTTTGGGCAAGTTCCCTGTGAGTTTCCTGTTTCTTGGAATGGAGATAGCATTTATCTCACAGGACTTTTATGAGTATTAAGCAGGAGCATGTGTTGGCCAACAAAGCCTGCTATGCAATTGGTTTACCAACATGTTGGTTTACTAGCTGACGTTTATATGATGGGTACATTTGAAAGAAGTCTGGCGATGGGCAATCAAATAGGGCTTTGCCTGCAGAAGGCGGATCCAGGCATTTGCAGGATAGGTCTTTGAGCTGCAAGAGAACTCCAAGTGCACCACAAACAAGCCTCACCTATATCACAATTTCATATAGGGTCACCACTCCCTGGATGGTTTTGTATAGAATTAACAATGATCTGGCAATAGGCAACTAGATACAAAAACACAGTCAAAGAAAACTTTCATATATACATAGACGAAGTAAACCACAGAGTCCTAGACATTCAGAATGGGAGGGGGTAATGGAGACGGTGGTAACACGATTAACAGTTGTTTAGAAAGTGATGTCAGCGCATGCCATCCCACTTCTTTTCAGCAAGTCTCCCAATCTGCCTAAGGCCTCACAGACACAGCCAGACAGTGGCTACATCTATTCCCACTTCCCTATTTTTCCATGGAAACAGTGAAGAAATTATTCCACGTCTTACTTTCACTCCAAACACTATTTTTAGTGTTACCATTTGCTATAGAAACATTCGCTTAGTTCTTTCGCTTTAATGTCAGAGCATTTCCCTGACAGAGATAAGGAAGAGCTGCCGAAGCAGTTTTCACGAGAGGATGTGTTTTGGGTACCAAACAACTGCTTCTGAACATATTTTTGTTCATAACTCAGCCACAGTTAAGGAACTCCCCACATATTGACCTATTGTAACATCTTTGTAATTTAAAAAGCTCTACATTCCCTTTTTTATGTACAATGCGTCAGACAAATAGGATGTTGCTTTCCTATCAAATTAATAAGAATGTTGCTAATTTGTTCTACTAAGAAGATAAAATTGTCTATCAAAATTTTGCTGGCAACTAGCAAAATAGCAGAGACTCGAGAAGCGGCAGAATCAGACAGAGATGGACTATTGGGAGAGGAGGTGGCAGGAGCTATATACACTGCCTCTTGGGTGCAGGCGTGAGGCAAGCTTGGCCATTTGTGGGTAACCTTGGGCCAGTCACTCTCTCGTCCTTCAGACAGTGAAACTGAAGAGCATGATCTGTAGGCTCCAGGGCTGATCGAACCTTCCAAATCTGAATTCCAGTCACGTAGCACATCGTGCTGGGGAGGCAAAACAAGCCCCAGGTAGCTTCATCTAAGTGAAAATCGTGAACGCCATTGGGTACGCAGAAACACAGCAGTGCGTTCATTGGCAGAGACTGTCACTCTTATTCAGTGCCTCACATTTATACTCCCACATTTGTTCTCCTTGCTTCTAAATTAGTCTGTAAAGACTTTTTAAAAGATTAGCTGGTTTAAAGCCACATTTGCAAAGGGAGCTATGTGGGCCAGCACGCAAATCAGACACATGCTTGTTTTATCTCTTTGCCCAAAAGAAAAGCAACGGTCTGGACTTTTTATGTATAACCATAATCGAGGTTCATCTTTCTCTTGTTTAAAATATTATTTCATATAAACATAAAATGAGCATCATTTATGTGCACTGTTTCAAAATAATCTTTCAGATTCGCCTGTAGTCCAGGAAGCTGACAGGGCCTCTGAATAAGAAAGTAGTGTCAGAAAGAGTAAGCGTTAAGCAGGAAAGTGCAGTTTCATGGAAAGTAACATTGTTAATGTTAGAAACCAACAAAACTATGACTTTTAGATAGCGTAGCAAAAAGGACACACCTTTTTTTTAAGAGGGAAGAATTAATAATAAATCCTCTAAAATTTGAACAAGTTAAAACTGAAAATGTTTTTGAGTTACCAGAAGATATTGTGATGGACACTGCCCACAGGCATTTAAATGGCTGCCCAGGACTCCAAAATCTCAGACTGTCAGTGTTTAGCATGTGTCAAAAAAAAAAAAAGTGGTGCCTAGAAGAGCCTTAGCTTAGAGTCAGCCTAACTCCCATTAGAACAGTGTGAATGACAACCCCCATTTAAAATATTATTATATTTGGCCAGGTTTCAGCCAAGGTGTGTCTGCCACTAGACACCTCTGCTATAGACTGTGCCAGTGAGTTGGAATTGGAAAATGGGGTTACCAGCAATACAACTAGGGAAATTGAAAATAGATTCAGCATTAGTTTCTTACTGCTTTGATAACGAATTACCACAAATGTAGTGGCTTATGACAACACAAATTAATTACCTCACAGTTGTAGAGGCCAGAAGCCTGATAGGGGTCTCACTGGGGTAAAATAAAGGTGTCTGCAGGGTCACATTTTCCTTCTAGAGGTGCAAGGGAAGAATCCATTCTCTTGCCTTGTTGAGCTTTTAGAAGCTGTCCGCATTCCTCGGCCTGTGGCTCCTGCACCCTCAGAGCCGGCAGTGCTGAGCTGAGCCCTTTGCACACAATCGTCTCTCTGGTCCTCATCTGCCTCCCTCTTCCACTCTGAAACACCCTAATGATTACCTTGGGCCCACTTAGATGATCCAGGAAACTCTCCCCATTTTGAGGTCAGCTTATTAGTGAACTTGTACCTGGTAACTTGAATGTTTCCTGTAGAAGGAATCACAACCATCCAGAGGAGGACACGGTGGGGACCAGGAACACACAATGACTGAGGGCAGTTAGGGCTAGTTTTGCTGTGGGGAATGGCAAAGTGAGCTGTGCAGGGACACAGGAAAGAATGTGGTGTCATTCGGGCCTTAGAAGCCTCCCACCTGGGACTCAGTCAGATGCTTCAGCCCATTCATAGCATCTACTCAGGAATTCCTCTCTGTCTCCTAAGGAAATAAATATAGGCAAAATAAATGCAGACAAACTACATACACAGATATTTGTCAAATAATTTTGTATAATACCCTCAAACTAAAAAGAAGGCAATAGAGAAATGATAAAACATAAATTATGATGTACCCACATAATGGAGTATTAGCCAGTTATTAAAAATTTATATTTATAAAAACTTTATCACATGGGAAAATACTTGTGTTACAATGTGCTTGAAAAAATCAGGATACAAAATTATGTATTTGTCTTAATCTCAACTATGTAGAAAACATTTGAGTTTGCAGGTCACCTCAAATGCCTTTTCTATAAAAGAAAAACTGGAAGGAAAAACAATAAAATGGCAATAGTGATTCTTCTGTGGTTGGAATTATTGATCTTTCCTTTTTTCCTTATTTTATGTACTATCCCATTTGTTTTTTTAGAGAATGATTAGATGTTGTAAGGCCCAAGTGAGGCTGGAGACTGTACATTTTTGTGGTTTTGGTCTGCATGGCTCTGTGAATTTCCTTGGCAGCACAGAAGGGCCTGTGTAGGAACAAAGGAGGCTGATGCCGGAGAGGCAGGCCACAGACTGGGAGAAGGTATTTGCGCATTCTCTCTGTGTCCCTCCCTCCCTCTCTCTATGTATGTATGTATCTACACATGCACACACATATGTACACACAGACTTAAATACATAAATATATACAAATATAGATACATTTCCAATAAAGGAATGAAATCTGGAATATATAAAGGGTCCTATCTGGCTGGGTGTGGTGGCTCACACCTGTAATCCTATCACCTATCACTTTGGGAAGCTGAGGTGGGTGGATAACCTGAGGTCAGGAGTTCGAGACCAGCCTGGCCAAATGGCGAAACCCCGTCTCTACTAAAAATACGAAAAATTAGCCGGGCGTGGTGTGGGCACCTATAATCCCAGCTATTTGGGAGGCTGAGGCAGGAGAATCACTTGAACCTGGGGGGTGGAGGTTATAGTGAGCCAAGATCATGCCACTTCACTCCAGCCTGGGCAAAGAGCAAAACTCCATCAAAAAAAAAAATCCTATCTATCTATCTATCTATCTATCTATCTATCTATCTATCTATCTTTCTTTCTTTCTTTCTGTCATCTATCTCTATCATCTATCTATCTAAAGAAAAAATAGCCCAATAAAAAGCAAAAGACAAATAGGTACTTCACAAAAGAGGATATCAAAGTAGCCAATGGAAAGATACTCTTTATTAGTTATCAGAGAAATGAAGATTAAAACCACAATAAGACATCACTACAGCACCTACTGAAATGACTAAAATTAAAAAGAATGACAATATCACATATGCAAGGATGTGGAGCATATGAAACTTCTACATAAATGGTAGTAATGTAAACTAGTTCAATCACCCCAGAAAAATGTTTGGCAATACTTACCAAAGCTAAGCATATATATGCCCTGACTTAGAATTCCACACCTGGATAATATTCCGGAAAATTGAGTGCTTGTGCCTACCAAAAACATCTTTAAGAATGTTCATAGCAGATTTATCATAATAGCACAAACCTGGAATCAACTCAAATGCCCAAGATGGTGCCCAAGGTAAATTGGTATATCCATACAAGGGAATACTACACAGTGATAAAAAGGAATGAGCCAAAATTCAAAACATGGTTGAATCTCACAGACATAATATTGAATAACAGAAGTCAGATACCAAAGAAGACACACTGTGTCAGTCTACTTATGCCTGTCTATGAGGTTTAACAACAGGCAAAATTAGTCTATGATAATAGAGGTTGGAATAGTGGTTAACCTGGGGTTGCCACGAATTGAAGAAGCACACAAGAAGGCTTCCTGGGTGCTGGAAATGATCTAGATCATGATGTGGATGATGGTGGTAGGGGAATAATCATATGTAAAAGTTCAAGCTACACACTTAAGATGTGTGTCCTTTAGGTCAGACAGACTCAGAAAACAGAAACCAAACCAATCCTTCCCTGCACACAAACAAGATTTACCCAACTGTAAAACAATGCAATTTTATGAAATTTATCAGCCATGATAAATTTCTAATAGAAATATAACCTCCCAGCCTCGGCCAACACTAAGCCAGAGCTATTTAATGTTCACTAAACCTCAGATACCTTCCTACAGATCAGTAAACTGGCCGGATCAGATGTATAGTATTTAAATTAGGAGAAACATTCCAAAAGGGAAAATATAGAAGGCCTTGAACTTGTTCTGACCTAAATCTGCTTGATTTTGATTTATTTATTTATTTATTTATTTATTTATTTTTGAGACACAGTCTCACTCTGTCACCCAGGCTGGAGTGCAGTGGCATGATCTTGGCTCATTGCAATCTCCGTCTCCTGGGTTCAAGGAATTCTCCTGCCTCAGCCTCCCTAGTAGCTGGGACTACAGGCTTGCACCACCACGCCTGGCTAATTTTTGTATCTTTAGTAGAGATGGGGTTTTGCCATGTTGGCCAGGCTGTTCTTGAATTCCTGACCTCAGGTGATCCGCCCACCTTGGCCTCCCAAAGAGCCAAGATTACAGGCATGAGCCACCATGCCCGGCCCCACTTGTTTTTTTAGTCTGCCATCTATTTTACAAAGAATTCTGTAACGGGCCGGGCACAGTGGCTTACGCCTGTAATCCCAGCAATTTGGGAGGCCGAGGCGGGTGGATCACCTGAGGTCAGGAGTTTGAGACCAGCCTGGCCAACATGGTGAAACCCCATCTGTATTAAAAATACAAAAATTAGCTGGGTGTGGTGGCGCACCCCTGTAATCTCAGCTACTCAGAAGGTTGAGGCAGGAGAATCGCTTGAACCAGGGAGGTGGAGGTTGCAGTGAGCTAAGATCATGCCACTGCACTCCAGCCTGGGCAACAGAGTGAGACTCTGTATTTAAAAAAAAAAAAAAAAAAAAAAAAAAAAGCTGTAACAATTTGTGAGAAAACATTCAGAACCACTGAAATAAAGGCGTGATAATAAATGCAGAAACTCATGGCTGTTGGAATTGTCCTGAAGACAGTTAATTGCTGGTTAGAGACAAAATGCACACTGCTGCTTGATTGTGTACACAAAAAATGTACCCACCTGGATGTTGTGGTGACAGATGATACACATAAATGACAGGCAAGAAAGTAGGAAAACTAAAAGAGAGCAAACAGGCCCTCAATGCCTGTCTAAATGTTAAGAGAATTTCATAGAATTAGAACAAAGCACCAGCACTAAATGATGTGCATAAGAATCTGTAATCCTCAGACCATATTTGCAAACTTGTGTGAAAAATGGGACTATGATGTACCCCCGTTCCCAGACAAATCTGGAACAGTGAAGCCTAAAACACAGGAAATGCCTAGAAATGCCACGCAGAAGTCAAGAGCTTTGGAGTCATGTATGGAGTTGGACATTTAGTCTCACTGTGACCTTTGGGCACATTCCACAAAAGTTCTGACCTTCATAAAATTCCCTCACAGAAGTTCAAATGGGAATCTGTGAAAGCAAATAATGTAATATCTTATTATTATTTTTTTTTTTTGAGAAGAAGTTTCACTCTTATTGCCCAGGCTGGAGTGCAATGGCGCTATCTCGGCTCACTGCAACCTCTGCCTCCCAGGTGCAAGTGATTCTCCTGCCTCAGCCTCGTGAGTAGCTGGGATTACAGGTGCCCACCACCACACTTGGCTAATTTTTGTATGTTTAGTAGAGACGGGGTTTCACCATGTTGACCAGGCTGGTCTTGAACTCCTGACCTCAGGTGATCCACCTGCCTCGGCCTCCCAAAGTGCTGGGATTACAGGCATGAGACACTGCGCCTGGCCCTATGTCTTATATATTATAGGCACTAAATGAACAATGGGTGTCATGATCATATTTGCAGATTGGAAAGATCCATCTTTGTGGGTGGTGCTCTTGGAGGAAGTGGGTGCAAGCTAATCTTCCCTAAGATCTAAGCGGCAGGGAGATACTGTCTCATGTCTAGGATCAAAGATCAGTGTTACTGGTCTGGGGGTGGATATGGGGCATTGAGAGTTCATACCCATCATTAACGTTCTCCGAAGAAGAACGCAAAACCATCTGTTCAGAGGAGAACATGGTGCAGACCGGGAACACACAGTATGTGAGAGCAGTTAGGGCTACTTTTGCTGTGGGCAATGGCAAAGTGAGCTGTGCAGGAACAAAGGAAATAATGTGGCGTTTTTCAGGCCTTAGAACCTTAGACGCCTTCCCACGCTGAGACTCAGAGCCTTCAGCTCATTCATAGCCATCAGCTCAGGGATTCCTCTCTGAATATCTCCTAAGGAAATAAATTAAATATAGGCAAAATAAATGCAGACAAATTATGCATACAGATACTTTTTTTTTTTTTTTTTTTGATACGGAGTCTCGCTCTGCCACCCAGGCTGGAGTGCAGTGGCACGATCTTGGCTCACTGCAACCTCCACCTCCTGGGTTCAAGCGATTCTCCTGCCTCAGCCTCCCAAGTAGCTGGGACTACAGGCACGTGCCACCATGCCCGGCTAATTTTTGTATTTTTAGTAGAGACGGGGTTTCACTATGTTGGCCAGGCTAGTCTCAAGCTCCCGACCTCAGGTGATCCGCCTGCCTCAGCCTCCCAAAGTGCTGGGATTACAGGCGTGAGCCACTGAGTCTGCCGCATACAGATCTTGTTAAAGAATTTTGTAGAACACTCCCAAGTTGAAAACAAGACAATACAGAAATGGTTTAAAATAATAAATCATGATGTATCACATAATGAAATATTAGTTATTAAAAACTTATATTTATAAAAACTACATTATCACAAGGGAAGATACTTGTGTATAATGTAGCTGAAAAAAACAGGATACAATCTTGTGTATTTGCCTTAATCTCAACTATGTACAAGCCATTTGAGTTTGCAGGCCAGCTTGAATCCCTTTTTTGGAAAAAGAAAAACTGGAAGAAAAACAATAAAATGCCAACAGTGATTGCCTCTGCGGTTGGAATTATTGGTGATCTTTCCTTCTTTCTTATTTTATGTACCATCCTGTTTGTTTTTCAGAGAATGTTTAACCCATTTATGCTGGAGGTTGCAATTTTCTTATGTGAAAAATCAGACCTTGGCCATGACCTTCAGCAGTAGGATGTAAATAACTCCCACAAGCTTAGCATTCCAATAATGGAACACTAGGCATTAATGGGCTCAAAGTAGTAAGGCCCAAGTGTGGGTGGAGACTGTATTTTTGTGGTTTAGGTCTGCATGGTTCTGTGAATTTCCTTGGCAGCACAAAAGGGCTTGTGTAGGAAGAGAGGAGGCTGGTGTATGGTTGGGGTTTCAACCAGGAAGGTGTTGGCGGGGGTGGGGGGGGACCAAGGGATGAGGGCACTGGGGGTGCTGGTAAGAGAGCAGTCAAGGGATGACCATGAGGCCCAGGGCTAGGCAGGGTGGAGGCTGGAGAGAGATGACTAGTGAGAAATGAGCAGTTGGAGCAGAAGGTCCTTGGATGGGGGAGGAGCAGAAGTTTAGGAAACAACGGGATCAAGACTAGGGTGGAAAAAAATTGGGAAGAGAGAGTGGGTGCAGTCTCATGCATTTGAGATACAGCAGTTTCAGGGTCATAATAGGCCATGGTGAAAGTTCATTGATTAATAAATATTGATCCAGCAGCTATTGTAAACCAGCACCGTGCTAGGTGCTAGACACAGATACAGACCCTGCCCTCCTGGAGGTTGTGCTCTGGTGAGGGACTCCAGTATGGAATAAAAAATAAATCACTCCAAAGTGTAATATGTTCTCTAAAGAAGAGGAGTAGGAGGGAAATACAGGTCAGGAAAAAAAGACCAAAGGAAGTATCACTGAAGCTAAGTCCTGAAAAATTAGTGGGAGTCAGCCAGGTGAAGGGTGGGGGCAGCTGGGGCTAAGCCCTCAGGGCAGGAAGAAGCTTGGGTTGTTCACAGAACTGGAAGAAAGCCAGTGTGGCTGGAGTGGAGGGAGCAGAGGGTGGTACTGAAAGGAAGCCCAGGAGATGTGGTCCTCTTAAGGAGTCTGGGTTTCACCCTAACTGCAGGGAAGCCAGGGAAGGGTTTTGAAACAGGGAAAGGACAGGGTCCAATCCCTATTGCTGGAGAAGGATCAGAGGGATGGTGGCTAAGATCTGGGTATTGCTGGACAGCCGCCTGCAGAGAGCCCCTCAGGAGTAGGGTCCCTGTGGCCTCTGGCAGTGAGGCAGCTCAATTCGACCTCTGCCACCATGGCTCACCTGGGCAATGGGCCTGTTGAGATATTGTTTCTTCCTAATTGGTTCCTGGCTGGCCCTTGACTCCAATCCTCTCCCCAGGTAGGGATGTCTGTGCCTATGGGGCCTGTATTTTCTGAACCTAAGTGAAGACAAGCAGATTGAGTGTCTGTGAAGACCCAAAAGCAGAACCCTGGGATGAACACTGTCCTGAAAATTGTCCCCGCTACCATCCTGGGTTAGAAAGCACACTGCCTTTGACTTCACCGTCTTCACCCCATTAATTACCAGCCTCTGGTTTGACTAAGTGAAGATTCAGGACTGATGATTAGCAATGATGATGATGGTGTTGGGAATAACTGAGTGAAGAAGCAAATGTAAATATTTTAAAGTGTAAATATCAAAAGTGTAAATACTCTTGCTTTCTGAGATCCCAAAAGATGCCTTCCTCTTAGTGTGGGAAGGGTTGATATTCCTTTCTTTTCTAAACTAAAAAATATTTTCAGTTTGCAGAGGTAGACATCATTTTCAGAAAGGCAGCTTTGCCCAGCCTTAAGTGCAGATTAGGGGTTCAAACCCTGGCTCTGCCACTTACTATCTGCATGCCCTTGGGCATGGTACTTGCCCTTCTCATGCTGAGTCTCCTCGTCTACCACATGGAGATAATAGCAGCATCTCGGTTGCAAAATCAGGGTAATGGCAGGTCTTAGCTCAGAGGGTCTGCTGGCAGGTGGATAATTTAAATGAGTGACTATTTGTAAATGGCTTAGATCCGTGCCCGGTTATTTGATAAAAGCATGTTCCCAGTGAGGTGCAATATATTTAGAAGTAGCATGGTCTTCTTTCTTTTGGCTTGTCAATGAGGTTCTCCTTCTCTGAAAGGGATGTGTTCAGGGGTAGCTGAGAGATTTTCTGGAGCCTCAAAAAACAACCAACCCCATGCTCTTGGCTTTCTGGTTGTCCATGCAGACTGCAAGAAACACTATGTGGGGTCTATGTTTCTTTTGCACTTTTGACAAATCCTTACTTGAACATTTTAGTCTTTTCTTAACCTGGCTTCAAGGCTTGATCCAAAAGGCATTAAGGAGGGGAAGAGCCTCCTTGACTGCCAGCCACTTGGCAGGGCCCTGGGAACCAGAGCTCTCACAGGAAGATGAAAGTCCCAGGGGTAGGGGAGGGGCACAGTTTCTTTCCACATTTTTAAAGCATGAAGGTGCTTGCTCTACCAGGCTCCAGATAATTTTCCATTTTCCCAACCTATTCACAAAATTCCCCACCAGTTTCTATTTTGAGTGTTGACACCATGTTCTCGGCCTTAACTAATCACCAGGAACCTCGGTTTTTGTCTTCTGAAAACCTCCAGGAACTTCAAAAGCCACCCACAGAATACAAATAAAGCCAGAGGTTTAAGATATTCTGGAAACGAAATTCTTAGGTAGAAAGGCAGTTTATGGAGTCCATAAATATTTAGTAGTTACAGCGGCAAAAACTAACATGATTTTGAAGAGCAAGGAGCAGAGGCTCAAGGTGGGAGAGGAGAGAGGGGAGTATAGTTTTTGCAGTTGTTCAGTTTAGTTTGAGGATTTTGAAAAAAACAAACACACAGACACCCAACAAACTCGTTGTCTCTGATTGTCATGAGTCACCCATTCATTGTGAATGCAGGTTATTAATTTGGGGGGGGGTTATAAGGCTGAATCACTATTTTTGTTCTTTTTATACAGGGAACTTAAAGCACTTAACCATCAAAAGAGGCTTTTACGTGAATAGCTTGTGGCCAAGGGATAACATTAAAAATTCAAAAAGGAAACTTCGTTTGATATGCCCAAGTAAATGGGAAACTGTCTTGGGCCTCGTTTCGCTCGATTCTTCTATCTGGGATTTTGAGCCCCTTGAAAGCCACAGGTGGAGAGAGCTCCTTCCGGGGTCCAGGCCCTCTCGGCCTCCGACAGCCGAGCAGCTCGGCTTTTCCAGGCCTCCAGTGTGCGCGGCGCTAGCCGTCGGACCCAGCGTCCCGCGGAGTAGCGCGGATTCCGCGTGATCCCCTCCAAACAATGCGGACCTCGCCGCTCATTCTGGCGTCCGGTGACACCCGAGACTCCCCGTCTGACGTTAGTATCATCTCTTCCAGCCTGGGTTGAAGGCGTCCCCTGAGGACTCGTCGCAGCCTGGGCTCCCTGCTGGGACGCGACTCCCGCGCCTCTCGCCTGCCTGGCCCTGGGCGTGCACCGCCGGGGAAGAGGCCGGGACGGGGTCGCCGGGCTGTGCCATCCGCAGACCAAAGCCGCGGCTCGGGCTCCGGAGGAGATTCGCTGGGCGACCACCCAAGGCAGCTCCCTCCGTGCGCGGTCTCCCTAAATGGACCAGCCCTGTCTTTACAAGAAAAAGGATTTTAAAAAAAGAAGAAAGAAAGAAAATAAAGAAAGGCGAGCGCAGCTGAGACGGCATCAGCTGCCTTTCTTCCCACACTCGCCGGTGTCACACCCATGAATCACCTCCAGACGGGGCGGCAGCTTCCCTAATTAGCCTGGAGACGCTCAGGACCCACAGGGTTATAAAACAACAACAATAACAAACTTTTACTTTTATTCAAATGCACACTTCCTTCCCTCGGCGCCCACGCCCGCCGCAGGCCACTGACTTAGAGGGCGGATCCGGAGGTCACCTGGAGTCCCGGGTCCCTCTCACCGACGCGCGCGGGTGCCCTGGGCCAGTCCCGGACTGACTTGCCACCACCTCCGGGTCTCCGGTGCCCCCCGGCCCTCCCGGAGCCCCGACAGCGCCGCTGCGCGGACAGGCCGAGGCGGGTCGGGAGCGGCGCGGGCTTGGGAGGGAGCGCTGGGCAGCCGGGCCCGCACCCCGATTGCCCTCCCCGCACCCCGATCGCCCTCCCGCCTCCCGCGGGGCGTCCAAGGCCCAGGCCGGCGCCTGCGCCCCCCGCCCCGAGGTCTCGGCCCCACTCCGCCGGGCCAGCTGCGGAGGCGGCGTTGGGAGCTGTGCGCCGCGGGGGAGGTGCGCGCGGCGGCCGGCGAGGGGAGCTGAGCGGCGTCCGCCCCCGCCGAGCCGAGCGGAGCCGAGCGAAGCCGGCGCGCCTGCAGCTGGGAGCTGGGAGCTGGGAGCGCGCCGGGCGCAGGGCCGGGCCGGCCGCGGGAGGGTAGTGTCAGCGCCCGCGTCCAGCTCTTCGGCCGCAGACCCGGGCTGTCTGGAGGCCGCGCGGCCACCTGCTGCGTCGCCCCGGCTTTGGGCTGGGGCTAGACGCGCACCGCGGCGGGAGCAGCCCCGGCTCGCCGCACCCCGCGGAAGGTGCCCTTCTCTGCGCGTCTCGCCGAGCCCGGGCCACGCTCCTGTCCCAGGTACCTCGAGGGGTTTGAAATCGCGTGTCCCAAGGCAGGCGTGGGTCGAAGGCGGGGTGGGCGCGGGGGCACCGGGCGGAGGTGGGGCGGGCCGGGGCTAGGGGGTCGAGGGCAGAGGCCGTGAAGCCAGGGGCCCCTCGGACCCGGAGAGGCGCCACCCCCGCCGCCGAAGCCCTGGGCAGCTCCTGCGGCCGAGGGGGAGCCGGACGCGCTCGTGCAAGTGCCCAAAGTTTCCCTTTGCTCACTTTGCTGGACCCAACTTTCCACTGTGAGGCAAATCCAGCAGTTTACGCGCCAGGAAAATGAAAGAGGAGGGAGAGAAGGTCCTGCTCGGTTGAAATTGCTAGCATACGAGGTCTTTATGCCCACTGTCTCCACACGCAGTTGCAGGGGAAAGGAGTGGACACATTCACGAACTGCCTTATGCTTTAGGTGATGGTTTATTTAACAGGTTTTAGGCTTTGATTACACGCCACCCGGGAGGGATTCTGGAGTTGATCTAAGAAGTGTTCACATTTTTAATCAACAAATATTTGTTGAACAGAAGCTTCATCATAGGCAAAGATTCGGTATGAAGTTCACATGTGATCAGAGCATAATAGTCACTTGCTTTTGAAATGCAAGTCAGAAGCAGTGCGGCTGTGTGAATTTGACTCCGTGTAGGTGCAAACCGCCTGCAGGCATCAGGTCCTGTTGACAGTTTTGAGCCAGGAAATCCAAGTGGAAGACAGGCAGCTGTGTTACCCTTTTAGAGCCAGCTCACACCTTCCCAAACTGGTCTTAAGGTATCCTACTAGGTTATTGGAGCCTGCAGGCTTCCTTCATTTGCATATACCATAGACTAGAATCTGTGTAGACCCCTGGTATTTTCCCTGGAGCTCGGTCCCACGGGCGCACACCTGGAATGATGGAGCACTGTGGTCATCCTAAGAACCTATTGAGGTTATAAAATTGTGAGGAGAAAGATATCTAGAGACAGTGTCGTGTGGAGCTGGTGGAGAAGGTTGAGCTGGGCTGGTTTCTGGGCTCTGCCCCTATGCTGTGCCATCTTGGAGTCTGAGGCAACAGGAAAAATCAGGAACACTGATCCTGTCTTTATTTAAAAATGTGAGATTTTGTACATTAGGGATTTTTGTATTTGTTTTGATGTTTTAAAATATTGTAATAAGGCATTTATCTGACTGCATTTTTGGTACCCCCTTAAATTTTGTGCCTGTAGTGAGTACCTGGCTTGCCTGAGTCTGATTCTGGACCTCCTCCACGAGTCAAGTTCTTACTCTCTAAGCATCTGTTTCCTCACTTATAAAATAAAGTGTACCATCCATGGATGCTGCGCAGCTCAGCTGCTGCATAGGATGCGTCATGTGGGGCTCACTAACGGGTGGCTGTCCTGCTGAGATCACTGCTCTGCTTGGCCCTCTTAGGCTAGTTAAGATGAATCTTGGCTGGGCGCGATGGCTCACACTTGTAATCCCAGCACTTTGGGAGGCCGAGGCAGGTGGATTGCCTGAGGTCAGGAGTTCGTGACCAGTCTGGCCAACGTGGTGAAGCCCTGACTCTACTAAAAATACAAAACAAAAATAGCCAGGTGTGGCGCCTGTAATCCAGCTACTCGGGAGGCCGAGGCAGGGGAATTGCTTGAACCAGGGACGTAGAGGTTGCAGTGAGCTGAGATGGCACCACTGCACTCCAGCCTGGGCAGCAGAGTGAGGCTCAGTCTCAAAAAAAAAAAAAAAAAAAAAGGATGAATCTTGACCAATCTCAGTGCACCATTCAGGGAAATGAGAGCAGTGATAGTGCTATGGTTTGAATGTTTGTGTCCCCCCAAAAATTCATATGTGGATTCCTAATCCTCAAGGTGATGGTATTAAGAGATGAGGCCTTTGGGAAGTGATAGGTCATGAATGGGCTTGGTGCCCTTATAAAAGAAGCGCAAGGAGCTCGCTCGTCCCTTCCACCATGTGAGGACACTGTGAGGAGGCGCCTTCTATGAGGAATGGGCCCCCACCAGACACCCAACCTGCCAGTGCCTTGATCTTGGACTTCCAGCCTCTGGAACTGCAAGGAATAAATGTCTGTTGTCTATGAGCTGCCCGGTTTATGGTATTTTGTTATAGCAGCTGAAATGGACTCAGCTGGCCAGCCCTCAGGGATGCTCTTGGTTAAATGAGAGAATAGATGTGAAGGTACCAGGCCTCCAGGAGGGTGGGTTTTCTGTGATGTCCTGGTGGGCCTGGATTTGACTTAGCTACCTTGCAGTCACTGGCTCTTCCCCTGCAGGCTGGCTCCGTGCCTTGTCATGCAGTTGCTTGTTGTGCACATAAATACTGCTTGTGTTGCAGGTGGACTCTCTGGGTGGAAACCTGCCCAGGGTTTATTGTGGAAAGGTGCAAAATTTTGTGTAAGTGAGCTTGATTTTGCTGTCCCTAGTGAAGTCCCTTGGTTCCCTTTTTCATATACTCAGTTCCCAGTGCATGGTTCTGTTTTTCTAGAGCCTAATTCAATGGTATTATTTCAGTCACTATTTAGCTTAAAGGTAGCTTCGTCCCTGGTGGGAGTCAGTCTCTCAGTCTTTCCACGTTACTCCTCGGGGACCCCTTTTCGCTACAAGTCACCCCTGGGCACCAGGAGAGGGTTGTAGTCCCATCAGAGCTTGAGGGGAGTGGCCCTGACTGGTCATCTGGTCCTCTTGCGGTGCCCCAGTGAGTCCCTTTCCCCTCCACATGGAGCCTCCGGCTCACATTTCCATCATTGTCCAGCTGGTGTCCCCAGGGTGAGCCACAGCGGGGACCTGGCTCTTCCATTGGCCCAGAGGTCCCCATGCTCTGAGGTCTCTTCTGGGCCCCTATTGGGCACCTGGGAGCCCGCCCAGGTTGTGCGGAACCGTACTAGGCCTCCATTTCTACTGTTCTGAGCTCGGCCTTCCCTGAGTTCCCACAGGAAGCAGGACAAGAACGCCCCCTCAGCCCCACCCCTGCTCCTCCAGGTGGGGTGCACAGCGGTAGGTGCTCAGTGCCTGGGTTCATGTCCCAGACCCAGAAGGCATTTTTCTACCTGTGGGGCAGGGCTGTTTCTTAGGTTCTGTCTTCTGTCCTCTGCACATCATGGCTTTGGGGAGAGCTCTAGGCTCCAGCTTCCAGGCTTTGCCCTTGATACATAAAAGGAAGTTTAAAATATCTCTGTATTCACCACTGTCTTGGGTAAAGTGTGCTAGGCCTTTTTATTACCTGAAAAAGACTGGGAGAGCCGTCGGGGCTGCTGGAGACTTCAGTCAGGGCTGGGAGAAGGCAAGGAAGGAGTAGCTGGCAGCGGCGTTGCGGGGATTGAATGGCTTTCTGCGTACACAGCCCGGCCCACTGTCATGGGGATGGGCGTCTTCCAAACCACCGTTCCTATTTATGCTGTTGCTGCCTCATCATCAGAGCAACCCCCTGTGTGCTTGGCACTCACTACAAGCCGGAAAGGTCCGAGTCATAATTGCTGCTTCTGGTGAATAAGATGAGCCCTTGTCAAGCCTGTACCTGCAAGCCTGAGCCCTGGATTTAGTTCACACTCAGTTCACACTGGATTTGGAAGGGGAGGTAATCAGGGGAAGCTTCTTGGAGGAGGTGGAACTTAAAGTAACAACTTGGCCACATGGATGTGAGATGCAAGAGAACTGCCTTTGAAAGGGAGACAGGCCGGCCCGGCCTGGTGTTCACAGGCCCACCTGTGGCTTGATGCTGGCTGGTGTCCCGCCGATCTCTTCTGTTGTCTAGATACCTGCAAACACCGGTACTGCTGGTGTCACCTGTGGGTAGGACAACACAGACAGCCAGCGTTCAAAATCCTTCTGTTTTCCCCAAACTGAACGGAAATCAGGAGAATTCTCATCAAATAATGCTCTTTCTAGATCTCTGTGTCTGGAAAATAACTTCAAAACTTTAGGTCAGATTAAGAGTCCTTAAGACACATTTATGATTTTGACAAATTACCTTGAAGATATTTGTATTGCTTTTAAGGGGGTCTAACCCATAATCCTGAGCCAAGTGGATAATGAACTAGAGATGCTGTTTCTGTCGGTGCCCAGTGAATTTAGCAGTGAAATGATGGGAAATGATAAGACAGGCATGTGATGTAACAGGGCACCTCCTGAGCAGCGTCAGCCACCAGCTTTTCACAGGCTCAGATACCATTCTGGAGGAGACTGCTGGTAGGAAGGATTCTCAGACATTTTTCTTATGATCTGGGTATCTGTGAAAGGAAATTATGGAAGTTCGTTTTGAAAAGTGCAGATGGAAAGGTATTTATTTGCTCAGGCCTTCTCCTGGCTGTGGTGTGTGGGGCTGGTTTTTAACTGTGTGTAGCTGAAGAACTTCCAGAAATATTTGCCTTAACCTCTGAGGTCCATACACCAGTCTCTCCATGGTTTCTGCCCTCAAATTCTCATGTCTGTGGGAAGCACCAGAACCATTAGCTGCGGGGTGTGCAGTTTCCAAGAAACTACTCTCGGAAACACTGCCCCATATGTGGGAGGAGAAAATGTCAGAGAGGTTGCCTTCTTTTTAAAGCAGTTGGTCCAGTCAAGGTCAGGGGAGTCAGGCTCTAGTGTCTTTTTTTTTTTTTTTTTTTTTGAGATGGAGTCTTGCTCTGTCGCCCAGGCTGGAGTGCAGTGGCGCGATCTCTGCTCACTGCAACCTCTGCCTCCTGGGTTCAAGGGATTCTCTTGCCTCAGCCTCCTGAGTAGCTGGGATTACAGGTGCCTGTCACCACACCTGGCAAATTTTTGTATTTTTAGTAGAGACGAGGTTTCTCCATGTTAGCCAGGCTGGTCTCGATCTCCTGACCTCAAGTGATCCACCCACCATGGCCTCCCGAAGTGCTGGGATTACAGGCGTAAGCCACCATGCCCAGCCCAGGCTCTGGTTTCTGCTGTGCCACTTAGAAGTCCTGCAACCTCAGTCACCCCTTAGATGGGGTGGGGGGGTGGTAGACACACACACACACACACACACATACATGAGCATTACATGAGGTGCTGTATGACAAACATAGAAAATGCTCCATAAATTATTTATAGGTATTACTCTCTTATTGTCTTTCTTGTAAGACGGTTAAAGGGCATTTGTTATAACTACCAGTTAGGACCCCTACTAATAATGTTCCCTAAAGCAATAAAGGGTCCTTCCATAACTGAGATCTGATGGCATTTAAGGAAAATGAGCATAACTGCCATACACAGTGCTCCTGAGCACAGCTGCTGGTGGAAGCTGTCATGTGGGGAACAACCTTGACGCAATTTAGAACACACAGGGAGAAGCGAGGGGACGGAAGAGGGGTAGGTGACACAGGACAGGGGTGGGACAGAGATGGGGTAGGTGATATAGGTAGGATAGGGTGGGGTCAGAGATGCAGTAGGGGACACAGGACAGAGGGTGGGGATGGGGATGGAGTAGGGGACACAGGACAGAGGGTGGGGACGGGGATGGGGTAGGGGACACGGTACAGAGGGTGGGGACGGGGATGGGGTAGGGGACACGGTACAGAGGGTGGGGACGGGGATGGGGTAGGGGACACGGTACAGAGGGTGGGGACGGGGATGGGGTAGGGGACACGGTACAGAGGGTGGGGATGGGGATGGGGTAGGGGACACGGTACAGAGGGTGGGGACGGAGATGTGGTAGCTGGAAAGCATCCGTGTGTCCTGTCTTGCTCTGCAGCATCCGCCTTCCCCACTAATGTGTGAGGAGAAGGACCTGACTTGAAGCACTTGCATGGGGGCCACGGATGGGAGGTGCCCTGGGCCAAGACATACGCCCCGTCGTGTTGGAGAGACACAGGGATGGTTCTGCCCTGCCACGTCTGGGCTCACTAGTGAGTGTGTTGAACAGCCTTGGATTCAGAGGACCAGCATTGGGTCACCAGTGGGGAAGCGAATTTTGAGGGAATATCAGGTTCCTCTGGGTAACTGGTCCCGTGCATACAAATGTATCGTGGTATCGAGCACCTTTTCCATGTCGAATGTATCGTGAGTCTTTGCTGCCCAGCTGCCTTGGGTCCATGTGGTGCTTCATGAATACTAGGTGTCTTAGAGCTCGTATCTCCTCCTCTGTTTGATATACACCTGCTCTACTTCCTATTTATCTCTACTTGACATATCCTATGAGATTCACCCATTGCGTTTGTTGTTTTTTTCTTCAAAATTGAATGTTCCCAAACAATTTGACAAATGCCCCTTATTGAAGACACTAAACTCGTCCCTGAGAATGGGTTTTGAGATTGGGCATAGTTTTGTGAAGCCATCATCCCATCCAGATGGGGGAGCCTGCCGTGCCTGGGGCATTCTGGGACCAGGTGTGGGTCTGTAGAGGTTCGCGAAGCTTTGCTTACACTCACTTCAGGTCCACAGACACTGAACTGTGTGCTCAGGGATGGTTTCTTCCCCTGGCTCCTCAGGACAGAGACATGACCAGAGAGGCGGCTCCCCCGTCCCACTGTAGATGCTGCTTGGAGTCTGAGGCATACTGGGCTGCTCTCTGGGCTCTTGGTCTGATTACAACTCTGCGACTACACACAAGGTCTGCACCAGACAGGTAAGGGAGTAGGTGCGGTGGGCACAGGGGCCACACCAGGTCCAAGGGCATCGGCCCAGACCGTGGCTCTCGGGTTCTCTCCCTTCTGTGCAGGCGGCATGGGAAATACCGCAAGCACTCTGAAGCCCCATCTCCACTCTTTGCCTGCTTTCTAACCTGGGTTTAACACCTCCCTCCTGGCTCCGGAGTTTCTATGATCTTGCTTTAATACCTTAATTATTGACCTTTGTTCCCTAAGGAGGGGTATTAAGAACTTTTTTGTGGATCTTTTCTGCATGGAAGATTTGTGACTTTGAATCTGCAGCACTAGCTTGGCCAGTGGAGGTGAGGAGGGAGAAGAAATGGGGTGTTTTCAGGGGTCAGACCCACTCCCTTGAAGGTCTGAGTCAAATGGCCACACCTCTCCATGGGGCTGGGTGATTCGGTCTCTGAGCTGTGATCATTTCTACGGGAACCGAATTCCATGTAGTTTTGGATGGTTGCTGGGTGTCAGCTACAAGCTCCATTGGAAATCACATTCTGAAATTATCATGTGTTAGTGCTTCCAGTATGCTCTCTGGTTGAAAATGGCATTTTTATAGACAAATACAAGCATTTTGAAGGTTTGAGTCACTTGCTTTGTGAGGCTTGGCCAGTGTTATCTTGTTTTCTTCACAGCCTTTGTGAGCCAAAACAGGTCTTTGAGTTGAGGTGTGCTGGTGCGAGGGGCTTCTCTGGTACCACATTCTAGAACAGAAATGACTGAATGAATTTTGTGGGCCTGCGTCAGCCTCTCGAGTAGCTGGACCCTCGGTAGGGGAGGAAGCCCTATAGACCAGACATGGCCAGGCCAGCCAGCAGGGAGGGCCCAGCAATTAGCACGAAGAAGTCTGGTCAGCTGTCTGGGGCTCTGAACAGACTAGAGATTTCCCTCACCTCAGTCAGGCTGCTCTTTGGCCACAGTGTTACGTGGCTTGAGGCTGGGTGCTGCAGTAACTGTCTGTACCATCAAGCCTGGGGGCGGAACAGGAGCGGATCTCTTACAACATTTGGGGCAGAGCCTTCCGAACTTCTGTCTGTGCTATACTGACTATACATACATACGTATATGCGCTAACATACATATTTACCCCAAAGAGGTAATGTCTGTATTGTTTTGTGAGCTGTCTTATTTTTTTTTATTTTTATTTATTTATTTATTTTTTTGAGAGTCTTGCTTTGTCTCCCAGGCTGGAATGCAGTGGCGCCATTTCTGATCACTGCAACCTCCACCTCCTGGGTTCAAGAGATTCTTCTGTGTCAGCCTCTCGAGTAGCTGGGATTACAGGCACGCACCACCATGACTGGCTAATTTTTTTTGGTATTTTTAGCAGAGACAGGGTTTCACCGTGTTGGCCAGGCTGGTCTTGAACTCCTGACCTCAAGTGATCCACCTGCCTCAGCCTCTCAAAGTGCTGGGATTACAGGCATGAGCCACTGCACCTGGCCATGAGCTACCTTTTCAAAATGAATGGTACAAGTTGAGCCTCTTTTCCACACTACTAGATTATTAGATATTCTTCGTTTGCATCCATTTTCAGGGCTGCAAGAAATTCCATTGTAGGGATAGGTTCCAGTCCACGAGCCTTCTCTGGGATGGATGTTTAATTAAGTGATTTTCAACCATTTGCCAGTTAGTTAACATGACAATAGACATCCTTGTCCATTTGTCATTTAAAATTGTGATGTTTTGTGCATCATGAGTTTTTGTATTTTTTGCGCTTTTGTCTGATCAGTGCCTTTGCGTACCGTCTCCTAAGTAGATTTCCTGTGTATATACCAGACTCCTTCTTTGATATGTCCTGCCTGAAATAATTTTTTCACACCAAGTTTTTTTTTTTTTTTTCCCCAAGAGATGAGTCTTTACCAAGATTTCCTGAATCTTGGTTGGCAGCATCTGTGTTACTCAGAATTCACTCTCATTCGCTGAGGCAGAAGAGGATTTAGTGCAGGGAATTCAGGACCCACAGAATTGTTGCAAGCTTGGGCCTTGGCCGCATGCTCAGGAACCACCGCAGAGTGACGCTGCAGAGCTGGCCCGCCGGTAACTGCTGCCTCCAGCGTGGCCAGGGAGTCATTGGTGGCTCCAGGCCACACACCTCCCACCGTCCACCCGCACCAGGGAGGGTCCCACCTGCTGCTCTGCATTAGTGGAGCCGTGGAGGAAGCTCTGTGACCTCCACCTCCGTCCACAGGGGAAACCAGATACGTCCATAGTGGGGCCTCTTGACGTGAGCCCTGAAGCCTCCCTCCCTGCTGTCTCCTGGAAGTCAGATTGGACACTTCCCAGCCTGACTTTCAGAGCAGGTGGAGAAATGAGGGGAAGCCACACACAAATAGTTCCTGCAGATTTACCTTGCATACAAGCCAAGTACTTAGAAACGAATCCCTGGAGACCCGCCCTAGCTGAGAGGGTGGGTGGGTTGCGAGGGGCTGTCTGGTGAGTCTATCTGGACATTGGAGAATCTTCGCTCTCTCTGCCCCTTTCCTGGCCGTGTTGAGTCAATACCGAGCAACCCTTCGCTGCAGGCGTGGGAAGGAGGCAGGAATTAACCCACTGCTAAGTTAATAGCCAATGTTTTTTCATGAGTCATAATTGATTCGCATTCGGTTTATGAACAACATTTCTCTTTGCCTCTTCAAACAGGCCTTTGTGCATACTTACTGTGAATTCAGGTGTCTGTAGAGTTCCAAGCTGCCCCTCTGAGTGGATCATTGTATTTTCGGTGTTCAGCGAGAACATTGCTGAGGAAGGGTTCCAGGAGACACATTGTCTTTAGCAACCCCAAGTGCAGCTGTGGGCCTGTGAGGGTTGGAGACCATGGGGGCAGCTGCTTGCTTCATGGTGCACGCTCTTGGGAGCCAGCAGTAAATGTCACCCCTTCAGAGATGGACTGTTCAAAATGGCCTGATGCTCCCCACCCTGCAAGCTCCCAAGAGGATGGTGGGAGGGGATAGAAAGAAGGCGCCCAGCCCCCTCTCAGTTGAGGTGGAGTGGACAGCCTTCCCCATTCTAATCCTGGGAGGGTACAGTGGCTTATGCTTCTAGCCCATCCAGGAATTAGGCCTGTCTGGGGAACCCATATTTTCTTTAAAAAGAGAAAATCATACTGATTTCACATGTACCAAATGAGTCACCTTAGGTTTCTATGGCACCTTCCCTTTGTGAATTAAAAATAGGATATGATTTATATGTAACAGCTGGTTTTCTTCAATTTTGAGGGGTAAGTGTTGATTGTGCATTATGAAGTAAATTGTAATAATTATTTTACCAGCTACAGCGGTTTTTCTTTCAATTCTTCTAATCATATAAAATGAGATCTTAAAAATTGTAAAAAAATACAGTTATTTTTTGTAGCATATAAATACTGGATAATCCAGGCTGCCTAATGCATAACCTCTCCCTCCTGCCCACCCCATATTGTGATTTAAAATAATTAATAAAGTGTGTGTGTGTGTATGCATGTGTGTGCGCGCGCATGTGTGTGTTTAGAAGAGAAGTCCATTCCAGCTCAGAGATTTGATGCTGTATTCCACCTGTCGAGCATTGCTCCCCACCTTTTGGGTAACTTCACCTTTTTCATCTTATTTAATCCTTGTAGTCACCCTGTGTATTTTATAAGTAAGAAGACCCAGGCTTAGCAAAGTGAAGTCACTTTGGCAGGATTGCATAGCTGGTGAGTGAGAGCTGTGAGCCCACCTTTATCCCGCTTCCCTCACGAGGCGCACTCCCCGTGTATGCAGCGTTTGTTCCTCTGGGTGAACCCTGATGCCTTTGCCCCTCTGCCTGTGCGTGCTGTGTGGTTGTCGGTTTCAGTACTGTTGTGGCTATTCAGCTGACACACAGGGGCTGCCATGATTGCTTCACCTCTCACTGTTTTTATCCCCACTTTACAGAAGAGCAAACTGAGGCACAGACAAGTTATGCAGGGATTTGAACCCAGGGTCCTTTCCTTGTCACCTTGTTTTTAACCTGTCTCAAGCCGAGAACTTGGAAACAGTGTCAGGAAGTGTCCTGGTAACCCACCCAGGGTTTCACTTAATGCAGGTGAACACTCTTGGGCAAGTTCCTCCCCCCAAGTGTGCACAGGGCCTGGGGCTGAGCCTAGGCAAGGGAGGGGCCCTTCATTCCCTGGTCAGCTCCTTCCTCCTCCTTGAAGTCCCACCTAGGACTGGACCCTGGCTGGAGTCCAGCCAAGAGCCCCTTCCTTCCCTCCTCCTTCCCTCTTGCCTCTCCCCAGCCCCTACTGGCAGCAGCTTCCACAGGAGAGAAGGGGAAGGAAAGGGACAGGCTGAGAGCTGGGTCGTCCTGGACCGCACCCTGGTGGGGCCCCGTGCTATTTAGGTGGCCTCAGGTGCAGCCTTGGGGTGACCTTCCTCCTCTGCACTCTGCGAGGTTGTGGCACCTGCCTCCTAGGGCTGTAGGGAGAAGGAAAGGCAAGCATTTGTGTGGAAATGGCAGATATGTTGTAACTGATGTCCAAGAAAGTTGGAAACAACATTTTTATTATAATGAGACCTCATTCAGCACCCCCTTTTTGGGGGGCTAAGGTATTCCTGGTTAAAATGGAATAAGACCTGCTGGGTGGAGGTGCTGGACAGGGCCCCTAGGTCATGGGAGGTGGAGGAGTAGGAGGAAGGAGGTGGGCCATGCCTGGGGGTGCCATGCCCTGGGGGGGCCCCTTAGGGGAGGCATGTTTTGTGGGGCATACCTTGCTGGGCCCAGCGTGAGCACATAATTAGCCCTGGCTGTTAAGTCCTTCTTCACCTTCTGAAGGAGTAAAGGTCAACTGGCTCCTGTCTGTGAGAATAAAAGCTGAGCAGAGGGAGATGGGAATGTCTCTGAGTTTGGCTGAGCATGAGCTGTATTCCATGCACTGTTAGGTACTTAAGGGATATATTATAGCCTCATGTATTACCCCACTAATTAAAAGCAGAAATGATTATCTTTGTTTTGAGGTGAAGAAACTGAAGTTCAGGGAGGTGAAAGTGGCTTGCTTGTCCCCAGCCCAGGAGACCAAGGTGGGGCAGAGAGGGAGGTGGTCGCTGAAGCCCCTGACAGGGTGGGCTGGGATCCCGAGCTGGCAGCTCCAGCCCAGGGTCTGCCAGGAGGATCCTGACTTGCACTTGGTCAGTGGTCACGTGGTACCAGAGTGGCTGCATCTGAGTCTTCTGGCTCCTGGGGTGAACCTGAGTGAACTGCTTGCCATGTGCCAGCATAATTAACTGAAGGAGCAGAGACTTCCCAAACATCATCTGTTCTTGTTTCTCCCCAATTCCTAAATAAACACTTCTGTTGTAATAGCATGTTAATACTACAACAGTTCTTTGCTCTTCTGATGGACACATGGTCTTTTGTACAAACTTGTGGCTTAAGCTCTTCACTGTCAACTAAAGTGGAATTCCCATCAAATTCCCTCCAAGGATCAATATCCAGGATGGCCTGCCATGGTGTTTGCTTTTGTAAAGGCTGGAAATTCTGCCCTAAAGCCAGAGTTCCCAGTTTTTCTGAGTATGAAGTTCCCTTTGCAATATTGAACAATTTGAGAAACCTTTCATATGACAGTAACTATGTTTTCACAATTCATCAGTAGGAAAAATGCATATCAGCAAAAAGACAGACACTGTGAATTTTGAGACTTGTCTAGGTGTCATATTTTATTAATCACCTCAACATCTGACACATATTGAGAAATAATGGCCTGTATACATATGTGACCTAGTATTGATTTCATTTCTAGATAGTGCATGTACATCAGGGATTCACATATAAAGAAATAAGGATCTGTGTTTGGATAATTAATATTTGTAGCCTCTCAAAGAAGTGGGTATGACAGGCTCTCCTTTTGCAATTTGCTTTTTCTTCCTGGGTACTTTGCTTGCAATTTGAGTAGGTTCCATTAGGGGGTGTCCTGGGACCACAGCGCTTCTGCAATTGATGAGGCTTTCACTCCAGCTACAAGACAAAGTACCATTTTCCCCATGAATTTTTAAAAATAATATGAATTAGCAGAATATAGCCTAAAAGAGGTAACCAAACATGATCACAATTTTCTTTTTCTTTTTTTTTTTTTTTTGAGACAGTGTCTCACTCTGTCACCCAGGCTGGAGTGCAGTGTCATGATCTCGGCTCACTGCAACTTTCGCCTCCTGGGTTCAAGTGATTCTCCTGCCTCAGCCTCCCAAGTAGCTGGGACTACAGGCGCACACTGCCACACCTGGCTAATTTTTTTGTATTTTAGTAGAGACGAGATTTCACTGTGTTGCCCAGGCTGGTCTCGAACTGCTGAGCTCAGGCAATCTGCCCACCTCGGCCTCCCAAAGTGCTAGGATTACAGGCATAAGCCACCGCTCCTGGCCTATAAATTTAAAAGATGTAGTAGGCTCAGATAACTAAACTCTCTTAGTGAATTGCTGCTCAGTTTTATTGAATTCTATATTTCATTTCTTTTTAGCTTCCAGGCATTAAAAGTAACCCTAAGCATCGGCTAGCCTGGTAGAGCTTTCAGCATTAGAAATATACAAGTTGTTTTGTCTGCTCAGGGATCATGAGACATCCCAGGCCCCTCTATCCTCCCTGGCCCCTCACAAGAAGCTCTCGGACCCTTGCAGGCATGTCCTTCCCTCCGTGGCCCTGTTTTGCAGGGGACCTTGGCCTAGGCTCCCCTGTGAGGGAGAGCTAGGTGTCAAGCTAATTGGAGCTGCATGGCATCATAGGCAGCTTGTGCTTGAGCTGGTCTTCCCTGGGGAGTATTCTGGGCATCCTGCGCTGCTCATGGCAGGTCCAGGCCAGCTGGCCCACTGGGCACAGGGGGCACAGTGCCAAGAGCCCATTGTAGTTTGAGAGGCTTGTGAAAGTGTTTTAATTTCTTTTCTTTCTTTTTTCTTTTTCTTTTTTTTTTTTTTTTTGAGACGGAGTCTTGCTCTGTTGCCAGGTTGGGGTGCAGTAGCGGGATCTCGGATCACTGCAACCTCTGCCTCCTGGGTTCAAGCGATTCCCCTGCCTCAGCCTCCTGAGTAGCTGGGACTACAGGCGTGCACCACCATGCCCGGTGCATGGGTGTATTTTGTATTTTAGTAGAGACGGGGCTTCACCATGTTGGTCAGGCTGGTCTCGAACTCTTGACCTCATGATCCACCTGCCTCAGCCTCCCAAAGTGCTGGGATCACAGGCGTGAGCCACCGTGCCCGGCTATTTTAATTTCTTTAGTTGGAAGATAAACACTGAGCTGTGATGCCTTCTTCAAAAAGAAAAGAAAAGAAAGAAATCAAAAAAGAAGAAAAACACGAACTTTAGGTCAAATAAAATGTTTTAATATATACTATTAATATATTCACCTTTGTACTGACACAATCGGAAAATATGCTTTTGTAATTGTTTTTTTAAGTGGAGCAAGGGGCATAGGAGGGTGAGTGTGCATGGGGTCCGAGAAAGTAATAATGTTGCCCTGGGTGGGAGTGGGACTCAGGGTCTCCATGACCTGGGGCAGAGTCACAGAGGCAGGAATGACTCCTTACAGGAGGGGCTGGCCGGTGGCTTGGCGTAGCTGTGCACGGGTGCAGGAGGAGCTGCAGGAGCACAGAGAGACCCCACCTCAGACAGAGGCTGTTCTGTGAGTCAAGCAGCCCTGGCTTCTGAGCACGTCTCAGGATCAAGTGCTCAGGGGCCTCAGCCTTAGGGATTACCAAGAGATGGATATGTGGGAATTTCAGGAACTTTGGAGTTTTAGCTAAGCTAGGAAAGGATGGATTTCTCAAATGTAGGGGAGTGGGGTTGGTCCTAGGCCCAGCCTGGTCACTCGGGGATGAGACTTACATTTTTGACTGTGTATCTTTATCTGTAAATGGGGGCAAGAATTCACCCACGTTCACTGAGGGAACACCATAATACATGTCAAGAGCCTTCCGAGCCCAAGGCCTGCCTCTGGGCACTGCCCAGTGTTGGTTTCCTCCTTTGCCTGTCTGCATTGTATTATTCAAGGAAGGCCAGGGAGATGGAGGTGCGCTCACCTGGGACGCAGATTGGCCCAGTATCGGCACCACTTGTGGCTGCCCTGCCGCGCCCTGCCAGACTGACTCAGGAGGGCTGGGTGGGACCTTCTGGGGCTTAACAAGCTTTGCAGGTGAATCTGCTCTGTGACTGGGGCTGAGAACTTAGCCTTTGCCTGAGCACGTCTGGGCCATAGTCAGGCAGACTTGATTTCCAAGACGGGGCTCCCACCTTCCCAAGGGAGAGAGGATCGGCTCCTCTCTTGTTGGAAAGGTTCTGGGACCTTGTTGAGAAGGTTCTGGGAGTGCAGGCTGAGCAGGGCTGGCATGCACCCTCATCCACTCTGCAGAAGCATAAATGCTTCTTTGTCCTCAGCCTCATGTCTTCCTGGAGTACTTCTTTTTGGCTCAGGGAGTGAGCAGGGAGGAACAGGTTCTCCACTCCTGAGGTTTCTTTGATCCAGTTTGTCAACACGCATTTGCTGCAGCTGTGGGCACAGCACTGGATATGAGGCAGGATGACTTATGGTGGGGTGTGCTTTCACACTTGACAGGGGACACAGACACGTGGGTGATTCTTATCACAAAGTAGATTAAAATAAGTGCTACTGTGCAAGATGGACTTCCAGTGGGGATTCATGAATTTGGGTTGGGGAGGTAGCGTTGGAGTGGATCTAGAGGAGTGAGACCCGTTTCCACAGGCAGGGAAGTATGGGGAGGCTTTTCCAGCTGGGAGAGGGGTCCGGTGTGCATAAGTGTGCTGTGTCTGATGGGACTGGACGGGTGCTGGAGGGCTGGAGGGGACAGAGGAGTTTCAAAGTAAGCTGCAGCCAGACTGGGGAGGTCCTGTGTCCCGCAGGAAAGTGCTGGCACCCCTTGGTGGTGACAGCCCTGGGTGCCTGTGGGATGACCGCTCAGTGAAGGCTTTGGAACCAGCTGTGCCCCATTTGTGAAAGCTGCAGAGACAGTGCCTACACATGCGAAGTATGCACAGTGTAGTCCTCTGCCTGCAAGAAGGTCAGTAGATGTGACAGGTGGGCAGTTCTACTCATGATAGAATCAAAGATGGAATACCCAGGAACCATACTCATGGGAAGTGTGTACAATCCGGATAATGAAATTGTACCAGGGACACAAAAGAGCCATTGTACAGGTAGAGATGTTCAGCGTGTTCCAGCAGTGGGGGATCAATATCTTACATATTTCGGTTGTTTCCAAATTAACTTATGGATTTAATGCAACCCCTAGCCAGAATCTGGGTGGATAACTTACCAGATATTAAAACATATTAAAAAACGTATTGTAGGCCAGGCACAGTGGCTCACACCTGTAGTCCCAACAATTTGGGAGGCTGAGGCAGGAGGATCGCTTGAGGCCAGGAGTTCAAGACGAACCTGAGCAACAGAGAGAGACCCCATCTCTACAAAACCTTTTAAAAATTAGCCAGATGTGGTGGTGCATACCTGCAGTCCCAACTACTCAGAAGGCTGATGTGGGAAGATTGCTTAAGGCCAGGACTTCAAGGCTGCAGTGAGCTGTGATCACACCACTGCACTCCAGCCTGGGCAACAGAGTGAGACCCTGTTTCAGAAAAATTTGTAAATTCATAATAATTTAAACAGTTTGGTATTGTGATGGAAATAGACAACATGCCCATGGAACAGACTAGAAAGACTGGAATATAAAAGTTAATATATCTGGTTACTATTTAACCACTTGGGAAACCATCAAGCCCCTTGCTCATATCAAACCCCCAAATATATTCCATGTGGATTAAAATTTAAATATAAAAATGAAATCATTGAAGTGCTAAAAATAATTTAGGTAAGTAAGTAGTTAAGGGATGAAAAACATCTTTCTACACATGATACCAGAGACAGAAAAAAAGTCTGCAACATAAATGACTAATGTATTATATAAACAACTTTAATAATGAATATGAACAACTCATTGTGAATGAACTTCTTAATGAGATAGTGGGTGAGAGATATGAATTAGTTTGCAAAAGGAAAAAATTGTCCTGAAATTAATAAGGAACCTAAAAAGAATCCGAAGAGCCAAGGCAGTCTTAAGCAAAAAGAACAAAGCCAGAGACATCACATTACCTGAGTTCAAACTATACTAAAAGGCTAAAGTAACCAAAACAGCATGGCACTGGTATAAAAATGGACACCCCTTTCAATAAATGGTGCTGAGAAAATTGGATTGCCATATGGAGAAGAATGAAACTGGAACCCCTATCTATCACCATATACAAAATCAACTCAAAATGGATTAAAGACTCAAATGTAAGACCTGAAACTGTAAAAACACTAGAAGAAAACCTAGGGGAAACTCTTCTGATCATTGATCTAGGCAAAGAATTCATGTCTAAGACCTCAAAAGTACATCCAACAAAAACAAAAATAGACAAATGAGACTTAAATGAAAAAGCTTCTGCACAGCAAAAGAAGCAATCAACAGAGAGAACAGACAACCTGCAGAATGGAAGAAAATATTTACAAACTATGTATCCAATAGGGGACTAATATCCAGAATTTACCAGGAACTTAACAACTCAACAAACCCACACAAAATCCCATTAAAACATGGGCAAAGGACATGAATAGACATTTTTTCAAAAGAAGACACACGAATGATCAACAAGCATATGAAAAAATGCTCAACATCACTAATCATTAGAGAAATGCAAATTAAAAGCACAATGAGATATCATCTTATAGCAGAAAGGATGGCTATTATAAAAAGACAAAAAAATAACAGTTGGCATGGATGAGGAGAAAAGGGAACTCTTTTTTTTTTTTTTTTTTTTTTTTTTTGGTAGACAACATCTTGCTCTGTCGCCCAGGCTGGAGTGCAATGGCGTGATCTCGTCTCACTGCAACATCCACCTCCCAGGTTCAAACAATTCTCAGCCTGGGCCTCAGCCTCCCAAGAAGCCGGGATTACAGACATGTACCACCATGTCTGGCTAATTTTTGTATTTTTAGTAGAGTCAGGGTTTTGTCATGTTGGCCAGGCTGGTCTCGAACTCCTGAACTCAAGCGATCCACCCGCATTGGCCTCCCAAAGTGCTAGGATTACAGGTCTGAGCCACTGCACCCAGCCACTTCTACACTGTTGGTGGGAAAGTAAATTAGTACAAGCTGTATGGAAAACAGTGTGGAGATTTCTCAAAGAACTGAAAATAGAACTACCATCCAATTCAGTAATCCTACTGCTGGGTATCTACCCTAAGGAAAAGGAATCATTATTTTAAAAAGATACCTGCACTTTTATGTTCATCACAGCACAGTTCACAATAGCAAAGATATGGAATCAACCTAAGTGTCCATTAATGGATGATTGGACAAAGAAAATGTGATATATATACACAGTGGAATACTATTCAGCCATAAAAAGGATGAAAGCATATCTTTTCCAGCAACATGAATGGAACTGGAGGCCATTATCTTAAGTGAAATAACTTAGAAAGACAAAATACCCCATGTTCTCACTTATAAATGAGAGCGAAATAATGCGTATACATGGACATAGAGCGTGGAATGATAGACATTGACAACTGGGAAGGATTAATGGGTGAGAGATGAGCAACTACCTACTGGGTACAATGTTTGGGTGATGGTTACACTAAAAGCCCAGACTTCACTACACAATATATCCATGTAACAAAATTGTGCTTGTACCCTTTAAATGTATACACATTTTTAAAAAGGAATTTGCTCGTAAAAGGAGAAATAAATGTCAGTAAGTGTGAGAAAGTCAATCTTACATTAATCAAGTAGGTGCCTATTAAAGTAAGATACTATTTTTTGCTATTAAATTGACAAATTTGTGGTGTGCTTTGCTTTTGTTTGTTTGTTTTTGTGAACGATGGTACTCAATGCATGTGAAAGTGTTTGGCAAGGACTCTCATATGCCTTGGGAGAGGAAGCTGCAAGCTTTCTGCCAAGCAGTTTGGCAGGATGTCTCAAACCCTTTAAAAGAATTCCTCCCTTTATCCTGGGGATTCCATTTCTAGGAATTTATCCCAAGGAAACAATTAAATCTGCAGTCCAAAATTCCTATGCAAGGATGTTCATCACAATGTTACATATAAAGGTGCAGATTTGGAAGGAATTTGAACATCCAATGATGGGGAATGAGTCATTCGTCTGCCGGAGTGCAGTGAGGCCCTTAGGAACATTTCTAAAGGATGCTTAGTCACAAGGGAATGAGGGAACTTCATGATCTAAGGCTAAATGAAGAAGGCAGGAAGGATAGTGGGCCGAGCCGGAGGGAGAAGAAGGCCCATGGGGAAGAGGCAGGGGCCAGTGCCAAGATAGGAGACAGAAGGTGCAGGATGTGTTGGAGGGCAGGCTCAGCTTCATTTCATTCAGATTCCCTTTAGTAAATTCTGATTGAGCAGATACTGGGTGCAAAGTACTGTCATTTAGGCTCAGTTTAGCAAAGGAGATGGTTTGGGTGAAGTATACCGAAGGACAGGTGCTGACCCCGGGTAGGCTCTTGCTCAGGGCAACAGGCAGCTGCTCTGCCCTGTGTCCATGCCCCCACTCAGGGACTCGCTCCTCTCCTGGCCTCTCACCCCTTCTCTGGGGAGCTGCTGTCTTCACCTCCTCTTCCCAGGGTGCATAGAACTTTTAAAATTAAAAAGAAGAAAAAAAATTCAGGATAATAAAACTTTTTAAAAAGAGAGGTTGTATCCTACATTAAAAAAAATGATATTTATGTGTGGGAGTAGGGAAAAGACTGGAAGGAAACATATAAAAATGAGATTTCTGGTTAGCTGTGATAGAATTATGGGAGATTTCATATCTTTCTATATTTTTATAATCAGCATTTTTTAAAAAAAACAGCTTTATTGAGGTATCATTGACATATAATCTGCACACATTTAAAGTGCACAGTTTCATACATCTTGATATATGTATATACCTGTGAAACCAACACCATGATCAAGATAGTGCACGTACCCATCTTCCCCAAAATTCCTCATGCACGTCCATAATCCCTCCCCAGATCCCCTGTAGGGCAACCCCTGGTCCACTCTCTATCCCTATTACTCAGTTCACACTGTTTCCTAGGATTTGGCTTAAATGGAATCGTGCGCTTTTTGGCTTCTTCCAGCCCATGATTATTTTGTGATTCATCCATGTAGTTGTGTGTGTCAGTGGTTTCTTCCTTTCTGTTGCTACGAAGTATTACATTGTGTGGGCATAGTACAGTTTTTCTAATCCAATGAATCACTTGATAATTAGGAAAGTCTCCCCTTTTTGTAAGCATGCCCAGAGATTGGCTAGGGTCCTGGGAGTTTGGATCTGTGCCATCCGTCTGTCTCTGTAAGTTTGGGACAGTTCCTCAGGCCTGGCCCAGTGACCCTGAGGGCAATGGCCCGGCCAGCCCAGTGGGCACCTGGGCTGTCATTCGTCAAACACAAGGCTTGGCCATGCCTTGAAACACTCAAGCTGCCTAGAAAGCATGTCCTCATGGTCAGAGCTTTGATTTGGGTGCCAGGAGGTTTAGTGGTGGTCAGCGGATGTGCTTAGTAATTGCCTTTGTGCCTTGCCTCGGTGGGAGAGTTGGAGAAAGCTTGATGTCTTGTCCGAAGTTGGTGTTGCCTAACTTCCACGTGTCACTCATGCCCTTGCCTACACCTATGTGTGGCTCACAGCTATTTCCCCCACCCCCAGCAGGCAGCCCACCCTCTCTGAAGAGCAGTCCCCTCTTTGCCTGCCCAGTGCAGCCCCTACCATCACTCTGTGGCTCTCGTCCTTCACCTGGCAGAGCTGATGGCTGTCCCTCTGTGATCTAGGTGACTTTCATGAGGTCTCCCTGTCTCTTGGATTAGCACAGACCCAGGCAGCTCCTCCAGGGCTCCACAGCAAGTCATGTTCCACCAGTCCCCGGGCATCCCTGGTCCCTATGGTCCCATGGCCTGCTCCCTGCCCTGTGCCTTGCCCCACTCATCTCTGAGGGTTCCAGGAGGTGCCTCCCACACACTCAGAAAAGAAACTGCTATGATACCTGCTCCGGTCAGCTCCTGGCACTGCCTCCAGGGCTGAAAGGGAGGACTTAGCCTGTGCTGTTCCGTGTAGAAAGGGGCAGGTGGCCAGCACCTCTCCAGCACTCTGTGCCCCCTTGTCTCTGAGCCTGAGTCTCCTCAGGTCTGGCACGTGATGTCCTTTTCTGCCTTCTCTTATCACTCCAAGCATGAGTTGGACCCAGTCCTGTCCTGGTCGACCTTCCTCCCCTCATTATTTCTCTACTTTGAGCAGCCTTTGCCAACCCCCTCAAAACCACTCATACTGGCAGGGACCTGTGACTGTGAACAGAGGCTGGTGCCAAGACCCTGGGTCTTCTAGACCCGGGGACTCTGGACAGCACCTCTTTGCCCACTGGACACCCTCCAACTGCAAACAGCATCTCCTGGGGCTGGGCCCTGCTCTGGGAGCAGCCTTCCCCTTCTTCTCTCTCAGGGGCCTGGAGTCCTGGGATGGTGCTGTCTAACCGGGCACAGGAGGAAGAGAGGCTGGCTGCCCAGGGACTCCCTCTGGAGGAGTGCTAGTGGACCTGTGCCCGGAGCCGCCCAGCCTCAGGCCTCAGTCCATGTCCCCACGTTCAGCAGAGACACTGATGGAGGGGTCTGTTGGCAGGAGAGCCCCAGTTGTGGGGCCAGCGTGAAGCTCCATGAGGTCGCCAGCCGGCTCCCCAGAAGCAGGCGAAGGCTGGTGGGGGGCAGGGGACAGAGCTCCTCTGTGCCCTGCGCAAGCTCCTGTCTTTAAAAAAGTCTCCCTTGAAGAGGATGGAAACTAACAGTAAGCTGTCCTGGCCCATATCCAGCCATGTAATCTTAGAGCCCCCCACCTCAGCGGGGACAGGACTCAACTTCCGTAACCTGATGTCTGGGTGAGGGCTGCAGGCTCTGCTGGAAGCTACTGCAGGGCTCCTCCTCATGCTGTGGGCTCAGGCTTGGGCCCCAACCTTGAGGGGAGGGTGGAGGGAGTGAGGGGGTAGGGTCCAGCCCAGGAAACAGGCCTGTGAGGAGGTGGTGCTCCTTGCTGTGGGGGGCTGGGAGCTGGGCCAGCAGGACCCTGCGAGTTGCTCAAGGGCCCCTTCCCATGTCTGCAATTACAATTACCTCTGAAGTGAAGAGCTTCACCAACACAGTCACCTGGGTCCTTGGGGCTCCTGCCTCCTCCCCCTACCTGGCTCCTGCCTCGGCTTCCTGGCTCCTAGTCATGAGAGGGGCATGGGCAGGCAGCCAGCCTCTTACTGGCCAGATGATGCTGAAAGCCTGCATTGCAGAGGTGATTGCTTAGCCTTTCAACAGGGCACATACAATGCCCATTCTGGGAGGGAGGCAGCCGAGGCTTCCATGCATTCAGGACCTCCCCAGGTCCTAGGGCTGCGCATAAAGCGTAAACCATGGAGTTGGGTCTGAAGCTGGCTTTATATTCTCCCCATCTCATCCTACTGGGTTGCTGCAGGATCACCTGCCCCAGGCCAGGTGCCTTGCCAGGGCTCTCACATAGCTTAGCTGATTGCATCCTGTAAACAACCCTGCAAGAAAAGGATTGCCTGAATCTTCATTCTAACGACTGGGGAGGCTCAGAGCGTGTAGGTCACTTGCACAGCCATGTACATTTGCTAGGGCTTTCTGCTCCCGAAGACCATGCTTTCCGTGACTCCTCAGATGCCCAGACTTGCCTTTGGGTGGGAGGTGTGGTCCTGAGTGACTAAGGGACTCCTGGGTGAGTCCATCGGCTTGGCCCTCTGCCTGCACCCTCCAATCTATCTCCTCCCAGCCAGCCCCGTGGGTCCTTCCCAGTCTGACCACAGTGCTTCTTGTGTCTGAGCCCTTCCCCACACTCCCCACAGGCTCCAGTCTTGTACTCCCTGTTCCCCAAGCACTCCCCTACCACAGGCCTCACACCTGTGTCCTCTCTGCCCAGGGACCTGCCCCGCTGGCTGACTGCCCACGGACCACCCTGAGTAGCTTTGCCAGCTCTCTTCCCTTCCCACCCCCCGACAGAGGTGACCGTTCTCATGTGGCTTCCCTCTAGACAGCACTCCACACACTTCCTTTACAAGTGGGTTACAGACATGCCTGTCTGCCTCCTGCACAGACTGAGGATTCTCAAGGGTGGGGATGGCACCTTAGGTTCTGGCATACTCAGAGGGAGAGCACATAGTAGGTCTTCAGGAAAAGGTTTTCAAATAAGATTGCATTGAACTTCTGGAGGCAAATTATCTCCCTTCTTTTCTGATCAAATGGTTTTTATGTTTGGGAAATGTGGCGGTAGTGTAAGAATTTGCCACATGCTGAAATAGGTCTCAGTGATAAAGAGTAACAGGTTTAATTTTTAATTCCAGGTTTTAACTCCATGATTGTGTGCTATGAGTATATGGCTGCATGTCTCAAGAAATTCACTGGCTTTAAAATGTGGGCTTAGCTACTGCCAGTATGATTTGATGAAAGCGGATAGAGGTCTCAGATCCACCCCCGGATTCCACCGTCAGGCCCAAGGACGGACCCCTGGCCATTGACTGATGCCAAGTGGGTGCCTGGCAGCAGCCTTCCTTCCCATCCCTGCTTCTGGACGCCTCAGCCGTGAGTCAGAGCATGTGCAGCGTGGGCTTGTGCGGGTGGCAGGGAGCCCAGAATTAGCTCAGCTGCGTTTCAGCAAGGCTGCAATGGGGAGGGGGAGGCTGTGCCAGGCGGGGGCTGAGAGTCAGCACCCTCAACCACAGTGGGGGTCGGCTCTCAGGAGCTGTCATAGACCTCAGGGCATTCAGGGAAAGCCTGCTGTGAGCTGAGCACAAGCCCGATCATAGATGAGCAGAGGGTCAAAGGACCAGGCCTTGCAAAGCCGCAGCTGGTGTGACCCCCGCCTGCCGGAGACAAACATGGACCCTGCATGGGTGTGGCCAGGTCATGCCTGGGGATCGAGTGGCAGACAGGTGTGAGCATCACCGAGCTCACTGCTCACAGTCTAGCAGAGACGGCTGGCTCAGTGCCTTCACCTACCCCCAGCACACCCAGGCAGGCAGAGCCAGTACCAGACAATGCATCGCCTCCTGACTGGTGTTCTTTCACTCTTTGCGAACTGCCTTTTTGTTAAAAGGCAGAGAATTGTTAGCACAGGTACTTTAATATATTGCAAAATGTTTTATTTGCCCTTGCGCCTTTCCTGCTCATTCTAAACTCTGGCACAGGTATGCTGCCCAGGACGCCAGTGGTTGTCACACCAGAAAACAGGGGAGCAGCACTTGTCACTCTCTGCTCATTAGGGCAAAATGCAGGGTGGGTTTTGTGCCTCCCAGGGGTGTGGAGGGGTCAGGCACTTGTGTCACCACCAAATGAGTCAGCTAGATGGAACAGTAAAATATTTAATCACAAGCGTGTCAGCATTGTTCTAGAAAAACACATCTCTAGAGGCTGTGGTATGTGGTATGGGCACATCATGTTACCTTTGTGGGTTTCCCGTAGCCATATGCGAAACACACACGGAGCAGAGATTGGTACGTTTGGGGTTTCCGTGGGTTTAATTTTGTGAGCACCGCAGACTGGGAGGAAAACAAAACACCCTCAGGTTCTCGGGGTGGCCCAGCTTGGAGGCTAAGCCAGATGGTTTCTGCCCTGACCTGTCCTTGGTCACCAGCATTCGGGTTCACAAAATCAGGGTGGGCTGGCTGCAGAGCATTGATAAGGGGCCACCCACCAGCTCCTTCAGGTGGGCTTGGGAGCACACTGTCCTTCAGGCGCCTCCCTTCCTGGCACTGGCACCCCTGACTGGGATCTGGTCCTTCTCTTTGATCTTTGGACAACGCGTGTTGGATGACAACTGGGCCTGGCACACGAAGTGGGAAATTCTCAACTGTGAGAGTCTGAGAGCGGGGACCTTGCTGCCCTCAGCCTTGTCCCTGCGGAGCCTGATGTAATCCGTGGCATGTGGAGGCCCCTTGCTAAGTGCTGTGGACTCCGACCCTGTCCACATCCCTCTGCCGGTACCAGCCCCGGAGGCATTGTGCAAAGGGTCTCACACATCTGGAGAAACCCTCCCACTGATGTAGCCTCTGTTCTTTGCAAGGCCCAGTGTGCACCCAGCAGTCTCGCTTGAGCCCCCGTCCACTATGAGGGAGGCAGGGCCAGAATTCATATGCCCCTTTTAAGGACGAGATACTTGAGGCCCAGAAAGCAGAAGAGGGGTGTGCCTGTGACGAGAGCAGGAGCACGGGCGTGGGGGTCTCTCACCTCTCAGTTCGGCACCTCACCCAGGTGCCTGCTGCTCCCCCGATGCTTGGCACTGTCCTACCAGGATGTGCTGCTGACAACTTCTCAGCCTCCCTTTAAAAATAAAGGTGTCTTAGATCTTTCTGATTCTCTGTGCCCAGCAAACTCACTGGAAGCTAAGCCCAGAACAGCCCCTCTTTTACTGAGTGGTAATTCCCTGCAACCTTGAGCTCAACACCTTATTTACATCGCCTCATTTAATCCTCCTGTCACCCGTAAGAGGAGGCACCACATTATTGGCTCCACTTTGCAGAAAAGGAAATGGGCCCTGTCAGGGCAAACCCTGGCCGAGGCCACCAGCAGGTGAATGGAGCTAGGCCTGGTGAACTGCAACCCTGAGCTCTGATGGCAGGTGGGTGTGGAGGGAGGGAACACTCCAACTCCCACTCTCTCGGCTTTGAGGCTCCTCCTTCTTTTGTAGAAACGGTTGTCATTGTGAGCAGAGCAGACTCTGGTTTTGGGGGATCCTCAAAACAGTGGCTGGGAAACAAGGAGCATTATTTATTTATTTATTTATTTATTTATTTATTTATTTATTTATTTTGAGACAGAGTCTTGCTGTGTTGCCCAGGCTGGAGTGTAGTGACGTGATCTTGGCTCACTGCAACCTCCACCTCCCAGGTTCAAGTGATTCTCCTGCTTCAGCCTCCCAAGTAGCTGGGATTACAGGCATGCACCACCATGCCCAGCTAATTTTTTGTATTTTTAGTAGAGACGGGGTTTCACCACGTTGGTCAGGCTGGTCTCGAACTCCTGGCCTCAGGTGATTCACCCGCCTTGGCCTCCCAAAGTGCTGGGATTACAGGTGTGAGCCACCACACCTGGCCTCAAGGAGCTTCTTAGTTTTCAGAGGTGAGACAGTCTCCTCTTCTCAATGGGGAAGTGGGAGGTCCTGCCTGAGGGTGCATCCCAGCTCACAGCCCCCTTGGTAAGAGGTCTCTGAAATCGGCTTCCTGCAGGTAGGAGCAGCTGGAGGAGGAGACAGAGCCATCCTTCCGAGGTGGGAAGTGGTGCCAAGTTATAGGGAAAGTGCGATGTGGGAGAGATGGCGTTACTGACTACTCATGATGTACTAATCCGGAGGGGTGGGAATCGGGGCAAAATGCAGCCATTTCCTGCTTCAGAATTAAGTTTCCCCTTTTTGAAAGCGGCCCAAGCCCCGCTACCCATTCCTTTTGTTGTTGGCTTCCGTAGCTACTCTGCTGGCCCTCTGCCACTCTCACTTATGGGCTTTGTACCTCGAGACAGGCTCTGTGAGTTTACAGGTGGCAGAGGAACAAGATTCTCCTGCCTGTAAGGGAACCAGGGAAAAAGAGCAAAGTGGCCAGGTGGCTTGAGGTGTGCTAACAGATGGAGCGTTTGGTGCCAGGCCCGTTCCCTGGAGAGGCCAGCTGGTCTGGGTGTCAGGTTTCAGTGGGCCTTAGAGCAGGCGGGTCAGCAGCAGAAATGTGCTGGAGGGAGGAAATGCCATTTGCCTGGCCAGTGTTTGCTCGCGTCCTGCAGCCTGACAGCTCAATTTGTTTGCACCCACAGATTTCATGAACAGTGGTTTGACGACGGTTGCTTGGGTCCAGATTACATGGAAACATTTAGAACCTCCCCTGGGATTGCATCCTTATCTCGTAATCATAACTGCTTTCTCAGATTTGTAATAAGGGTTTTCCTGAACCTGCTCACCCCTTCTTATAAGTTACAGCAGTGACATCGCAGTTTTTATGTGTAAACCAGAAGCAAGTTGAACCAAAATAAAGAAAGCAATTTTGTGAACAAATAAGTTCCCCTTGAGAAGCACTGGGAATCAAATGCAAATATCATAAGGGACAGTTAAGAATCTGCTGTTGCTATCTAGGGCTCATGAATCTCCTGATGTGCAGAGAAACCATACATAGCAATCGCTTGACAGCTTTCTGCCAATCTCTTCTGAATTTTCACTGAAGAAACCTCCCCAGAGTCTCAGAGGAAGCAGAGCTGCTGAGATGCTGATTCACTGTGTGAGGCTTAAACTCAGGACGCATTTATACATCCTGTACTCTCAGTGTTTGCATGAAGCTTTTAAACACGGGGCTGGGCAAGACAAGTTTGGGGCAGTGGGCTTTTTCCGTGTGTAGACCTCTGAACCTTTAGGATTATTCTGGCTGTGCAAATTTACTGATACAAATAAATATAGGGACTCTGGCTAGGCTGAGAGAAAACAGATGAGGTATGAATGAAATTTATTTCTGTACAGATGGACTTTTAGTGGAAATTGTGAGGCTCACTCCACTTCCCAAGTGTAGGTCCCAGCCTTCGGTAGACTCTGAATGTCGTTGCACCACTGATGGAGGCAACACCAGAGAGGGGAAGGTCATTGGACTGTAAGCCACCTTGGAAACCCGAGCCTTGGTCTGTTGTCCAGGGCAAGTGGCAGCTTGTACCAGGGAAGGGAGGGGACAGACCTTAATGGAGTTTATCTGCCTGATAGGCATTTGCAGCAATAGAGTGAGTTTGGCTTTGGGTTTTTGTTTGGGCTGATAAAATCTTTCTGTTCACTTCCAAGCTGTTGGGTCGACAGGCTATCCACAGGCTGTGGGATGGGAGAAACTGTGGAGCCATCCAGCTGTGTGGCCAGGAAGGATGGCTAGCCTCTCCCCTGCCAGACTACTCACTGCAGGGACAGGGCAGGCATTTGCCAGGTAAATAACTTTTGCTGGAGGGTTGACATGGAATGGCATGTGCAAGAGAGGCGGTGTGGGACCCATTCCTGTCCCACAGCTGAGATTTTGGAATTGTCTGGAAGAGATGCCCTACCTGAGGGTGACCTCGGAGCTCTCTCTAGGCCACACATTTAGGCTCTTCTGTTCTTGTGGCTTGCCTCCCAGTTGAGACAGCCAGTCCGTCTACTGGTTACAGCTTTGAACATGAAAGGAGCTCCAGGGTACTGGCAGCTCCTGCTACGGAGTGGCTGGGCTGGGCCAGAAAAACCATGAGGTGAGATCCTCCCATTCCAGCTTCAAAACTGCATGTTCTACCTGACGTCGGAGATGAAAACTGGCCTTCTATTCCCATGGGTTTATTGAAGGTACACGTTTTACTCCTGATGCCTTGCAAAATTTGCAGAGATGTTTAACACGTGCAGAAACATTAGGTTTTCTGCTTCAAGAAATACTCCCTCATCACCCTTTTTCATCTGGTCTTAGTGTATGTAGTTCACCTGGCAGTTTCTTCTATGCAGCAACCAGAGTCACCTTTTAAAATGTAATCAGACTTCCAATCCCAGACATGATGGCATAATGAATATCAGACTTACTCTTCTTTCCCAAGCAATTGTGATATTGGACAGAATGCATGAAGGAACTGTTTTCGAGAATGGAACAACACTCAGTGCAGGTCTTTGGTCCAACTGGAAGCATGTGAGTCAAGCCCCACATTCACTCTGGCTTTCTGTCTGGGAGTGCCTTCAAAACCAAGGTACAAGGGAAGCAGAGGCCACCAGAGAGCTGAGCACAAGAAACCGAGATCAGAGTGCAGGCAGCTGGAACTTGCGGGGATGGTAGTGGAGAGGAGGGTTCTGAGCAGAGAAGGGACTTCAGAAGTCTTCAAAGTGATCTTGAGTCTTGGCCAAATGCTAAGCTGCATTTGCACAGGGAACAACTCTTTGAGGCTCGGCAGAGAACAACTACTGGCCAGGACATTGTGGGGAGGATGGTGAGCTAAGCACAACCTGGAAGTCACACAGTCACATTGTGCTGGGAGACTAAGAGTTTTTGTTTTGTTTTGTTTTGTTTTGTTTCCTGAGATGGAGTTTCACTGTTGTCGCCTAGGCTGCAGTGCAATGGCGCGATCTTGGCTCACCGCAACCTCCGCCTCCTGGGTTCAAGCGATTCTCCTGCCTCAGCCTCCTGAGTAGCTGGGATTATAGGTGCCCACCACCATGCCCAGCTAATTTTTGTATTTTTAGTAGGGAAAGGGTTTCACCATGTTGGCCAGGCTGGTCTTGAACTCCTGACCTCAGGTGATCAACCCACCTCGGCCTCCTAAAGTGCTGGGATTACAGTTGTGAGCCACTGCACCTGGCCAAGACTTACAGTTCCAATCTGCTAGAGTGAGGAGACCTTACTGAGCACCTTGAACATTGAATCTGAGATCACAGAAACGTCATACATTAGGAATAAGACTGCTCTAGCCCCAAGACCACGCTAAACTCTCCATAACAAAACCTAAAAACAAGCCTTGTTAGGATCCAGATGCTATGCCAGTCAACTAACTCTCTGCCAGAATAAAACTCAGCACTCTTCAAACAAATTATTATCTGCAATATCCAGCATACAATTAAAAAAATCACTAGACAGGCAGGACAATGAGACTAATAACAAAGAGAAAAGGTCGATAAATACCAACCCATACAAACATAGTGAGTGCACAAATAGGAATTTCAGCAGAGAAGTGGCAATTTAAGAAACAACCAAATGGTAATTCCCAAGCTAGAATATATATTATCTCAAATGAGGAATTCACTGGTTGGATGGCCAGGTGCAATGGCTCACGCCTGTAATCCCAGCACTTTGGGAGGCCGAGGCAGGCGGATCACCTGAGGTCAGGAGTTTGAGACCAGCCTGATCAACATGGCAAAACCCCGTCTGTACTAAAAATACAAAAATTAGCCTGGCGTAGTGGCATGCGCCTGTAGTCCCAGCTACTCAGGAGGCTGAGGCAGGAGAATTGCTTGAATCGGGGAGGTGGAGGTTGCAGTGAGCCAAGATTGCGCCACTGCACTCCAGCCTGATGACAGAGCGAAACTCTGTCTCAAACAAAAAAAAAAAAAAAAGGAAAAGAAAAAATAAAAAGAATTCACTGGATGGATCTAAGAGCAGTTTGGACACTGGCAGAAGAAAATGTCAGTGAGCTTGAAGACAAATCAATAAAAACCATTCAAACTGAGTCACAGAGTGACGAAACACTGAAAAGAAATTAGCAGAGCCTTAGTGACATATGAGAGATAATATCAAATAGCCCAACACGTGCAATTGGAATTTAGGAGATGAGAGGGAGATTGGGGCCAAAAAATATTTGAGGAAATTTCTCCAAATTTGATGAAAAAATATCAGCCTACAGATTCTAGAATTTCAGGGAACCCCTAGCAGGGTAAACTTAAAAAAAAAATCACACCTAGGCCGGGCATGGTGACTCACGCCTGTAATCCCAGCACTTTGGTTGGCCGAAGTGGGAAGATGACCTGAGGTCAGGAGTTCGAGACCAGCCTGGCCAACATGGCGAAACCCTGTCTCTACTAAAATACAAAAATTAGCTAGGCATGGTGGCATGTGCCTGTTATCCCAGCTACTCGGGAGGATGAGGCAGGAGGATCACTTGAATCCAGGAGATGGAGCAGAGATCGTGCCACTGCACTCTAGCCTGGGTGACAGAACGAGACTCTGTCTCAAAAAAAAAAAAAAAAAAATGAGGTAACACCAGTCTTAGACTAAATCTTTTACACAGGAGGGAGTAACGCTTCCCAAATAAGTTTGAGGTCAGTGTGTTAGTCCATTTGTGTTGTTATAAAAGAATACCTGAGACTGGGTAACTTAAAAAGCAAAGAGTTTTAAAAAGTTGTTATAAAAGAATATCTGAGACTTAGTAATTTATAAAGCAAAGAGGTTTATTTGACTCATGGTTCTGCAGACTACAGGGAATGTGGTGCTGGCATCTGCTTCTGGTGAGGGCCTCAGGAAGCTTCCAAGCATGGTGGAAGGCAGAGGGAGTCAGCATGTCGCATGGCAAGAGAGGCAGCAAGAGAGAGGGAGATGAGGGCCCAGCCTCTCTTTTTTTTTTTTTTTTTGAGACAGAGTCTGGCTCTGTCACCCAGGCTGGAGTGCAGTGGTGCAATCTCGGCTCACTGCAAGCTCCGCCTCCCGGGTTCACGCCATTCTCCTGCCTCAGCCTCCCGAGTAGCTGGGACTACAGGCACCCGCCACTATGCCCGGCTAAATTTTTGTATTTTTAGTAGAGACGGGGTTTCACTGTGTTAGCCAGGATGGTCTCGATCTCCTGACCTCGTGATCCACCCGCCTCAGCCTCCCAAAGTGCTGGGATTACAGGCTTGAGCCACCGCGCCCGGCCGGGCCCAGCCTCTCTTAAACAGCCAGATCTAGGATGAACTCATTACAATGGGGAAGACACCAAAGCATTCAGGAGGGATCCGCCCCCGCGACCGGAGTGCTTCCCACCAGGCCCCATCTCCAACATTGGGGGTCGCATTTCAACATGAGATTGGGTAGGGGACAAAATATCCAAACTATATCAGCAGGTATAACCATGATTGTTTTAAAAAGGAAAAGAAATTACAAACCAATATTCTTCATAAACATAGAGACACAATAAAACAAATTGAGCAGTGAGGGGGCCCACATGGTTTTGTTCTTCTTGAATGAAACGAAATAAATTAAAGGTGGCTTTGTTCTTCTTGAATGAAAATTGAATCAATAAACACTCATGGGTCCATTGTCACCTGGAAGGCTGGGCATTCATATGCAGTATCTAATTGGATCCTCAAACTGGATAAGAAAAAATGACGTCTTCATCTGCTCAGATGAAGAAGCAGGCTGAGAACAATCACGTGGGTTTCCCAAGGCCATTCCCATATGTGGTGGCTCATCAGGGACAAGGATCCAGGTCTTCAAACGGCAAGGCCGGTTCCCTGCTGGAGGGCTCCCATGGAGAGACTTCCTGTGCTGAATGAATGATGGGGTGTGTGGCTGGGACAGAGAGTCACATGGCAACTGTGATGCTGTAGTAACTGCAGTGGGGAGCTTCCTGGAGATCTGTTCCTGAGGAAAGGACAATGAGGGTGTACCTAAGTAAGGAAAGGGATTGCAATAGCTCAGTGGAGGGTGCGTGGAAAGTGGGCCCCTCGATCACACTGTTTTGTGTTCAGTGTCTGACCACTCAGTGTTCCTTCTGTTTGTATAACTCTCTAGGGATCATTTTACCCTGTCCTCACAGCATTTGAGGCTGACGGGAACTCCAAGTATCGATGACACCTGGGATGAAAGTGGCTCAGGGCTCTCTTACATGAGGCTGTGTCCCTCTGTTTTGCAGATGTCTTTCTGGGCACCGAGCAGCTAGGGGACATGCCAGAGATCAGACAAAGGAGCGTCACCCAGGCTGAGGGCCGGGAGAGCAGGACTTCTGAATGCAGCAGCATTTCTTAATCACAGGACCACACTCATGTGTATGCACGTGGACGCGTGTGCATGTTGAAGGATGATCCTGGAAAGAATATCTTTTTCTTCATAATTTAGTGATGTATCTGACTTAAAAATGACTACTGAGACTAACTTCAAAAGCAATTAGAGGGGGAAGCTTGTGAGAATATCTAGTGCATTTTCAGAGTTTGAGGTTAATCAGATGCAAATGGTTTCATCATTGGTATATTGGCACATTAGGAAAAAGAATTATTCCTTGATTTAAGTGTTTGCAGTAGTTTAAATCATCTGTCTCCTCCGCATGCCCACTGAGAAGTGGTTTCTTCCGCAAGGTGGAATTATTTAACGGAGTGAGGTGAAGACGATGTCCGCTCTTATGCCTCACTGAGAAACAGTTAGAGGACTCCTTTATTTTTTTCTTAGTGAGATTTTTAGGCATGGGGTGAAACAAAATGGGTTTGAAATCAGGGAATTTTTACAAGCGATGTGTCTTGAAGGTGGGCTTTTGGCAAATTGAAGACAGCGGGTCCCTCAGCCCCCCGATCATGGTCCATGCGCCCCCAGGGATGGAGCAGTGAACGCACTCGGTGTGAGCCTTGCCGTGAGTCTATGCAGCAGTGAGGGAAGCTGAGGCCCAAAGGGAGCTCCTTGTGGCTTCAGGCTGTTTTGATCAAGGTGCTGAATCTGCCAGTTCATGTGAAGCCCCGGGGCTCGGAGAAGTGAGCTCTCCGCAGGCTTCTGCATCATTGAGGTTAGGTCTCCTAAGGAGCAGAGGCTGATCCCATCCCCACAGCAAATGGGCAGGAGCACTCGGGTCATAGGGATGAGGGTCCCCCGCCTGCTGCTGTGCAGTTGGGAGAGTGTGCTAGCGCGGCCCTGGGGGTGCACCCCAAGGGGAAGGGTGTTTTCATCTCAGGATGCGAAGCTTCCTGGAGGGAGTGGTAAAAGCTGGTCGTAGGCTCTAGGACAGTCGGTTCGTTTTCCTAAGTAGAGGTAGTAAATGTGGGGGCATGTTTTCTGGGGCTTCTTTGCCTACCTTGGGAGAGAAGACCTGTGGGCCAGGATGTCTTCTGGATGAAGAGGTGACTTGAGCCTGGAATACTGAGATCGGGGGTGACTCCGGGTCCCAGAGGCCAGGGAGGCTGGGCCGTGGCAAGTTCTGAGAGTTTGCCCGGTGATGAGAGGCCTAGCTAGCACAGGGCCCTCTGTCCTACAGACCCTTCCCTCCAGCTCCAGGGATGGTCAGGCCCCGGCAGTAGCCAGCGATCCCCACCTACGCTCATTTTATACTACTTTGAAGCCAGAAGCCTGGTTTATGAATTGGGAGAGGGGATACATCTACTCCGAAGACCAGAACGCCTGTGCCCACTGCTCAGGAGCCCCTGACACCCCCACACTCAGGCGCCCCACACACTCGGGGAGCCCACTTCATATTGATCAGATCATTTGCTGGCGTGGCTGGAGTCCTCAAGGGAAAGGTCTTGATCCCGTCTCAGCAGAAGGATTATGTTTCCTGGCTGAGAGGCAGGGTCATCACGGGCCTTCTCCGGAGGCCTGACTCGGGGCCCTGCAGGCAGAGCAGGGGTGAAGGCTGCCGGAGACCCCTTCAGCACAGGGCTGGCAGCACTGAGAGAGGCGAGCCCACTTGTGTCCATGACTACACCTGTGCTGCCTCCTTTCATTGATGACATTCTTCCCTTGTGCCGTATGGGCTGCCCTGACCTATAAATCTCATTTGCGAGCTGTTTCCAAGTCACAGTTTAGGATCGGTCAGTGTCAGAGTCACTAGCCCTGGTTGTTCCCTTTGTAGACCTTTGGAACTTTTTACAGTGGAGAATGGCCTTTTCTGACTGTCCTGGCATGGGGGGCTCTTCCATCTATGACGTCCCGCTTTCTCGGTTGGTGTCCAGACTTCATTGCGCCCACCTTTGTTCGCAGCTTCTCTTGTGTTCCTGTCTTACTGCTTCGCCCGGCTCGCGAGTTCTTGGGGAGGGGCTGTGTTTGATCCTGATGTGCAGCCAGCTGGGCGCAGTGTGTTCCCAGCAAGCTGTTGTTAATACTCACCAGCACCAGGTCACTTGTTGTTAATACTCACTGGCATCAGGTCGCTTGATGCACACCCAGGGGGGTTCACTCAATTTTGCTCATTCTGACCCCAGATTCCAGACTCTAACAAAGAGGCCCTATCCCAGAGTATAAATTGGAGACTCTAGACTGTCTCTTTTGTGATTCAGGACTTTGAGAAGACATAGGATTTCTGGAGAACTGCAGGCCCTGTGGTCTGATGTGATTTTTGTGTGAGATCCCGTCACACATCCAGGATAAGGTGCCCTGTGGGCTGTGCTGTCCACCTGCGGCCCCCAGTTTGCTTGTTGGTTAGGGCCTCAGGCCACGTGGGCTGGCCACCCAGGTCATCTGCTCTGCCCTTCAGGGCTCTGAGCTCTGGATGGGGGGAGCCCTGGGACTGAGGTTTGTGCCATGCCCTGTGATCTGTATATAGAAGATCAGGGTTCTCCCAAGCACTGTGTTGGGCAGATCTTGGTGGGAACTAAAACCAGAGGTCCTATTGTGTCATGCTGGCAACTTTCCCACTGTGGCAGAGGCTCAGTGGCCCATCATGGTCAAAATGGTCACCATTTATTGAGCCCTTTCTATGGCCAGGCTCTGTGCCAACACATCGGCATTTAACTCTCAACAACCCTGCAAAGAGGGATGAGCCCATTTCACAGATGAGAGGGGTTGCAGAACCTGTCCAAGGTCACGGTACTCTAAGTAGTGGAGCCAAGGGAAAAACTCAGGGCTGGCAGAGCCACGTGCTTTTACATGCTTGACCCTGTGCGCCAACCCCATTGCTTGCAGAATCGCTTTCTGTCCTAAGTGAGGGGAAGGGCTCAGCGCTCCTTCCTCTGGAGCTTGACTTCCTTCACCTGCCTCCTGGCACCATTATAGAAGGTGGAGCCGGGTGACCTTCTCCTTCACTGGTGAGGCACCCTCCCGCAGCCACACTGGAGTCTCTGTTTCCTGTGACTGATCTGCTCTGCCCAACGAGGCTGTGGAGTGGAGTGGCCAGATTTCTCCCTGGCTGGGCTTGGGCCCTTGCGTCATTTTCAGGGTGCCAAGTCAGGATGGAAGGAGGGTGCTGAGTGTTCTTGAGAGGCCTGCCTTTCTCCATCTCTTGGGACCAAGGAGCTGACAAACAGTACTTTACTAAACAGCACCGCCACCCTCCACACACACGCATGCACACACACCTGCACGCACGCATGCACACGCCCACACACATGCACAAACGTGTGCACACAGAGGGGACAGGCCCTACTCCCACCCCTGTTCTTTTTCTCACCTAGTCCCCCAGACTCCTTTGAAAAGCCAGAGGAGGAGGGTATTGGAGGTGTGGTTGCTGGGTGGGTTTTGTGGCCTGCCTCTGCCACAGGGGTACCAGGGCACTCCTCCCACTGAGCCTCCATCCTCCTGCCTCCCCTCCCACTGAGCCTCCATCCCCCTGCCTCCCCTCCCACTGAGCCTCCATCCTCTGCCTCCCCTCCTACTGAGCCTTTGTCCCCCTGCCTCCCCTCCTACTGAGCCTCTGTCCCCTACCTCCCCTCCCACTGAGCCTCTGTCCCCTGCCTTCCCTCCTACTGAGCCTCTGTCCCCTGCCTCCCCTCCCACTGAGCCTCTGTCCCCCTGCCTCCCCTCCTACTGAGCCTCTGTCCATCTGCCTCCCCTTCCCACTGAGCCTCTGTCCCCCTGCCTCCCCTCCTGCTGAGCCTCTGTCCATCTGCCTCCCCTCCTGCTGAGCCTCTGTCCATCTGCCTCCCCTCCTACTGAGCCTCTGTCCATCTGCCTCCCCTCCTGCTGAGCCTCTGTCCTCCTGCCTCCCCTCCTGCTGAGCCTCTGTCCATCTGTGTCCCCTCCTACTGAGCCTCTGTCCATCTGCCTCCCCTCCTACTGAGCCTCTGTCCATCTGCCTCCCCTCCTGCTGAGCCTCTGTCCATCTGCCTCCCCTCCCACTGAGCCTCCATTCCCTGCCTCCCCTCCTGCTGAGCCTCTGTCCATCTGCCTCCCCTCCCACTGAGCCTCCATTCCCTGCCTCCCCTCCTGCTGAGCCTCTGTCCACCTGCTTCCCCACTGAGCTAAGACTTCTCAGACATACTTCTTAACAGCGCCAGCCTCGGGCCTCCAGCATCAGGCCACCCTGGCCTTTCAGCCCTTTTCTCTCATTTCCTCCATAGATGCCTTTTTTTTTCACTCCAGTCTCACTGGGCCCCTCTGACTGCTGAGCACATCTTGCTCTTTGCCACCAGTGCCCCCTGCTAGGGCACTCCCCTTGCCTGTGGGGCCACCCCTGGCCATTCCCTCACTGTCCTTCAGGCTCAACTGCAGTCCCAGGTGTTCCACACACATGGGATCACAGCGTCTGGGCTGTCCACTTGGCACCTGCTCCTGCACTGCCGTAAGAACATTCTTCTCTTTCTGGTGGAGACTCCTTCAACTGTCTATGTCTGCTCTCCCTCTGACTACAAGGTCCTATGAGGACTCTTGTGTATCTTTGTCACTTGGGTGCTTATTACATACTTGTACATTTTTAAAAGGCTTAACGTCTGAGGTTAAGAGCTCTTGTGTCACCCCTTTGTGTGGCCCAGCGGCCCGCAGGCTGGCAGAGGAGTGGCTGCAGGGAATTGCTTCACTGGAGTCTGGGGAATGGTCTGGTTTGCATGGTGGCAGGTGAATTTCATGTTCCTGCCACCACCCTGCCTTGGTGGGGTGGGAGGGGCACATCCCAGACATGTCAGCTTGTTTATATTCAGGTCCCTGTTTGGTTTGACAAAGCAGAGGGTGTGTTGCTGGCGTCTTGACTTTAGGGAGGCCTGGTAGCCATGAACTATCACTGGGGATTTTTCAGTTACAACAAAAAGAGGCTGTGAATTGTGACCCCTGTCTGGATTTCAGCCTGTCTTCCCCCTTTTGGGAGACGATTACCTTCTGGCAGAAATAAGTGCATTCATCTTCTATTTAAGAAAAAAAATATTATCTTCTTTGAAATAGGCTCTTGCTATTCTAGGCATGAGAACAGGTCAGCCTTTATGCTGCTTAAACACAGCGGCGGCGGCTCTGTTGCACTCATCCTTGAGGCACATAGGGATGGGACACGTGGCCTCCCTTCCTCATCCGCACAACGGCTCAGTTTTTCTCCATGTTGTCAGAAAGACGCTCAGGGCATCGTGGGCCCTGCTGAGCTCTAGACAATGTGGGAGCCACAGGCAGATGCTGTGGGTCTGGGCAGACGAGGGCAGGCCAAGGAGGTCAGACTCAGCTCCCGCAAGCCCATCTGACTCTGGTGCATGTGCCCTGGCCCCGAGCATGCTCACTGTGACCAGGTAATGTGACTGGAGGTGTGCCCTACCTGACTGTGATGCGAAGAGCTGGCTGGTCACCCTGGCCCTCCGTTTTTTGAACTTCTGCGACATTTCTCTTCTAGGCCTCACATTTGTCACTTGTCACATGACACCATGCTTTGATGCTTTTACTGTGGGCATGTCTTCTCTCCCCACGCTCTTAGCGAGGTGACCTCTCTGAGGCCCCCACATTGCATACCAAGCTGGCTTGCCCATGGCTCTTCACTTGAGTATTGATCATTGCTGTTTTTTCTCTTTTATGTGTGAAATACTGTCTGAGAGTTAAGCCTCACATTCACATTCCAGTCAAGGGACCAACAGAGGATTTTCCTTCAGCGGATTTCATCATCTTTGTATCTTGACCTTTAGAGTTGCTAGAGCCTAATATAACTAACTCTTGATTCTTTATTATGAATTCACCATTTTGGATTATATGTGACAACCTGTAAATCCCTTAGCAGCTTCCCCAGCTGCATTGAGGCTCCTTGACCCACCCACTGGTGGCGAAAGCTTGGGGAGCATCAGGATTTTAATGGAACCTAAGCAAGGTGCAGAGAGGGCAGTAATAAGCCAGCCGCTGAACCTCACAGTGGGCTCCGCAACTGGGATCTCCTGGGACTGTCCGCCTGGAGGGCAGGAGCTGCACCCCCTGTCTCTGTTTTTAGTACTGTGCTGTGCACAGGCAGGCATCCAGTAAATGTTTGCTGGGTACATTGTCAAACAAGGATATTATCCAGAGTTGCCTTCTAGCTCAAAAGTCTGTGAACAGCTGAACCCATGATTATATGCACCTCTAGTCCCCTCTTATTTTTGTGGGAATGGTAAGGAAAAACTATAACTTGAGTCTTAACTATATCTCCCAAGTTAGGTTTGTAAATAATGAAAATAAAGGTTAATTTTTCTCCTTTCATTGGATTACATGGAACCTCCCTACTTTAGGAATCTAAAGTGACCAGAAAAAGTTATGAAACCTTCAAGGTTTTGGTGTTTTGCTCATCTGTTTCAGCAGAAGTCACTGATTTTCTGCATACTCCATGTAATGAATCTGGTATGCTGAGATAAGGACACCTGTGACTGAGATGATTTCTTTGGCGTCCGTGCAAGATAAAAGGTAGGTGCTAAGAGGAGCAAGGCAAATATATATTTAGCGATGCTGTCAGTGCCTTCACGTTTAATACCAGAAGGGTAAAAGGAACAAACCACCGGTACATGCAACAGCTTGGATGAAGCTCAAAAGCATCACACTTTGTGAAAGAAGCCAGTCTCAAAATGTTACATACTGTACGATTCCATTTTTGTGACATTCTCAAAGAGACAGAACGATCGTGACGGAGAACAAATCAGTGGTTGCCAGGGGGAAGAGTGTGTGGCTATAAAGGAGCAGCATGGGGGAGGATTTTAGGGGTGGGGTGGTGATGGGACAATTCTGCATCCTGACTGTGCTGGTGGCTACATGACTCTACATGTGTGTCAAAACCCATGGGCTTGTATGTCAAACCCAAGGCCGATTTATGGTGCTATCCTTTAGAAATAACGCAAAATATTTCCAGAAGGGTGAGCAATGCCTGCCAGGGGTGTCCAAGGGAGAGAGAGTACAGTCATGGGTTCTTAGTTTCTATTTCTGGCTGGTCTAGTAAAGCCCCTTCCTCATCCCTCTTTTCCACTTATCGCTAGAGACAGAAACTAAAAACCATGGCTTCAGGCTGCTAAAAGCCTAAAAGAAAACAAAACAGAACAACAACAACAAAGTAAGATAGGTTGGACAAGCTTGGTAGTCACTGACAACAGGCTCAGACCCCAGCCCTCCCTCCAGACGCAGGGTGTTGGTTCTGTGCTGAGGTTTAAACACATCCCCAGCCTAGGGCTCACTTCCATGTTGTGAGTGTCAATCATTCTGCCGACAGCAGCTGTCAGGACTCCCTGAAGGTCACAGTCTGGTTTCCTCTGCTGCATAAAAGATTGTGGAGTTTGCAGCTCTGCCCCAGACTTGCCCCTTAAGGTGAATGTAGGGCACAGGTTTGGGTGGATTTTTTTTGGGCCACTCTCAGGATTTATTTCCTTTTGAGACTATTTATATGAATATGTTTGTTTATATGAAATTGATGAATTTAGAAGAGTTATTCCTGTTCAGCTCTTGATTTATTCCTCTGAAATATTTTCTTGTCTGAAGTCATGCATGTGTCCAAAACTCTCCCCAGCACAGCTGTGTCTTGTCTCAGCGAGGGACTCCACCATCCACTCTCATGCCCGCATGTGAAACCTGGGTGCATGCTTGCCGTGTCTTCTCCTCACTTCCTGGCCTTGCTTCAGGCACCGTGTCCTGTGTGTTCTGTCCTCAAATTGGCCTACTCCTCCTGTCCCATGCCACCAGCCAGCCCTCCTGCCACAGCCCCCCACTCCCGGTTCTGCCCTGTCTTAGTCCATTTGAGTTGGTGTAACAAACTTCTGGAGATTGTTTGCTCACAGTCCTGGAGGCCGGAAGTCCTAGATCAAGGCGCCAGCAGATTCAGTATCTGGTGAGAATCCACTTTCTGGTTCGTAGGTAGCACCTTCCTGCTGTGTCCTCTCATGGTGGAAGGGGCAAGCGAGCTCTCTGGGTTCTCTTTTATCTTATTCATGAAGGCCCCAGCCCCATGACCTAATCACCTCTCAGAGCCTCCACCACCTAAAGCCATCAGCTTGGGGTTAAGATTTCAACACACGAATTTTGAGGGGACATGAACATTCAGACCATAGCAACCCTGTAACCAAGGGGATGGATCTTCCTCACAGTTGAATTTGATCATGAGATCCTCTGACTAAAATCTTGCCGTGCTTTAATTACCTTTAGAATAGAATCCAAACACCTTAGCATGGTGTAATGTTCTGGAATCATCTAGCCCCCTCTACTTAGTTCCCTTCCCCACCCTAATCCAGCTCTCAAAACTTCAGTGATACTGAATTTCTTCCAGGGCCTTGAGCAGGTTATGTTCCCCCCTGCCTCCGGGCCTCTACATCTGCCATTCCCTGGACCTGGAATCTCGTCTTCCCTGTTCTTTCCCTCCTTCCCACGCACCGTATTTGTCTGGTATGTTTTCCGTTCACCTGTCCAACTTCAGCCTAGTTCTGTCTTCCAAGCTGAGCGTCCGTCCTTCCTGCCCTCAAAACCACCAATCCTTCTATCCCAGCACCTGCCCAACTGTGTGTGTCATAATTCTAGATCTAGGCTATAAGATCTTTGCCATCAAGGCCCTCCCTCTGTTGTCACTGTTGTATCCTAGGCACCTAGCATGGTGCTTGTAGCTAGAAGCTGCTGAGGACAAATTTTCTGATGAATGGACAGAGGCATCTATGAGATCCCAGAGCCAGCCACCAACAGGAATATTTTTGTTTTTTTTTAAGACAGGGTCTCCTCTGTTGCCCAGGCTGGAGCGTAGTGGTATGATCATGGACCGCTGAAGCCTCAATCTCCCAGGCTCAAGTGATCCTCCAACCTCAGCCTCCTGAGTAGCTAGACCACAGGTGCATGTCACCACACCTGGCTAAATTTTTAATTTTTTGTGTTTGTAAAGTTGAGCTCTTGCTATGTTGCCAAGGCTGGTCCTGAACTCCTGAGCTCAGGTAATCCTCCCACCTCTGCCTCCCAAAGTGCTGAGATTACAGACATGAGCCACCATGCACAGCCACCAACAGGAATGTAATCAGTGACATCTAGGTGCAGGTCACTGTCTTCGGATTTGCTTACATTCTGCTTAGGGAGATCATAACTGTTGACATACTTGAAAATAAGTGTGTTAAACCACGGGACATGATCTCCAGATGCCATCCAGGGAGAGGACAGAGGCTGAGGAGTTGAGGCTGTTGGAGAAGGTTCTCAGAGCTTCTTTCCCCACACCGTTTCTTGCCTGTTTTCTCATTGCGTATATATAAATATATTGGCCTCACTTCTCTCACTACACAGATTGCCACCCACTCACCAGTGCTGGGCCAGGAGGGCCCGCCCCGCACCCCTCTGTGCGTGACTTTAGGTAACTCCGGGGATTTTCCATCGTACATTGGGAAATCACATCTCCGGCTATTTTATATGGCCACTCTGCCCAGCCTCTCAGGTTCATGCTGCTTTTATGTGGTGTGGTTGTGTTGTTGCTTCTGTGTGCTAATTCACATTGACGCTCTTCCTCATGTGGCCTCTCCTGAGCCATCTCTCTCCTTCAGGGTGACTTCGCAGCCAAATCATTTATGGAGATGTGATGGGAGGGGGTGTTCTCACCCTCTTCCCACTCTGCTTTCCCTCCCCCTATACCTAAAATATCGCTTTCCGCTTGGAAAGAAGTGTCTTGAATCAGAGCTTAAGCAGAAGCATTGCTGATTCGAACTATATAGCCAGCGCCACTGGCGGAGGAAGAGGAAGTGGTGTGTAGGGGAGGTGAGTGCAGGCACGGAGTAGCTGAGTGTGCTCTGGGCCCTGTTGAGAGGAGCAAGCCCATTGCTTCTTGACCCTGGCTGCCCCTCGGAATCTCCTGGGGAGCTTGAACACAGCCTGATGCCCACGCCCATGCCCAGTGAATTCAGTCAGCGCCTCTGGGGGTGGCACCCAGGGTCTCCACTGTGTGGTGCACGGGCGTTCGTGTGGATGCGATCATAAGTATTTGCTGATTCTTATGCCCTGACTGGGCTACCCCTGACGGCATGGATTTCCTCAGTAAAAGACAACCTGTTCAAAATGAGGGGGACAGAAATAGACGTGGGAGACTTCCTTCTTTTTAACTATCGCTTAATTACATGATGTAATTGGGGGAAAATACACTACAGAAGCAATAGAAGTAAAAAGATATAATCCCTTCCCCAGAGATAAAGCCATTGTGTATCCTTCCAGATCTTTTTGATATGTTTACACAGCAGGATATGAAAATAGGGCTCCTTCAGGCGGGGTGCAGTGGCTAATGCCTGTAATTCCAGCACTTTGGGAGGCCGAGGAGGGCAGATCACGAGGTCAGGAGATCGAGACCATCCTGGCTAACATGTTGAAACCCCGTCTCTACTAAAAAATACAAAAAATTAGCCAGGTGTGGTGATGGACACCTGTAATCCCAGCTACTTGGGAGGCTGAGGCAGGAGAATGGCGTGAACCCAGGAGACGGAGCTTGTAGTGAACTGAGATCGCATCACTGCACTCCAGCCTGGGCAACAGAGCGAGACTCGTCTAAAAAAAAAAATAGGGTTCCTTCTCTTGACTGAGGACAGTTTGGTAGCATCAGACAGCTCCTTGTCCCATGATGTGGTGAAGGCAGACTGGATCTAGTGACCTCCAGCCTGCTACAGAGGTGCACTTTCAGGTGGAGAGGATTACCTTGGAGAATGGTGCAAGGAGCCCATTTCCCTCCCTGTGCCCCGCTCCCTGCTGCTGTGCCTGGAGGCTGAGGGCACCTGGGAAGGGCCTTTCTGGGCCGAAGATGCTCCTGCAAGGGGTGATGTCAGGGTATAGGCTCCCCACACGGGAGCCGGCCAGGGATTTGTGAGCTGGCGGTGGAGAGGCCAGGCCCAGGTATCAGAGAAACCAAAAAAATCTGTGGCTGAGGTCCCTCGGAGAGGCAGAGCAGGGCCACAGAGTGAGTTTAGTAAGAGTGTGAGGAAGGGTGCAGTGGGTTTCTGCTTTCACCGTAAGGAGTCCAGCTGGGTCTATCACTGGCTACATTTACATATATATAATATGCATATTAGGGTTTAGGGTTTTTTTCCAAAAATAAAATCATACTGTATATATGCATGTTTTCCTCAGATCATTTTTAAAAAAATTTTATTTTATTTCTTTTTTTTTTGAGACTGAGCCTCACTCTTTCGCCCAGGCTGGAGTGCAGTGGTGTGATCTTGGCTCACTGCAACCTCTGCCTTCTGGGTTAAAGCGATTCTCCTGCCTCAGCCTCCGGAGTAGCTAGGACTACAGGTGCCTGCCGCCACACCCGGCTAATTTTTGTATTTTTAGTAGAGATGGGGTTTCACTATGTTGACTGTCTGGACTCGAACTCTTTACCTCAAGTGATCCGCCCACCTCAGTCTCCTAAAGTGCTGGGATTACAGGTGTGAGCCACTACGCCTGGCCTGCTCAGATCTTTTTTTTTTAATTTACAATATATTTTATAGATACTTCTATGTCCATAAATAGATCTACCTCATTTCTTTTAGCTACCCTTTAGTAGCTAATCATTCTCTTACCAAGGAATATTTATGATATGTATAATTTTTTAATACAAACCTGACTGCTGGGAATATATTTATTCATTTATCTACATTTGCCTCTGTGAATATTTCTGTAGAATAGATTCCCAGAGGTGGAATTGCCTGGTCAAAGGATGAGTACTTTTAAGATTTTGATAGAAATTGCCAAATGGCTGTCCAAGAAAGGTATATGATTTTTTTACTCCTACAAGCAGTATGTTGGCATGCCTATTTCTCATACTCTGCCAATTGAGTAGTGTCTACCTTCTTAAATTTCCAGGAGTCTGATTGTTACATTTAGTTTTCAGTAGGATTGCCCATTTTGAATTTGCTATCATGTGAATTGTTTTTACATGTCCTTTGCCTACTTTTCAATTGAATTTTTACCATTTTTCATACTGCTTTATAGGACCTCTTTATAAATCAAGGATGGATACAGTCACGCAGACACCCTTTATTGTATATGTTATATATACTTCCTCCTAGTCTGACTCATGCCTTCCAACTTTATTGAAAGCTTTCACAATGTGGAAAAGGTTTGAAATAAATAAAATAGAAAGTCACATACTTTTAGGACAAAAAATGTAAAGGGCTTATGATTTGTATACAGCCTTCCAAATTATGTTCAACTTGACCAAATAAGAAAGAAAAAAAATATCCAGGATTTACATTGTTATAACTGTCTTAGATTGCTATTGTTTCACTTCCTCCTCTCTACTTTTAAAATAATTGACATATAATTAGCATATCCCCAAACAAGGTTGTGAACCATCAATACTATCTAATTCCAGAACACTTTCATTACCCGAAAAAGAAACCATGTACCCATTACAGGTTGACCATCCCAAATCCAAAATTCTGAAACCCAAAAAGCTCCAAAGTTTGGATTTTTTTTTTTTTTTTTTTTTTTTTTTTTGAGACGGAGTCTCCCTCTGTCACCCAAGCTGGAGTGCAGTAGCGTGATCTTGGCTCACTGCAGCCTCTGCCTCCGACATTCAAGTGATTCTCCTGCCTCAGCCTCCTGAGTAGCTGGAATTACAGGTGACCACCACCATGCCTGGCTAATTTTTTTATTTTTAGTAGAGACGGTTTCATCATGTTGGCCAGGCTGGTATTGAACTACTGACCTCAAGTGATCCGCCCACCTTGGCCTTCCAAAGTGCTGGGATTACAGATGTGAGCCACTGCGTCCAGCCCAAAGTTTGGAATCTTTTATTTATTTATTTATTTATTTATTTTTGAGATGGAGTCTTGCTCTTGTCACCCAGGCTGGAATGACACAATCTTGGCTCGCTGCAACCTCCATCTCCTGGGTTCAAGCAATTCTCTTGCCTCAGCCTCCCAAGTAGCTGGGATTACAGGTGCCCACCACCATGCCCAGCTAGTTTTTGTATTTTTGGTAGAGACGGGGTTTCACCGTGTTGACGAGGCTGGTCTCGAACTACTGACCTCAGGTGGTCCACCCACCTCGGCCTCCCAATGTGCTGGGATTACATGTGTGAGCCACCACGCCCAGCCCCCAAAGTTTCAAATGCTTTGGGCATCGACATGTGGCTCAAATGAAATGCTCATTGCAGCATTTCAGATTTAGGATTTTTGGATTTGGAATGCTTAACTGGTATATATAATGTAAAATATTCAAAAATCTGGAAAACCCCTAACTCTGAAACACTTCTGATCCCAAGCATTTTGGATAAGGGATACATAATTTGTACTATTCTTTAAACATTTAGTAGAATTTATCTGGTAGAAGCCACCTGAGCCTTGGCTTTTCTTTGCGGGAAGTTTTAAAAGTCTTAATTCAATCTCTTCGGTTGTTTTGGTCCATTCATAATTTTTATTCCTTCTTTAGTCAGTTTTGGTAGTTTGTGTCTTTCTAGAAATTTGACCATTTAGGTTATCTAGCTTGTTGGCATGCCATTGTTTGTATTATTTTCTTATCATCTTTATTTCTGTAATGTTGGTAGTGATGTCCCCTCTTTCATTCTTAATTTCCGTAATTTGAGCCTTCTCTCCTTTCTTCTTGGTCAGTCTAACTAAAGGTTTGTTGATTTCATTGGTCTTTTCAAAGAACTAACTTTTGGTTTTGTTAGTTTTCTTTGTTTTTCTACTCTCAATTTTATTAATTTCTTCTCTAATCTTTATTATTGTTTTTCTCCTGTTTGCTTTCAGTTTCTCTTGCTCTTTTTCTGATTCCTCAAAGTGGAAGTTTAGGTAATTGATTTGAGACTTTTCTTCTTTTTTAACATTGTCACTTACAGCTATAAATATCCTTGCAAGCATTGTTTTAACTGCATACCATAAATATTGGTATGTGGTGGTTTTGTTTTTATTAATATCAAAGTATTTTCTACTTCTCTTATGATTTCTTCTTTGATCCATTGGTTATTTAGGAGTGTGTTGTTTAATTTCAATCTATTTGTGAATTTCTCAAATTTCTTTTGTTAGTGATTTCTAACAATTCTGTTGTGGTTGGAGAACATACCTTGCATGATTTAAATTTTCAAAAATTTGTTGAGACTTATTTTATGACCTGAGAGATGGTCTATCCTGGATAATGTTCCATGTGCCTTTGAGAAGAATGTGAATTCTGCTATTACTGGATGAGTATTCTATAGATGTCTGCTAGGTCTAGTTGGCGTAGCATGCTTTTCAAGTCTCCTATTTCCTTATTGATCTTATGTTTAATTTTTCTATGAATTATTGAAGTAGGGTATTGAAGATTCCAACTATTACTGCTGTCTTCCTTCAGTTTTGTCAGCTTTGCTTCATGTATTTTTGGCCTCTGATATTAGATGCACATATGTGTGTGGTTGTTTAATCTTGATTCATTGGTACTTTTGTCATTATACAATTTCCCACTTTGTCTGTAGTAATTTTTATCTTAAACAGACAATATTTTTTCTGTTATTAGTATAGCCACTCCAGCTCTGTTTTGGTTACTGTTTCCTTTCTTTCTTTCTTTCTTTCTTTCTTTCTTTCTTTCTTTCTTTCTTTCTTTCTTTCTCTCTCTTTTTCTGTTTCTTTCTTTCTTTTTCTCTTTCTCTCTTTCTTTTTCTTTCTTTCTTTCCTTCCTTCCCCTTCCTTCCTTCTTTTCTTCCTTCCTTCCTTCTTTCCTTCCCCTTCCTTCCTTCCTTCTTTTCTTTTCTTCCCCCCCCTTTTTTTTTTGACAGAGTCTTGCTGTGTTGCCAGGCTAGAGTGCAGTGGCATGATCTCGGCTCTCTGCAACCTCTGTCTCCCAGATTCAAGCGATTCCCTTGCCTCAGCCTCCCGAGTAGCTGGGACTATAGGTGCATACCACCATGCCTGGCTAATTTTTTGTATTTTAGTAGAGATGAGGTTTCACCATATTGGCCAGGATGGTCTCAATCTCCTGACCTCATGATCCACCTGCCTTGGCCACCCAAAGTGCTGGGATTACAGGCGTGAGCCACTGCGCCCGGCTTGGTTACTGTTTTCATAGTATATATTTTTTTCCATTCTTTTACTTTCAACCTATTTGTGTCTTTGAATTTAAATGTGTCTGTTGTATACAGCATAGATGTAGATCTTTTTAAAATTTTATTCTATTAACCTCTGCCTTTTAATTGGAGTATTTGAGTGATTTTTACTTAACATAATTTTTAATAAGGTGGGATTTACATCTGCCATTTTGCCCTTTGGTTTCTGTACATTTCATGTCTTTTTTGTGTCTCTATTCCTCCATTGCTCCTTTGATGTTCAACAGATATTTTCTAGTGTACCATTTTAATTCCCTTGCCATTTCTTCTACCATTTTTTTAGTTATTTTCTTAGTAATTGCCCTGGGGGTTTCAGATTGCATCTTAATTAATAACAATCTAGTCTGGATTAATACCAACTTAATTTCAATAATATACAAAAACTTTGCTCTTACATATGTCTATTCCCTCCTCCCTTTTCTGTGCTGTTGTTATACACATTATGTCTTTATATGCTCATTAACACAGATTTATAGCTATTACTTTCCACAGTCGTCTTTTAAATTAGAAGGAAAAAATTACAAACAAAAGTATATTTATACTATGTTTTATTTTTACCCATGTAATTGCCTTAACTAGTACTCTTTATTCTTTCATTTGGATTTGGATTACTGTTCAATGCTCATTTCATGTAAGACAGGTTTGCTAGTGCTAATTTCTCTATGGTTTTTGTTTATCTTGGAATGTCTTAATTTTCCCTTCTTTTAAAAATTGAGGTGAAATTCATGTAACATAAAATTAATCATCTTAAACTGAATGATCTAGTGACAGTGCATTTACAGTGTTGTACAACCACCACATGTATCTAGTTCCAAAACATTTTCTTCACCCCAAAAGAAAACTCTATACTCGTTAAGCAATTTCTCCCCATTCCTTTTATTTTTGAAGGGTAGTTTTGCTGGATATAGTGTTCTTGGTCCACAGTATTTCTCCTTCAGCCTGGATAGTTCATCTCAGTGCCTTCTGGCATCCATAACTTTTCATGATAAATCAGTTACTAATTTTATCTTATATGTGATAAGTCACTTCTCTCTTGCAGCTTTCCAGATTCTCTCTTTGTCTTTGGGCTTGACTGTTTGATTATGATATGTCTAGGTGTCGATCTCTTTGAGTTTATCCTCCTTGAAGGTCATCAAGCTTCTTGAATGGGTCGTGTTTTCCTCAAATTTTGGAAGTGTTCAGTTACTAGTTCTTTGAATATTCTTTCTGCACCTTTCTCTTTCCTCCGTTTCTGTGGCTCTCAGTGTACACGTTGTATGCTCAGTGGTATCCTACCCCAAGGTCTTTGAGGCTCTGTTCATTTTTCTTTTTCTTTTTTTCTTTGTCACCCCGGCTGGAGTGCAGTGGCTTGATCATGGCTCATTGCAGCCTTGACCTCCAGGGCCCAAGCAAATCCTCTGCCTCAGCCTCCTGAGTAGTTGGGACTACAGGTGCACACAACATGTTTGGCCAATTTTTAATTTTTTTTTAAATAGAGATAGGACCTTGCTATGTTGCCCAAGCTGGTCTTGAACTCCTGACCAGCAATTCTCCTGCCTCAGCTTCCCAAACTGCTGGGATTATAGGCATGAGCCACTGTGCCAAGCCATTTTTCTTCATTGTTATTTTTTTCGATGCCTTAAATTGGCTAATCTCAATTGACCTGTCTTCAAGTTCACTGAATCTTTCTTCTTTTAGTTTAGATATGCTATTGAGCCCCTCTAGTGATTTTTAAATTTCAGTAATTGTACTTTGCAACTCCAGACCTTCTATTGGTTCTCTTTAAAAATTTTTCCTTATGTGTATTGTCTATTTGATGAGGCATCATTCTCATACTCTCCTTTATATATGTTTTCTTGATTCTTTGAAAATATTTAAAAGAATTTATTTAAGTTCTTTGTCTAGCAGATCTGACTGGGCTCCCTATATGTGGACCATATTTTCTTGTTTCTTCTTATATCTTGTAATTTTTTGCTGAAAATTTTAAAAATATAATGTGGCAACTTAGAATATTAGATTCTTTCTCTCTCCCTAGGGTTTGTTGTTGTTGTTCTTTGTTTATTGACTTTTCTGAACTAATTCTGTAAGGTTTATATTTTTGTCATGTGTGGCCACTGAAGTCTCTGCCTAGTTGGCTTAGCAATCAGCTAATGATCAGACTGAGATTTTCTTAAACATTTAGAACTAGTAAACCTCCCAATATTTGCTGAAATCTCTGTGTGCATGTTGGGACACTCCTTTCAACACTCAACCAGGCAGTTGATGACTCTGTCTAAACCCTCTCTTCCTATTTGTGCAGAATCTCAAGATCAGCCTTGAGAGCTTAGTTAGGGCCTTCTCAGGCCTTCCCTGAGTATATGCGCAGGTGATATTCTAGATACCCAGGGATATGCTGAGCTTCCTTGCAAGCTTTTTAGACAATCTGTTGTTTGCCCCAACTGTTATTCACTTCCTCAGGCAGCTGTGAAGTTAAATATTTGCCGGTAATTGTCTTCAGCAAGCACCTCAGTGGGAGAGAAAAGGCTTTTCACACTGGGTGACTTCTGACTCAGGTCATAGTGGGTTTTCCTTCTTGCAAGTGAGGTTTTTCAGGGAACCACCAGCCAGGTCAATTAATGACAAATCTCTGAGAATGAAGCTTTGAAGAATCTTCAACCCAGTTGTCCCCTTCCAGCAGCTGCCAGGCTGCTGGTTTATACAGTTATTAGGAAGCTGTTGGTTGTCAAGGCTGCCATGGAACTAGAGAGCAGGGTAGTGAAATATGGCAAGCTAAAATGCTGTAGAGCTCACTAATTTTACCGAGATTTGGCTGTTTATCTCAAATAAATGTTCCCTGAATTATTGCATTAATTTCCAGAGTTCTGACAAAGTTCATTCTGACCTTTTTTTTTTTTAACCAGTTTTCTCATTATTTTCATGGGGGAGAGAGTTTTTGGAGATCCTTATTCTGTCATTTTTGCTGATGTCACTTGCTTTTGGTTTTATTATTTAAAGTGTTTTGAATCACATTGAATGTTTGATATCATCATATTTGATTAACCAAGAGAGATCAGTTTTGTCACTCATTCACTTTGTGTCCTGAGGCAAGTTGCAGAACCTGTCAATCTCAGTTCCATTGCTTGAAAAATGGTTGGTTGGTTGCCAAGTGAGAGCTCCAGTTTTTACCACCTCTGAGATTCTGAGCCTCTGAAGGCCATATTTTCATCTGCATTTTCTATTATCCCCTTGTGCAGTTTTATTGAGCTTATTTTTTTAAGTTCATACCACACCCTGTCAGTCATATTTTCATGACAGTTATTTCATTCTGAATGGTAAACATTAGCATCCAACAGCATCATTATGGCTTTTGGCTGTTATTTATTTCTGCTGAGAAACTTTAAAAATGCAGTTGCTATGTATTTTACCACCATAACAAAACTGGAAAAAAAATGCAGTAGCTTTTCCCACCAACATCCTCCCCCTTGGTTTAGCAGCTCCTCGGCATAAGTTAAAAGAGAGACCTTTAAATCAGCCTAGTACAGGGTACTGATATGAAGTCAGGAGTTCCGATCCCATATTATCCAAGCCTTACGTCTCACACACCCTTCATAGTTGCTGAGGAATTGGCCCCAGCAGCAGATTTCAGTCACTGTCTAGACTGGATCATCTCTATGAACCACAGCCCCTGTATTTGAGCTTCGACTTCTTCTGATGGTCCCATGGTACAGATGCCTAATTGCCATAGATACACACCCTTCCACACTCCTACACCTTTCTATGCCCTGCACCCTCTTGCTACCTTCCTTTTGAGCTGAAGCTGACTCAGTGGTCACTTGTTCCAAGGTTTGAAGAAGCAGGCACAGGATCTGACTGCACTCTCTGGAAGGCCCAAGTCCATCCTCCTGTTTTTCAGGTGCCTGCAGGTGGGGATAGGTCTCAGTCCTGTCAGGCTGCTCTAACAGAATACCATGAACTGGGCGGCTCACAAACAACAGCAGTGCCTTTCTCACAGTTCTGGGAGCCAAAAAGTTCAAGATGAAGGCGTTGGCAGGTTGGTGTCTGGCAAGAGTCCCCTTCCTGGTTCATGGACAGCTGTCTTCTCTCTGTGTTCTCACATAGCAGGAGTGAGGGAACACTCTGGGGTCCCTTTTATAGGGCACAGATCCCATTTGTGAGGGCTCCACCCTCATTACCTAATCACCTGCCAAAGGTCCCACCTCCTAATACCATTGCACTGGGGATTAGGTTTCAACACGTGAATTTTAGGCAGGGGACCTAACAATTTTGTGTATATAGGATCATCCATGCAATCCTCTGTCCACTGGAGTTGGGTCAGGTGGCAGTGATGGGCAGGGATGTCCTGCTGCCTGGCTCTGTCACTGTGGAAGAGGGTGGGGTTCAGGTCCAGCCCCACCACCTTACTCTATTTTGCCTGCTTCCAGCCCTGCATGTTTCTTCTCTGAAGACCTGTGCAGAGAGTGTGATAGGTACTTGGCAATATCTGGCTATTGCCCTCCCTGTCCTTCTGTGTTGAGCCCTTTCTCCTGGCTGTGTGAGCTGTGCAGGCCCCTGAGTTATTTGGCCAGTGTAGGAGATTGCTGCTGATCCAGGCTCCCTCTTGGACTCAGTGCTGCTGGTCTGTGGCAGGCAGGGGCAGGTGTTTGCCTGTGCTTCCAGGCCTCCTTAGCACCAGGCTCTGCCGTGCCGCCCCCCTCATGCCCTCTACTGGCCCGTATCTCCAGGTGGGTGGGGCACCTGTGGGTCTGCTGCCCCGCTCCTGCCCCATCCCCCCAACACACGCCGCTTCCCAGCCACCGATCAGCTCCTGTGGGCGGCACTATTTCTGAATCCCAGTGAGTTAGGACGGGACAGCCAGAGCAGGTCTGTCTGGAGGTGGTGTGGGTGGGTGCCCATGTGCTGCATTTTGAGAGATGCCAAAAATAACAGTGAGCAATAATCCCTGCCATTAGCTTCATCCCTCCTTTGTACATTACATCATCTCATTCGGTCCTAAACAACAGCCTGGATGACAGGCCTTGTTTTCCCCTTTTGATAGGTGAGAAACTTACTAGGCCCAGGCTGTTAAGCAACACCAGGGCTCCAGTAAAGACAGAACTTGGAGTTACTTCTGTTCTACCCGGGCTCGGGTTTATTCTCTGGATGGTAGAAATTTGTCATCTCTGGTTCGTTGCACTGGCTGTGTTAGCTTTATACAAACACGCTCTTCCCAACGGGCCAGGGAACCAGTGGGAGCAATATGCTGCTGCCCCTTGCCGAGCACCTGATACGTACATGACTCCAGGCTGAGCTTTCCAGGTGCAGGTCTCAGGCCAGCAGTGCAGGCGCCTGAGAACTTTCAGCCTTGTTTATGCTTTGAGCCCCTAGGGCTGACTGCCTGCCATCTTAATCCCACCCAGCCTGGTGTTTCTTCCAGCCTCCAGCACCCAAGTTCTGGGAGGTGGATTGTGGTGCCTAGGCATGTGGATGGGAGAAACACCACTGTTCCTCCATGCCAACAAGACCTCCATCCTCCCAGCTCTGTGCCAGTCACCCTGGGTTGGCATGGAGCCTTCTGTCTTGTGGTCTCTTTTGTTTTTGGTGACCTGCCCTGCCCTAGGGCACCCCGCCCCTGCTCCCAATGGGCACAGAATACTGTATGAGACATCCAAAGGCTTCCTTTCCCAAACACCACTTGCAGCTCTTTCTATCCAAGGACCTTGCTGCCACTACCTGGGTCTGCCTATGTCTGTCTCACTCTAAGACGCTTCATCCTTTGCTAGGTTCTTTCCCACCTGGCAGGAGAAGTGTGGCCATCAGATCACACTGGGCACGTGCAGGGGATGGGCCAAAGCTTGAGGTTTGCTTATTCTGCTGGTTACTGAGCTGTTGAAAAGTCACCCTGATACAAAGGGGTCATCCCTCTACCCTGTGAATCCACAACAAACAGATGCTGCTTCTACTGATACCTGCCTTAGAGATTGCCTCAGCCTGTCCTGGCTGTCACTGAAAGTCCTGAAAGTATCCCAAGCCCCTTTGTTCTACAGATCTAAAAATGGAACCAAACAAAGCATTCCGTGTGGAATCGGGGGGTTCAAATGGTTTGACATCACTCAGCCAGCCCCTGTTTGCTCAGGGAATGAGTTGGGACTCTTTCTGTTGCAGATGAGGCTTGTTTGGCTTTAAAAAAACCAGAGAGACAGGTTTTATGGCTCATCTGGAAAATCACAGCTAGCTAGCTTCAGGAATAGCTGGATCCAGGACTCCCAACAGAGTCCCCAGAGGCATTTGCTTTTCCTCTCTTCATTGTGCGGTGCTTCCTTCCTTCATAGACTCTCATTTTCCCAGGCCCAGCAGAAAAGAAATATTCTCTTGCAACAATTCTGAAAATCCATGAGCTTCACTCTCCTGGGCCTGAAACCAGTCACATACCTGTCCCTGAAACAGCCACTCTTGCCAGGGGATAGAACTACATTGACTGGCTTAGGCCTGGGCCATGTCTGCAGTTTCTGTCTTGGGCCATACTATGTATTAAGAGTCTGGCTAACTGAATTCCTGGGTGATCACAATTTCTAGCCCTGCTGGAGGAGTGGTCCCCTCTGTTCAGTAGTGCCCTGAGTAGAGCTGCTGCCTCACCACTGGTTTCAAGTGAAATGCAGCCTAAGTGGCCTTTAGTCGCCCGGCTGAGTTCCCATTTCTAGGAGGCTGCAGTCCCTCCATTCTCCTTTATTTGGCCTTCAGTGACTCAAAGGAAAACCTTTTGTTCTGGAGACTGTCGTATGGGACGTGGAACCAGGTGCCCCCACACAGCAACCATGTTGTGTTTTAGTCCCATCAACTCTACTGTTCCCAGGTCCTCCCCCAGGATTAGAAAGCATCATGCCCCTTCCCAGGGAACTCCAGTTGTCCAGGCCTTCTGAGTGCAGCCTAAACAATTAGAGGCTGGGTCTTCCTGGGCTGCCTTAAGCCTGTGTTGGAAGAGGCACCTCTCAGAAGTGGACTGGATCAACTTCAGAGACTCCCTCCTCTCCCCGCCATGATGCTGTGTGCCCAGCTTCCACACCAGGTCACAGACCCGGAAAACACTCGTTGGCCATGAGTGGCTTCCATCGCCTGGATGGTGCAGAAACCAAGCTTGTGGCAGCTCCTTGTCCTTGTGGGTGAGCCCCATTTGCATATACATGGCGCCCCAGCTGAAGGCTCCCCTGATGACACGAGGGTCACACTCAAAGGTGTTGATACACCTCTAGAACCGTGGTTCTCTACTCTGCCTGCATTCCAAAATCACCAGGGTGGGGCTTCAAAAATTACACACCCTTGCCCCACTGCCAGCAGCTGGGCTGAGGCATAACCTGAGTGTCAGGATTTGTCAGAGCTCCCAGGCAATTCTGATGTGCAGCTGGGGTTGAGAACAAGAGCTGTAAGGCAGTGCTTCTCAAGCTTGAATGTGCAGAGGAACCACCTGGGGACCTTGGTGAAGTGCAGATTCAGATTCCCCAGTCTGCGGGGAGCCTGAGTGTCTGCATCTCCGACCTGCTCCCAGGTGGGGCTGAGGCCGCTGGGCCCCAGGCTGCACTTGAGGGGCAGGGGTACCAGCGTTCCCTCCGTGAGGCTTCTGAACATGCCCTGGCAGGTGAGCACATCAGCCTGTGACCATGCTCACCATCACAGACTTGGTCCTACAGGGCTGCCTCCAGGTAGAAACCAAAGCCACAGCCTCCCCAGACACAGAAGTGTCCATCTGGTTTCAAGCAGGTGCCGAGTGCGGCCCATCTGACGTGTCGGCTCTGAAGCCACTAGGAGCCCTGCAGTGGCGCTGATAGCCATCCTGAGAGTGGAAGGGGTGAGGCCTCTCCAGGGGGTTTTAGCTCACAGCCCCTCAAGCTATTAAAAAGGGCATTCTGCAAGTTCTCCTTCAGCCACAGCAGCCGAGGGGCCAAGTGAGTAGGGGAGGCAAGGCTTCCCCCTTGCGGGGAGGTGGATGTGTCACACTTGTCCAAATGACCATCTGTCACAGTGGCCAGAAAGCCCCCCGGCTGGGGGCTCTCCCGACACCTGCCTTCCCTCGGGACCCATTGGGGCAAGTCTGGGTTGAGTTTGGCTCCAGTGCCTTGCCCTTGGAGCAACTAGATGCAGGTGTGGGAGGAGACCTTGTCAGCTCCTCTCCTGGCTTTGTGGCCACCTGACCTCGCGGCCAGAGAACTGGAAATCCTCTTACTAACCCAGGGGCAGACACCCTGCAAACACCCGCTCAGAAACACACTCCATCCTATCGTCTGTAGGACTCAGGATGCCCAGAGAAGGGGGGGCCCACCTGCCCGCCGTGCCCATACTGATGCAGCGATGTCACTCACTGCCACCTGATGATGCTACCTTTTAGTCACAACTCCGAGTTGCCTGGCTTGGTGCTCATAATATTCTATTCAGCTACTGCTTAAGGAGTAAGCATATATCAGCTACTTAGAACAGCGCCTAGCACAGGGTAAGCTGCCATCATCATCATGCCTTGGCTTCCTGGAACAGTAAAGTTGGAGAATTCTCCAATGTCCTTGTTCGTTCACAGGATCTTGTCTGATCAGCACAGCCCGTCCTCCTCTGGTCACTCTTCCGTGCATCAGTCAACTAAGGAACGCAGGCAAATGCTCCCTTAGTGACTACAGTACCATGCCCAGTGCTGCGTCCAACATAACCTGTACCAATAGGAGGATTACACAGTGTACGCGTTGCACTGTATTAATAACTCTGCATTTATTTAACACCTACCAAGTACTCAGCACTGTGGGATATGCAGAACTTATCAAGTTTATTGGTACCGTGCACACGCACTTTACAGTCTAACTGAGGAGGCCAGTTATGACCCATGAGGCAACGCAGAAGTCATTATGTGCTAAATGGTGTGGGCCACCTGTATACTGTGTCCACCCCCATGGAAATATTGAAGAAAATTGAGGCTTCGCTGCTTTTTTAAAGATCTTTGAAATACAGAGGCTGAGGCTGCGCACAGTGGCTCACGCCTGTAGTCCTAGCACTTTGGGAGGCCAGGGCGGGCGGATTGCCTGGGCTCAGGAGTTCGAGACCAGCCTGAGCAACACGGCGAAACCCTGTGTTTACTAAAATGTAAAATATTAGCTGGGCACGGCAGTGTGCACCTGGGACAGCTACTCGGGAGGCTGAGGCAGGAGAATTGCTTGAACCCAGGAGGGAAAGGTTGCAGTGAGCCGAGATTGCGCCACTGCACTCCAGCCTAGGCAACAGAGTGAGACGCCATCTCTGAGAAACATAATAATAAATAAAATACAGAGGCTAGAATGATTTGGAATGTTAGGTGTCTCATATAATGAGCCAAATGCATTTCCATATTGTTCTGTGTCCTCACTCTCTAAATGCATGTCTCAGAATTACAAACTAGGAAGATATTGATGTCGAACCAGGCCAACCCCACATCCACATCACACAGAGAATCCTATGAAACAGTTCAAAGAAAATCAACTATTTGACATTTGTTTTTCTTAGAGATTCAGAAGAAATGAACACAGTGAAAGACCTTAATAAAAGCGAGTGCAGGTTTGGTATCTGAGGCATTCTTTCCTTAGGTTTTCTAAGCATAGGTGGTGAGGCTCACTCATTCATAAAACATTTATCAAGCCTCACTGTGCATATGTATTAGGGCTACCAAGATGAAAAGAACTGGTTTCTGCCCTCAGGGAGCTCAGAGTCCAGGAGGGAGATGTGTGAAACCAGGTGTGAGTGGGCAGGGGCTCGGAGGAAGGGAGCAGGTTGCCAGGGCAGCGGGAAGATTTCTCAGGGCCAGGGTGGTGGTAATGGCTGGAGGTGAGGTGCACTGGGCCAGGCCAGAGGGACTTTCTGTGGTCATAGCATTCATTTTTCTGGATCACACACAAGCTGTATATTGAGAACCAGATTTTGAAAATATATCTTCAATACAGATGGTCCCTACCGTACAGTGGTTCAATTTAGGATTTTTCAACTTCACGATGGTATGAAAGCCATACGCATTCAATGGAAACTGTACTTCTCTCGTGATGCTGGGCGCCTCTCAGTCAGCCATGCGTTTGCCACTACAATATTTTTAGCTTACGATGGGTTTATCCGGACATAACCCCATAGTACGTCGAGGAGCATCTGTACCTGTTGGTCTCAGCTCCTGTACCTGTTTCATATGTTGGTTAACTAAAACATCTTCACGTAAAACTGAGTTTGTGCCAATTTTACAGACTTTTATTTTTCAAAAGTAAAATACAGTCATGGATCACTTAATAGCAGGAACATGTTCTGAGAAATGCATCCTTAGGTGATTTCATCGTGTGAACATCATGTAATATGCTTACGCAAACCTAGATGGTATAGCCTACTATGCAGTGAGGCTACATGTGGCCTGTTTCTTCTAGACGACAAACCTGAACAGCATGTTACTATACTGAACACTGTAGGCAATTGTAATACAATGGTAAGTTTGTGTGTATCTGAACATGTCTAAACATAGAAAAGGGATAGTAAAAAGGGACAGTATCTGAACATATCTAAACATAGAAAAGGGACAGTAAAAAGATGGTATAAAAGATTAAAAATGGGCCGGGTGCGGTGGCTCATGCCTGTAATCCTAGCACTTTGGAAGGCCAAGGCAGGTGGATCACCCAAGGTCAGGAGTTTGAGACCATCCTGGCCAACATGGTGAAACCCCATCTCTACTAAAAATACAAATATTAGCTGGGTATGGTGGCGCACGCCTGTACTCCCAGCTACTTCGGAGGCTGAGGCAGGAGAATCGCTTGAACCTGGGGGGCAGAGGTTGCAGTGAGCCAAGATCGTGCCACTTCACTCCAGCCTGGGCAAAAGAGTGAAACTCCATCTCAAAAAAAAAAAAAAAGATTAAAAATGGTACAACATTATAGTTCCTTACTATGAATGGAGCTTGCAGGACTGGAGGAGTTGCTCTGGGTGACTGAGTGAGTGAGTAGTGAGTGAATATGAAAGCCTAGGATATGACTGTACACTACTGTAGACTTTATAAACACTATGAACCGAGGATATACTAAATTTATTTATTTTAAATTTTTTTATTATTTTTGAGACAGAGTCCCACTGTGTTTCCCAGGCTGGAGTGCAGTGGCGCGACCTCAGCTCACTGCAACCTCCTCCTCCCAGGTTCAAGCAATTCTCCTGTCTCAGCCTCCCGAGTTGCTGGGACTATAGGCACCCGCCACCATACCCGGCTAATTTTTTTGTATTTTTAGTAGTAACGGGGTTTTCACCATATTGGTCAGGCTGGTCTCAAACTCCTGACCTCAGGTAATCCGCCTGCCTCGGCCTCCCAAAGTGCTGGGATTACAGGCATGAGCCACCAACTAAATTTATTTTTAAAACTAATTGCACTATGATGTTACAATGTCTCTAACATCACTAGGTGATAGGAATTTCCCAGCTCCGTTATAATCTTCTAGGATCACTGTCATGTATGCTTTTCATCATTGACTGAAACACCGTTACGTGGTGCATGACCATAATAGAATGTTAGATATCGGAGCCCAAACCACTTGGATCACAGTTGAGGCCCAGAGAGGGAAATGACTGATCACAAGTCACTCAGCTGCTTAGGAGCTTGTTAGTGGTAAAGTCGAGGGTAGAACCCAGTTCTACAGACTTATTGCTATTTCTACCAATAGAGGCAGCAAGCGTCTAGCCAAGTGCTGCCCTGAGCCACTGGCAACAGCTGCCTGGAGTATACACTGTGCTGTGAGCAACCTGAGAATGACACTGTGATTGATTACTGATTTCTGCCAAGGGCAGGTAATGGGAGCGTGGCAATGGATGTGCCGGTGTTGCATTTTTGCTTTATCTTTCCTTGTGGTGATGAAAAGAATGTATCTCTAAAAGTGGAAGCTGTGGTTACTAATCCCATTAGACAGTAGACTTACAATGCATTTATTTAAGTCTGTGACCATTTACTGGGGCCTAACACATGCTGTCGGTGCTGGGAAGACAAAGCTGAATTTCACCTAGCCTGGTCCTTCACAGGCTCACAGTCTTAGGGCAAAAGCCTTGTTCAGTAGGGAAACTTCCTGAGATTTCAACAACTTGTACACAATGAGAAAATGTGAAAATAATTTAATAGTGGATTTAAACTCTCTAGAGCAGCAGTCCCCAATCTTTTTGGCACCAGAGATCAGTTTCATGGAAGACAATTATTCCATGGACCAGGGAAGGGCAGGGGGATGGCTTTGGAATAAAGTTGTTCCACCTCACACCATCAGGGATTAGCCAGATTCTCATAAGGAGTGTGCAACCCAGATCCCTCACATGGCGCAGTTCACAATAGGGCTCGCACTCCTATGAGAATCTAATGCCGCTGCTGACCTGACAGGAGGTGGAGTTCAGAGGGTAATGTTTGCTCGCCCGCTACTTACCTCCTGCCGTGTGGCCTGCTTCCTAACAGGCCACGGTCTGGTACCAGTCCACGGCCCAAGGGGTTGGGGACCCCCACTCTAGAGCATTCATGCTGCTTGTCTAAACTCTTTTTAACTTAAAATAAAAACTAAATTAATACCTTTTCAGTTACTAAACTTTCAAGGTGATTTTAGATCTGTAAAGGAATCTAAATATTACCTATATTTTTACTCTCGATTTAAGAAAATAAAGGCAAACAAATTCAGACATACTATTTGTTCTCAATAATTGTATAATTTCCTCATATCTACATCTCCAACTCTAAACCTGAATGTTCTCCCAGGTCAGGGAGATCACTGGAGCACACTGGCTTTTGCTCTCAAGTGTAAGAAACCAGTTTGCAAGCTTGTGGCTTAACCTGGGGTCCGGCTGACTGATGGAAAACCTGAGAGCTGACCAAGAGGAAAGCAAGCAGGCCGGCAGGCCATGTGATGTGCCTACAGACAATGTTCTGCAGCCCCACCGGGGCAAATCGTTGGCATCTGTGGCCTCTATGTCATCAGAGTTCCAAAGTGCCAGCCTACCAGGGGCAAATGTGTAATCTCATTAGCTGACAGGTTCCTATCATGTTTATTTTTGTTTAATAAATGCAGATACTAGCTCTGTATGGAACATGTATTTCTGTCCTTCGTGCTGAAGCCTATTTTCTTAGTCTCTTGTAATGGGTTATTTCCCAGTAATTCATGATGCCCCTGTGTTGAATCATTTATGTCTGCATGTCTTACGTGTCAGGCCACAAGGATCCTGAGTGCGGTTCTTCTGCCCAGACCACCAGCTGATAGAATGTCGGGTGACAGCCCACTGTCCCAGGCTTGCTCTGTTCTCTCTTGCTGTCTGTCAACTGGGACTTTCCTTCTTCCCTCTGTCAGAGATTGCAGTGGCCTGTCTCATCACACCCATACAGAGCGACTGACAGATGTGACAGATGTCGGTGAGGAGCACAGTGTCTGAGATGACACAGCTGGGAGTTGCTAATTTGCTGAGCTGACTAGCGGTGGCCTGTCTTGTGTGAAGAAGCACAGGGAAGTGGCAGTTAGGAGGCCAGGCATCTGGTTGTGCCTTTCCCACTAGGTGACTGTGAAAACCTGAGCCAGCAGCCAAATCTTTCTCTGAGCTGCGTCTTCATGTGCTGAGTGAAGGGCCCGACCACACTCTCTTCTGTGACTCGTGGTGTACATGGGCGGGGGGCCGTGCCTGCCCCTGACAGTGAGGTGCTTAACTTAGGCGGTTGTACAGAGTGACGGCACTTTGGGAGGTGATGTTTGCAAGGCATTCCTGCGAATGTGGTTTGATCTCATAAGATGCTTATTATGCAGACTGTGTTTGTTCTGCACGCAGTACATGGGCTCCAGGTGGGAGGGAAGTGAAGAACAAATTGTGTAGCAGGCCTTGTCGGGGGCATTGCTACAGTGGGGTTGTTTTGGGGAGGACATCTTGCTTTCCTTGGAGATGGCCAGAGGAACAGAATCGGGGTGAGCCTAGGTTGCCTTCATGAGCCGAGGGTCTGTGTTTGTGACACCCTTGGAAACAGCATGAAGTGATCAGTAACGAGGATGGGACTTTCTTTGTAGAAACACCAGCATTTGTCCCCTGTGCCTTGGGCTACCTCTAATGGTGGGGTGGTGGGGTGACAGATGATGACAATACTGGGCTGGCCCAAGACCAGAACAGAAGGAACCACTGGTTCTGTCACCATTCCTTGCCCAAAAACCTTCCAGAGATTCTGCAGTCCCTTGTTGTTCCACAGTGTGGATTTTTGGAGGCCGTGGAGGAGGTCACCACACAGGTCCCATCTTTAAGAACAAGTTCTCCAATGACTATTCTTTGCCTCCTGGACACTGGGAGGGGTGCATCCAGGCATGCGGAGGGAGACTGGCCCCACGAGGCGCAAGGTGCAATGATTCTGCCCAGCAGCCCGTGCGGAGCCTCCTGACTCCCGGCTAGGGCATAGCCCTCAGGTTTCACTCTGGTGTTCCCACAGAGCCATGTCCACCTGGAAGGAACTGTGAGAAACCATCAGGGGGGCAACATGAGCTGCAGCTGCGGTTTCCTGTTTCGATTTTGATCAGGGATCAATGTAATCTATGATGGCTGTTGGGTTCTATATAGCATCACTTTGGGGTATTAAGCGAGAAAAGAACGTATCTGTGGCAGGTACCACTTATAAAAGTTCACCCTGAACAACACACAGCAAAGGGAAGATTCTGAAGTTACCTAACTCGTTTCTGATCATTGTTAACAATAGATCTAAGTAATTTAAGTGCTCAATTGGGCTTTGGGGCTATAATTGGTTGACTGCCTTTGCAGCTGAAAAGAACTTACCAGTAGCAAACTTGTCTTGCGGAATTATTTCTTTTTTTTATTTTTGAGACAGAGTCTCACTCAGTCACCCAGGCTGGAGTGCAGTGGCACAATCTCAGCTCACTGCAACCTCTGCCTCCTGGGTTCAAGCAATTGTTGTACCTCAGCCACCTGAGTAGCTGGGATTACAGGCATGTGCCACCACGCCCAACTAATTTTTGTATTTTTAGTAGAGATGGGGTTTCTCCATGTTGGCCAGGCTGGTCTGGAATTCCTGACCTCAGGTGATCTGCCTCCCTTGGCTTCCCAAAGTGCTGGGATTCCAGGCATGAGCCACCACGCCCAGCCAATTGTGGAGTTATTTCAACAGACTAGATGTTCAAAATATTCCGTGAGGAAAAGCACGTTGTAATGTTTGTAAATCCCCATGAGTGGGTGAGGGTTCCTCTTAGAGGGGCGGTGGGCTAAGTGGCACATCATGTGGGGGATCCTCTCGCCTATTTCCTGGCAGGCCCAGAGGGACTCCAGTTCTGTATCCCTGTCCCAGGCCAGTTCAGCAGTGGATCTGTTCCCACCCTGGGGTCAGAGCTCAGCCACTGTGGTCCCTGTGTGTGGGTTGTGCATTGCTACATTAGAGGTAGTGGAGCCCAGAAGGGAAGCTGTGTTCTGGGGACAGAGGTTCTAGGCACCCGTGCTGACTTGCCTTGTGGCCTTGGGCAGCTTGGTTGCTCTCAAGTTCTACAGCGATAGCTTCTCTTCCTGCCTCTGTCACAGAGATGATGTGGAGACAAACAAGGGAGCCGGTGCAAAAGTACTTTGTGAAAAAGACAGAAATTGCCCCTCATAGACATGAGATCTTGTTCCCAGCAGTGGAGAAGGTAGGTCCTGACATCGAGGGTTCCTTCTGTGTGCTAGGCACTGCATAGAAACTTACACGTAGGATCTGCTTCAATTCTCACAACCGCTGAGGTATGAGGTTTCCAAGTTAGGAAACTGAGCCTCAGAGAGGGAAGTAACTTAACTCCAAATCCTCGGCCCCAAATCCCAGTCTATTTACATCACACTGCCTTGTCTTTAAAAGAAACTATTGGAGCTTCTTCTAATTATGAACAAAATGCATGCGAAGTCAGAAAACTTAGGAAGCGTGAAAAAGCACGAGACAGTTTAAAATGAACATCATTCCATGACCCACAGATAACGTCAGTTCACATCATTTTGTGATCCTTCCTTTATTTATTCTGTGCACTAAGAGCTTTACGAAAATAAAAACGGGTTCTTACTGCATACATCATTTTGTACACGTCATACTCATCAAAGGAAGGTCCACGGGCAGCATCGTCAGCATCACCTGGGAGCTTGTTAGAAATGCAAGCATCTCGGGCTGCAGCCCAGGCTTACTGAAGCAAAATCCTGATGAGCAAGCTCTTCAAATGACGGGGATACATTCTCACTTTTATTTTATTTAGTTTTAATTTTTTTACTCTGGGGGTACAAGTGCAGGTTTTTTGCATGGATATATTTTATAATATAATGGCGAGGTTTGGGCTTCTAGTGTTCCCATCACCCAAATAGTCCACATTGTACCCAATAAATAATTTTCCACCCTCCCCCTTTTGAAGTCCCCATTGTCTATTGTTTCCATCTTTATCTCCATGTGTACTCCTTGTTTAGCTCCCACTTATAAGTGAGAACATGTGGTCTTTTCTTTTCTTTTGAGACAGAGTCTCACTCTGTCACCCAGACTGGAGTGCAGTGGTGCGATCTCAGCTCACTGCAACCTCCTCCTCCAGGGTTCAAGCAATTCTCTTGCCTCAGCCTCCCTAGTAGCTGGGATTACAGGCATGTGCCACCACGCCCGGCTAATTTTTGTATTTTTAGTGGAGACGGTGTTGGCCAGGCTGGTCTTGAACTCCTGATCTCAAGTAATCCACCCACCTCGGCCTCCCAAAGTGCTGGGATTACAGGCATGAGCCACCACGTCCAGCCTGGTATTGGATTTTCTGATTCTGAGTTGTTTCACTTAGGATAATGCCCCCAGCTCCATCTGTGTTGCTGGAAAGGACATGATTTCATTCTTTTTTATGGCGGTGTAATATTCCGTGGTGTACATGCACCACATTTTCTTTATCCAGTCATTTGTTGATGGACACTCAGGTTGATTCCCTGACTTTGCTATTGCATACTCTTAGCAGTCTGTCATAGCTGATTTTCCCCCCATTGCAATGTATGGTGGGTATTGTCCCACGTCACTGAATATTTTCCTGTATCATGATTTCTAGTGACTGGATAACATCCCTCATATGACTGTGTCCTGCTGCTGTGTCTGGTCTGCCTATGTCTCCTACTGGTGAGCCTTCAGGATGTTTCCAGGACACTGTTATAAGAATGCTGGGTTATCTCCTTAGGACAAATTCCCCAGAAGTGAAATTACTAGAGCAGCAGGTTTTGATACATGCTGCCAGATTCCAGCCCAGAAAGGATGTAGCTTGCTTGGTCACTCAGACCCTTGCCAGGGTTTCTTGGGAGGCAGCTGCCATCATGGGGAAGAGCTCACACTTGCGGAGGCACAGGCCTTGATTTCAGGGTCGGACATTCCACTGACTGCCTCAGTCATCTCGGACTGGTTGCTTAGCTGCTCAGGCCCTCTATTTCCTCACCTGCAAAAAAAGCAATGGACCATTTAACTCATAGCTGGTTGTGAGCCTTAAATGAGGCCTGAGATGTGCTTAATAAATGTTCATTTCCTTCCCTCTGAATGAAAATGAGCCCAGGGCCTAAGGAGGTCCTATCACAAAGTCCTTAGATGTCCTTGCATAAGATATTTTCTGTTGCAGTTTATAAATTCTATTCTAATAGATGCACATGGGTGTCACTGACCTTTTCGTTTGGTTCTCTGATGTCTCAGGGAACGTATGGCTTGGGCACAGCAAAGAAGGGCAAAGAAAGAAAACTGAAATTTTCTGCTCCTGAAATTTGAGCAGAGAGGTAACATGTGTGCACCGTGCTGTGGAGAGCATGCTGGGAGGCGGTGGAGGGGCAGTGAGAGGTGTCAAGGCCTGCAGGTGTCTTGCTACCCCTGCTCTTCGCGAATCTCGCGGTCCCTGGGCATTCACACGATGTGACAGCGCCTCCCTTCGGGGACTTTGTCTCAGTGTGGAGTGATGTCTTGTTCGGGCATTGGGCCACTCTGTGCTGGGCATGACCTGTATGCTGGGCTTCCACGGGGACAGAGTGCTGAAGAGGCTCCTGAGGGGGCCCTACTACTGACAGAGGGCAGGTCACATGCCCAGAGCAGGCGAAAGCAAGCAGCAGAGGCAAGCTGCATGCTCAACCCGGCCCACCGAATGGGGTGGAATTGCCACTGTGGGCCTTGTGGGATTTGGCCAGCTCGTGTTGCTGGGCAGAGTGCTGCTGGCTGGGACAGTCCTTAGAGACCTCAGCCCTGGGGCCCAGTCCCTGTCCCTTCAATAATCCATTCTGCTGCAGGGGCCCCTGCACCACCTCCCAGGATACAGGGGACTCTCCACCAGCTAATTGGCCCTCTCCCTGGGAGAAGGCCAAGTCGTTGGCAGGAGCACAGTGGGCTGCACAAAGGGCAAATGTATATAAACTACCTTCAGCGCACTGCGTGATTATCATCTGAGCTCTCCTCTGAACTCACTGCTTTCTTCTGTCATCATCAAATGTATTCGTTGTGCTTTAAAATTAAATTGTAGGCCATTTGAGTAGAATTCTATATACAGTTGCCATTTGGAAAACAGAAAAGCAAACTAGGGCTTTTTCAGAACCATCTTCAGAAGTTGCCCTTGCTGCTGCCTGTTCCTGAGTTTTACTAACATAGAATCGCACCTGCCACCCAGAGCCCTCTGTCAACACTCCAGATATTGCCTGGAAACTGCTGACTGTACCGGTTGCAGTTGGCAAGCCATCAGACTTGGGAGGAACTTGAGTCAGGTGGCATTGTGATGCCAGTTGCAGGAGTCTATTATTTTGAAGTGGCAGCTGCAGGTAATCAGATAGGAGCCACCAGGGCAAGTGGCTGTGTCACGTGGGGTGGCTGGGGAGCCGGCTGGGCAGGCTCAGTGGGTGATTTTTGGGAGGGTGTGGCCCCTGCACCTGTCAGGTTTGGGCTCCAGGGGGAGGGCTGGAAATCCCATCAGTGCAACAATGAGTGGGGCAAGCAGGTCCCTGGTAAAGGAGCATTGGGAAGGCCCCAGGAAAGCAGTTAACAAAGCATATCAAGGACCTGAGGTAACACGATGGGCCTTTAAGGAAAAGTAAAAAGAAAACTGAAACTGGGGAGCAAGTGTGCAGCGCAGAGACGAGCGTGCCTCCCACAGGGTCCCTCGCACTGAGATAGCAAGTGGACATCAAGGCGAGGCAGGAGGGGCCGGGTGGTTTTGGTGCTGGAATGAGAGAGGAGAGCCCTGGGCCTGGGTGTGTCTGGCTCAGAAGCTGTTTCCGATTTTCTCAGCATTCCTCTTTCTTCCTGGGCCCTGCCCTTCCTCAGATGGGGAATGCAGCCTCACCTGCCATTGCCCTTTGCCTGCTTCCATGGTGAGCACAGTCAACAAAGCCCAAGCAACTCAGTGGGGATGCCAATCACAGGGAGGCGAGTCCAACTCCCTACAGAGCCAGGCCACCCCCATCCCGGCCTTCAGGGCTTGGAGTGGAAGGCGGAAGTGCATTGCGTTTCTTAGACGGCCTTTTCTGCTGTGTGCCTGTGCACCCGCCCAAGGAGCTCACGGGGCACAGGAGGGCTGGGCTTGGCAGAAGCCCCACTTCCTCCTGGCGCACGGGTACTTCTGTGAGAGATGGGGACAAGGGCTCTTGATCAGCAACCAGTGGTGACCCGTGGGCCCTAGGCCACTCAGAGGAAAGGGAGGCCCACTCTTCTCCCTGCTGCTAGCTTCCAGGAGGATGAGAGAGCTGGAGGCTCACAGCACACTCAGGAGGATGGCTGCCTTTTACCAGTGCATCAGGCCTGACCCCAGGTGGGCCCTCTGAGAGCAAAGAGGTGGTGGGGGAGAGTCGCGAGGGAGGGGAGGCCAGGCCGTGACTCCCGGGGCGTGGGTGGCCACCATCCCCTGAGGCCTATGGATAAATCTGCAGCGTCTGTTACCTTATGTTCTAGAATGTTTGTGACCTCCTTACTTAACAGACTTTTTATCTCCTTGAGTTGTGTAAATTCTGGAGCAAAATAAGGATTTTCTTTGTTTCCTTTATGACACACACGCATATTCATAAAGAGAAAGGGAGAGGGAAAGGGGAGGAGGGCTGGGTGAGCAGAGTGTGCCATTCTTACCATACCGTGTTTACACTTGGGATCTCCATGGCATAGTTGATATGCTTTGAGTGAAGGGAAGGCAGCAGAGGTCAAAGTTTAAGGATGTTGTAATTATGCCACTACCTAAAGCTCAGCACCAAAGGACTTGTGTTCAACTGATAGCCACAGCCTTGGGAGACGCTCTGCCTGAGCTCCTGCACAGCCAAAGCCAGGGGCCCTACACAGAGACATCTTGTCCTGCTGTAGGTGACCTTATCCCTGGAAGGTGTTTGGCTCTCAGTGCATTTTGACTCTGTGCACCGTGGTGCAGAGGGAAATAGAGCTATGGCTTGATTAAAATTCATTTGCTTAGCATAAATAAACAGATTTGTGTTTCTCATACCCCACATGGAAAATTCCCAGTAGGGCAGTCTCTGTCAGTACAGGTGATGGTTATATCCGCACATCACTTGAGCTGGGCGAACGGTCTTGGGAAATTGTTGTTGCTTCTTTGGAAAGACCCACCCACTGCCTGGCAGCAGGGCTTGGAGGGTGCTCTGGGAGTTGGGGCAGACAGTCCATCCTCAAAGCCTCACTTTCGTTTGTTACAAAGGAGTAGTAACCCAACAACTCAAGGATTCCTTGTGAAGACAGGGCCTTGTACTGGGTAAAACCCTGTGCATATAAGTCATCATCATTGTTACTGTTTCATAAAACTCTTTTTACTAAGAATGAAACCTCAGTGCCTGATTCTGCCCATTTTATATGGGCCAGGATAGAGTGGTGATGTTATGTCTTGGTAATAGGCTTCGGAGCATTATTTCCTACTGAAAAAACAAAACAAAAACAAAAACAAATTCAGCTCCACATCTGCTGTGCTGCAGAAATGTCAGTCATAAATGTAGGGTTCTAGATAAATGAAGCAGTATTTTGGGGATATATGCATAGAAAAATGGAGTATATTACCTCAATAAACTCATGAAGTTAAAAATAAGCCAGCCCTTGCAAAACTGTGCCCAGGGCTTCGGTGTCCTGTTCGTCACATATGTGTGCAGCAGTCAGCACGAGTCATAGCTCTCACTCAGAGACTGAACGTTGCCAAGTTAGATGGCCTCTTTGCAAGACACTCCTCAGCGTTAGAGTGAATTTATATTGTATCTTCCCAAGAATTATGCAAATAGAATTTCTAAAATAAGGCTATGAAGTCTGATGCTTAGCTCTTTTTGAAATAATGGTTTTGTAAAAGTCTCTGATAGTTTTTTTTTTAGTCTAATGACCTGAAAATGTCTAAACTAATGTTTTTCAAATCTCATATGAAAACATTCACCTCAATGAATGTGTAAACAGGTCGCTGTTATGAAAGCTGTCATGCTTTGCAGTCTAAGACATGAATTGTATTCAGGGGTGTTCGTGCAGGCTTAGGTGGCCCATGTGAACATAGGCTCATGTGTGCATATATAGAGTATACACTGTGTTGGATAGCTGTATGCATGCCTAGCTAAGTTAGTTAATTTGTCCATTTATAGGGACTCTGAATACCACTAAATCAACTGTTATGTAGGTAGTTTCTAAAAAATAGTGTAGTTTATATAAGATACTATTTATATGCTTATAAACTATGCTGTTTATCTCATGGCTGACTGAGTGTTGGAATGAAGCTATGGTATTTTCTTGCAAAGAAGCAGCCCAGCAAGTTGTGGCCTGCCATTCTCTCTAGATGCCCTCACTGTCCCTGCCCTGCCCACGGCTGAGGGGAAGCCTGGGGAAGTAAACCAGGCCTCTAAGCAGGGGCCTCCTCTGCTTCTATATTCCTTTACTCCCAAACCGAGGGGTCTGCAAAGCCCAGCAGACTTCAGCTCTGTGTGGCTATAGGGTAGATGATGTTTATAGGAAGACACTAGGCAAGAAGAACTCAGGCTAAAGAAATGTGACATTGTCTAGCTGAGTCATAGATTTTGAAAGAAGTCTGTCCTTGAGGCATTAATGTGTTGGGTGATCATTAAGAAGTGATTCTGCTGGTCACGGTGGCTCACACCTGTAATCCCAGCACTTTGGGAGGCTGAGGCGGGGGATCACCTGAGGTCAGGAGTTCGAGACCAGCCTGGCCAACATGGTGAAACCCTGTCTCTAATTAAAAAAAAAATACAAAAAATTAGCCTGCGTGGTGGTGCGTGCCTGTAATCCCGGCTACTCAGGAGGCTGAGGCAGGAGAATCACTTGAACCCAGGAGGAGGAGGTTGCAGTGAGCCAAGATCATGCCATTGTACTCCAGCCTGGGCATCAAGAGTGAAACTCTGTCTCAAAAAAAAAAAAAAAAAAAAAAAAAAAAAGAAGAAGTGATTGTTTCATCTATCAGGTGTTACTGCTAAGTGCCTCTGGATCATTTGCTCATTCATTCATTCATTCATTTAACAATATTTATTGAGCACTACCATGCAGCTGTTCTATGCTGGTGACATGTTATCTCTCCTCATGGAGTTAGTCTTCCAGTTTTACCTACTTAGCAAGAAAGGGGCTTTCTCTAGGCCACGCCTTACTTTAGTTTTTAAACATCAGACAAACAGTAACTACAGGGCAATAAGATACTTCAAATCTGACCAGCCAAGTTCCTTTACTCGCCCTTCTTGCTTTACTTAGAGCTCTGTCATTTAGCATCTGAATATTCTCTAGTTTCAGCCCTTTGATTATGAGATTTCTTTGCTTTCTTTTCTCTTATATGTCAGAGCAGATCTGTCTCTCTGTCCTCGCTATCCTTTCTGACAAGAGGACAGAGAAGGTTTTGCACACAAGTGGATGACAGCTTCAGAGAGCAGGAGGTGGGAGGCAGAGGTGAGTGGATCACCTGAGGTCGGTGGTGGGCACCTGTAATCCCAGCTGCCCAGGAGGCTGAGGCAGGAGAATCACTTGAACCCAGGAGACAGAGGTTGTAGTGAGCTGAGGTTGCGCCACTGCACTCTAGGCTGGGCAACAAGAGCGAAACTCCGTCTCAAAAAAAAAAAAAAAAAAAGCAGAAAGTCCTCTTGACACCTTCAGGGAGAAAGGGTTGGCTGCAGTGAGGTCCGGTCTTGACGCCTCTTTGGTGTGGGTACAGCTGTCAAGTCCCTCTGCTTTTGAGGATAATAATATCATTAAGCAGCAAGCTGGCACAATTTTTGAACAGAGATTTCTCACAGGAACTCTGCAAGCATTTCACATTCCATTTGCTTCAGTAATGTGAAACTTATTTTTCTAAAAAAAGGTACAGGCAGATCTTGGCATGACTCACTAGAGAACAATAGTTAAGTCATAATTTATTTTCATCTTTTTCCCCAGGAAAGGGAAAAATTGATTAAAAGTATGGGGAATGTAACCAGGCGTGAATCTGTAAAGGGGAAATGGATCAAAGAATCACACAAACATGTATACATGTAAAATGGGTAAGTTTTGTGAACAAAAGGCACAGGGTCTCCCATAGTATGTCGCGGGAGGTCTTGACACATCCTGAAGGGACAGATTGGTCTTCCTGCGGAAGTGGAATGAAAGCTGAAATCTGAAGGATGAGTAGGAGTAAGACCAAAGTGGAATGTGCAGGGAACATCAAGTTCAAGCAGAAGGAACAACATCTGCAAAGGCTCCAAGCTGGAAGGAAACGGAGTGCTATTGGTGGAGGGAGAGCAGGGCTGAGGCACGCATTCTGCTGGTGTGCACAGGGCTTGGGTTGGAGTCCAGCCCACCACCTCCTCTTGTTGACGTTTGTGTCTGTCCACGTTTGTGTTTTCCCCTATTCCTGCCTGCACCTCCAGTCTTCTCCATGAGATTGCATCCCTCTTCCTGTAACAGTTGTTTCAGTGTGAGTTTGCTGGAAACAAATTGTATCAACTTTTCTTTTCTGAAAATGTCTTTATTTCATCCTTTTTCCGCAGCTTTGATGACATATTAGTTACATATCATAAAGTTCACCTGTTTAAAATGTATAATCAGGCCAGGCGCAGTGGTTCATGCCTGTAATCCCAGCACTTTGGGAGGCCAAGGCCTGTGGATCACCTGAGGTCAGGAGTTCAAAACCAGCTTGGCCAGCATGGTGAAACCCCGTCTCTACTAAAAATGCAAAAATTAGCCAGGCATGGTGGTGGCTGCCTGTAGTCCCAGCTACTCCAGAGGCTAGGGCAGGAGAATTGCTTGAACCTAGGAGGCGGAGGTTGCAGTGAGCCGAGATCGTGCCGCTGCACTCAAACCTGGGTGATGGAACGAGACTCCGTCTCAAAAAAAAAAAAAAAAGGGTACAATCAATGGGTTTTTGTTAAAGAGTTGTGCACCAAGGAACACAATCTAATTTTAGAACATTTCCATTTCCCCAGAAAGAAACCTTGTGCCCATTAGCAGTCACTCCCATTCTACCTGTGTTTCCCCAGCATCCCTCTCCCCACCTCTTTGCAACCACTAATCTACTCTGTGTCTCTGTGGATTTGCCTAGTCTGGACATTTCGTGTAAGTGGAATCATGCAGTATGTGGCCTTTTGTAGCTGCCTTCTTTCACTTAGGTTAATGTGTTCAAGATTCATCCAGATTGTAGCATATATCATTACTTTATTCCTTTTTCTTGATGGATAATATTTCATTACATATATGTAACATGTTTTTTATTCTATCTATCCAGAGATGGATATTTGGGTTATTTCTACTTTTTGATTATTATATAAATAATGCTGCTATGAACATTGGTGTACAGGTTTTTTTGTGCACGTTTTAGTTGTGGTAAAATGCACATAACATAAAACTTACCATCTTAATCATTTTAAGTGGTATTAAGTGCGTTCAGATTGTTGTGCAGTCATCATCACTGTCCACCCCCAGAACTCTTTTTGGGGTCTTGCAAAATGGAAACACTACGCATTAAAAAGTAACTTCCTAATCCCTTCTCCCTCAGCCCCTGGCAGTCACCATTTTACTTTCTGATGCTACGATTTTGACTACTCTGAGTACCTCATATAGGTGGAATCTAGTTTTGAGACTAATAATTCCAGGTGCTTCTTGACTTACGATGGGGTTATGTCCTGATATACCCATCATAAATTGAAAATGTCATTAAGTTGAAAATGCACAGCTGACTGGAGACTTGGTGCCACTGCCCAGCATTGCAAGAGACGGATGGTTTCTATTGACTGGGTATTACTTTTGCACCATTGTAAAGTCAAAAATCATAAATTGAACCATCATAAGTTGGTTTTAAAAGCCTGTACCTCTTTTTTTAAAAAAGTGCTAGTCTCTTAAATCACGTAAAATACAAAACAATGGAGTTACAAACCATTTTTACAATAAGAGTAGCTTTAATAATTCCCGTGTATTTACTTTTATTGAGATCTTTATTTCTTTATATGCCTTCAAGTTAATATCTAGTGTCCTTTCATTTCAACCTGCAGGACTCTTTTTAGCATTTCTTGCAGAACAGCTCTAGTAGTAACAGACTCCCTCAGCTTTTATTTATTTGGGAATGTCTTAATTTCTCCCTCACTTTTCAAGGATACTTTTGCCAGTTATAGGACTCATGCTTGACATTTTTTTCTTTTCACACTTTGAACATATCAGCCTACTACCTTCTGGCTTCCAAAGTTTCTGATGAAAAATCTACTGATAATCTTATTGCAGATCTGTTGTATGTCACAAGTCACATCTCTCTTGCTGCTTTCAAGATTTTCTGTCTTTGGCTTTCAACAGTTTGATTATAATGTGTCTTGTTGTGGGCTTAAGTTCATCCTACTTGGATTTCATTGAGCTAAATGGATGTTTTATACATACACACACATAAACATATGTGTGTGTATGTATAAACACATAAATGAATAAATGTATAAATGTAAAATGTATATATAGATATATGTATGTATAAACATATAAATGTAGAAATATATAATGTATATTTCATCAAATTTGGAAAGTTTGCAGCCATTATTTTCTCAAATATTCTTCCTCCCATTTCTCTCTCTCTTCTCTTTCTGGAACTCTTACAATGTGTATGTTGGTCCACTTCATGGTGTCTCACAGATCCCCTATTTTCTGTTCACTTTTCTTCAAATCTTTTTTTCTGTTCCTTAGACTTGATAATTTCCATTGTTATATCTTCAAGTTTGCAGATTCTTCTTCTGCCTGCTCATATCTGCCTTTGAATTCCTCTAGTGAATTTTTCATTTCAGTTATTGTTCTTTTCACCTCCCAGATTTCTTTTTGGTTTCAAGATTTTAAAATCTCTTCAGTGATATTTCAATTTTGTTTGGACATCATTTTCTTGATTTTCTCCACATCTCCCTTTAGTTTGGTGAACATTTTTAAGATAGCTGTTTTAAAGTCTTTGTCTAGTAGATCCATCATCAGGTGTCTTTCGGAGATCATTTCTGTTGGTTTTTTTCCTTTGATGGTCCATACTTTCCTGTTCCTTTGTATGCCTTGTGATTTTTTGTTGTGGAAAACTGGATATTTGAGTCTAATAGTATGGTAACTCTGGAAATTAGCTTCTGTCCTTTTCCCAGGGTTTGCTGGTTTGGATTTTTGGGTTTTGTTTGTTTGTTTTAATTGTTGCAGGCAGTCTTAGTGCTGATGATCAGCCTGAAGTATAAACTTAAGGCCTTCCCAGATCTTTCCTGAGACTGAGCCTTTTTGCAGGCATGCATGGTGACTTTCTAATCTCCCCTTATGTAGTTGCTTTTGAGTGACCTAGTCTTTGATATCTGGCTCCGAGAATGAGAAACAAGAAAAGTGAAGGAAGAAAAAGGGTACCAGCCCATTAAATCTGCAGGGAGTCACCTGGGGCTGGAGGGAGTCTTGTAACAATGGGGAGAGGTGCAACAACAATGGCTGCCACCTCTTTGTCTGCACCTCTGTTATCAGAAGCAACAGCCAGAGGACAGATCCCTAGTGTTTGGAGGACAGGGTCCCTTTTGCTTACACTGGCTTCTGCAAGCTGCATACAAGCTGCTCCTGGAACACATGCATGGAGAAGTGGGGGGATGGGTGGATGCTACTGTGCTAAGAGCAGAAATGGGCAGAAATTAACCACAATGTACCCCCCAGTCCTTCCCTTGGAAGTTGCAAGCCTTCAGTTGACTCCAGAGTTTCAAAATAATTACATCAGACAGATTCTGCTAGTGCAATTGCACTAGCAGAAACAGTGGGGAAACAGATTCCTGGTGCTTTCTATACTAACGTTTTCTCAGAATCTTTCATGGACATATGTTTTTATTTCCCTGAGGTAGATATCTAGGAATGTAATTGCTGGGCTGAATGGTAATTTTACGTTTCACATTTTGAGGCACTGCCAAGCTTTTCCAAAGTACCTGCTACATTTTACATTTCCACCAGCAATGAATGAAGGCTCCAGTTTCCTCACATCCTTGCAACGCTTGTTATTATCTATCTCTTTTATTATAGTCATTCTAGTGAGTATGAAGTAGTAACTCACTGTGGTTTTGTTGTTGTTGTTGTTGTTGTTTTTGAGACCTGCTCTGTCACCCACGCTGGAGTGCAGTGGCATGATCTCAGCTCACTGCAACCTCCACCTCCCAGGTTCAAGCGATTCTCCTTCCTCAGCCTCCCAAGTAGCTGGGATTACAAGTATGCACCACCACGCCCAGCTAATTTTTGTATTTTTAGTAGAGATGGGGTTTCACCATGTTGGCCAGACTGGTCTCCTACTCCTGACCTCAAGTGATCCACCCGCCTTGGCCTCCCAAAGTGCTGGGATTACAGGCATGAGCCATCACTATGGTTTTTATTTACAATTTTCTAGTGACTAAGAGGGTTGAGCATCTTTTCATGCACTTATTAGCCATTCATTTGCCTACTTTATGCCTTCTTTGTGTAAGTTTGCCTTCTTTGTGCAAGTTATGTTCAAATCCTTTGTCTGTTTTTAAATGGGATATCTTTTTATTATTGAGTTATAAGAATTCTTTCCATGTTCTGCATACCAATCCTGTATCAGATAGATGATATACAAGTATTTTCCCTAGTCTGTTGTCTTTACAGTTTCTTGAGAGTCCTTTGAATTAAAATCTTATAATGTTGAAGTCAAACTTACCTATCTTCTCTTTTGATGCATTTGATGTCACATCTGAGTAATTATTGCCTAACCTAAAATGACAGGCTTACTCCTGTTTTCCTCTAAGAGCTTTATAGTTTTAGCACTTACAATTTAGATCTATGAGCCATTTTGGGGTAATTTTTATGTAACCAGTGTGAGGTAAGAGTACACATTATTTTTTGCATGTCGATGTCTACTTGTTCCAGCCCGGTTTGTTGAAAAGATGATATCCCTCCATTGAGTTGTCTTGACACCCTCATTGAAAATCAATTGGCCATAAGAGTATGTGTTTATTTCTGTTGAACTATATGTCTACCAATATGCCAGTACAGTACAGTCCTGATTACTGTAGCTTTGTAGTAAGTTTTGAAAATGGAAAGTGTGAATGCTCCATCTTTGTTATTTTTCAAGATTATTTTGACTTTGCAAGGTCCCTTGCATTTCCACATAAATTTTCAGATCAGCTTGTTACTTTCTGCCCAAAATCCAGCTGAGATTTTGATAAAGGTTGCATTGATTCTGTAAATCAGTTTGGGGAATACTGCCATTTAATAATATTGTCTTCTGATTTATGAACACAGGATATCTTTCCATCTATTTATGTCTTCTTTAATTTTTTTTCAACGTTGTTATTTTCAGTGTACAAGTGTTCTACCTCCTTGGTTAAACTTACTCCTATTTTGTTCTTTTGGATAGTATTTTAAATGCAGTTGTTTGTTTTCTTAATTTTGTCTGTGGATTGTTCATTGCTAGTATGTAGAAATACAATTGGTTTTATTTTTGTATTGGTCTTAAATCCTGAAACCTTGCAAACTTTAGTTATAATAGTGTTTTAATGGATCCCTCAACATTATCTATGTGCATGATCATGTCATCTACAAATAGAAATAATTTAATTTTTTCCCTTTCAATCTCAGTGCTTTTTATTCTTTCTCTTAAGTGCTTGCCCTGTCAAGAATCTCCAGTACAAAGTTGATTATCAGTGTGACAGTAGATGTCCTTGTCTTTTTTCTTATCTCCGGGGAAAAGCATTCTGTCTTTCACCACTGAGTATGATGTAAGCTGTAGGTTTTTCATAGATGCCCTTTGTCATGCTGAGGAAGCGTTTGTCAATTCCTAGTTTGTTTGAGTGTTTGTATCATGAAGCGATGTTGGATTTTGTCAAGTGCTTTTTCTGTATCTACTGAGATAATAATGTAATAGTTGTCAGTTTTCCATTAATATGGTTTATTGCATTGATTTTTCATATGTATGTTGAACCAACCTTGCATTCTTCAACAAATCCTACTTGGTCATGCTGTGTAATCTCTTTAATATGTTGCTGGGTTGTTTTTGCCAGTATTCTGTTGAGGAGTTTTGCATCTTTATTTTTTATACCTCCATTAAAGTGATCATGTGATTTTTGTCCTTTATTTTATTAATATGGCTTTTGCATTAATTAGTTTTCATGTGTTAAACCAACCTGTATTCCTGAGGTAAAACTCACTTTTATATCTTACTGGATTTAGCTTGCTAGTATTGTGTTGAGAATTTTTGTGTTTATATGCATAAGAGATATTGGTCTATAATTTTCTTTTATTGTGATGTCTTTGGGTTTGGTATTAGGGTAATACTGGCTTCACAATGAGCTGGAAAGTGTCACCTGTTCTTATATTTTTGAGAGGCGTTTGTGAAGGGAAAGGTTTCTGTTAATTCTTTAAGTGTTTGATAGGATTTACCAATGAAGACATTTGGAGCTGGATTCTTCTTTGTGGAAAGTTTTACAATTACTAATCTCTTTTCTTATTATAAGTCTATTCAAACTTTCTTTTTATTATTGGCTTAGATTCAGTAGTTTGTGTCTTTCTAGGAATTTGTCTATTTCATCTAGGTTGTCTAATTTTTTGGCATACAGTAATACATAATATTCCCTTAAAATACATGCTTTTTATTTCTGTAAGGTTGGTAGTGATGCCTTCTTATTATTGGTTTTAGCAATTTGAATCTTCTCTCTTTTACTCTTGGTTAGTAGAGCGATAGGTCTGTTCATTTTATTGATTTTCTCAAAGAACCAACTTTTTGTTGCATTGATTATTTAAAATGTTTTTCTATTTTCTATTTTATTACCTTTTGCTCAATATTTATTTTGTCCTTTCTTCTGTTTGTTTTCAGTTTAGATTGCCCTTCTTTTTCTAGTTTTATATAGTGGAAAGTTATGATAGCGATTTGAGATTTTTCTTCTTCTTTTTTTTTTTTTTTTTTTTGACAGAGTCTCACTCTGTCACCCAGGCTGGAGTGCAGTGGTGCGATCTGGGCTTACTGCAACTTCCACCTCCCAGGTTCAAGAGATTATCATGCCTCAGCCTCCCAAGTAGCTGGGATTACAGGAATGGGCCACCACACCCAGCTAATTTTTGTATTTTTGGTGGAGATGGGGTTTCACCATGTTGGCCAGACTGGTCTGGAACTCCTGGCCTCATGTGATCCGCCTGCCTCAGCAGTGTTGGGATTACAGACAGTGTTGGGATTATAGGCAGGCACCACTGCACCCAGCCTTTTCTTCTTTTTTACGTAGGTGTTTATAAGCACAGCTTTTCTCCAAGCAGTGTTTTATCTGCATCACATATGTTTTGGTATGTTGTGGTTTTGTTTTTATTCATCTCAAAGGACTTTATAATTTTTCATGTAATTTATTCTTTGACTCATTTGTTATTTAGGAGTTCATCGCATAATTTCCACTTATTTATGAACTTCCCAAAATTCTTTCTGTTTTTGATTTCTAATTTGATTCTGTTGTGGTTAGAGAATATATTTTGCATGAACTAAATTCCTTTAAATATATTTTGTTTTGTTTTATGGCTGAGCATATGGTATCATTGTTAATGTTCCATAGGGAGATAAGATAGATATGCATATATATACACACATACACATACACATACATACATACACACATCTTTGGTCTAGTTGTTCTATAGGGTTGTTCAAGTCTCTTATATCACTGTTGATTTTCTGCTTATTTGTTCTATCTGGTATTGATTATTTAAACCATTTGCATTTAATGTCGTTGGTATGGTTAAATCTACAAATTCCATTTTGCTTTTTGTTTTCTATTTATATCAGAGTACTTTGTTCTTCTGTGACTTCTTTACTACTTCCCTTTAAGTGTATATTGTCAGTCATACCTTTTAATTTCTTATTGATTTTTAATTCTATTTTCTTCTGTTATTTTTTAGTAGCTGATCTAGGCCTTATAATATACATCTTAATATATCAGAATCAATTTAAGATTTATACTAATTTAGTTCCAGTAAGATATAAAAACATTACTCCTTAGTAGTTTTATTCCCTGCTCTATTTGTTGTACTATTATTGTTGTACATATTACATCTATGTTTGTCATAGGCCCAATAATTATATTTTTATATCATTTTCTGTCTTTTAAAGAAACTAATAGAAGAGAGAACAAAAATATATTCATAGAGTCTGTACAAAATATATCAACCTCTTACCATTTTTGTTTTTCTTTCTTTTTCCTGTGGATCATGTTACCATCTGATGTCATTTTCTTACTCCAATGTAGCTGTGTTGTAAACGGGGTAATAAGTTCCCCTTTTAGGGTGTTTAAGGATCATTCCAACATGACTATGCAAATTGCACCTGGAGAGACAGATGCCATTAAAGGATTTATTATACTTGCAGGTCCTAGAGAAGGAGGCATGGCATGCCACACCATGCATGGGATCATATTGGAGGAGCTCCTAGGGAGCAGACTCAACAGAGCAGGTGGAGAGATAAGTAACAGTGTGGATCCCTGGGCAAGTGCTTTTATTAGGGGTCAGGGTATCATGACTCCTAATAAAAGAATCATGAGAAGATCTTACTGGTTCATTTGCATGTTGAATGTCACTAGGTCATAGTCAGGGGACAAGAAGGGGAACTTGTTGCAGGGACCATCCTTCTCACACTGGTACACCTGGTTGCCTGGGCATGATGTTCACAGCCTGTTTGTGAGGACGTTGAGGCATCAGGAAAATATGAAGTTTTAAAAATTTACAAAATTTCATTTCTACCCTCCTCCTTTTTGTTGTTATTGTCAAATATACTACATTGCTATACATTATAGTCCCAACAATGCAATTTTAATACCATTTTATGCCATTGCTTTTTGAATCAGCTATAAAAAAAATGAGAAGAAATATTCAATTACACTGTCTTTTATAATTCCCTACAAAATTACCTTTATTGATGCCTCTGATTTTTTGTGTAGATTCAAGTTACTGCTTGGTGTTGCTTTTGGCCAGAAGAACTTCCTTTAATATTTATTGTAAGACAGGTCTGCTAGCAAGAAATCATCTCAGTTTTTGTTTTTCTTGAATATCTCTAGTTCATCTTCATTTTTGAAATATAGCTTTGTTGGATACAGAATTCTTGGTTGAAATTTTTTTCTTTTGGTACTTTGAATATGTCACCCTACTGCTTTCTGGTCTCCAATGTTTCTGATAAGAAATTAGCTGTAAATTTTATGATGATTTTCAACTATATAACTCTTTTCTCTTGCTGCTTTCAAGTTTTTCTCCTTATCTTTAGCTTTCACATTTTCACTCTGTGTCTGTGAGCAGTTCTCTGTGTTTATCTTACTTGAAGATTTTTGAGCTACTTGGATATGTAGATTACTGTTTTTCCTCAAATTTAGAAAGTTTTTGGCTATTATTTCAGAGAATCATTTTTCTACATTTTTCTCTGTCCTCTCCTTTGGGACTCCCATTCTGAATATTTGTATAGTTAATGATGTTTTGAATTTTTCTGAGTCTCTGTTCATTTTTTTCCTTCAAATTGCATAATCTCTATTGATCTATTTTTTAATTTGCTGATTTTTTTATTGTGCCAACTCGAATCTCCTGTTGAGCCTCTTCAGTGAATTTTCTCATTTCACTTATTGTACTTTTCAACTCAAGAATTTTCAGTTTGTTTATTTTTATAGTTTCTACCTCTTTTAATAATCTCAATTTGATAAGCTGTAATCATCCCTTCTTTTAACTCTTTAAGCATGTCTTCCTTTATTTCTTTGAGCATATCTATAATAGCTGCTTTGAAGGTTTTGTCTGAGGAGTTCAACACCTGTGCCCTCTTAAAGGCAGTTTCTATTGCCTGCTTTTTTCCCTGTGTATGAGTCAGACTTTTCACCAAATTCTTCACACTACCATTCTGAAATTACTGCTTCCCTTTTTTTTGGATAACTTTTGTATAACTTTTTATTTGATATAATACCAAATTTACAGAAAAGTTACATAGTGAAGGAATTTATCATATAATTTTTAGTCAGATTTACCAATTTTTCACATTTTGCCTCGTGATATATCCTTATTTCTTTGTATGTTTATATAAAGAACATATATATCTATATGTTTGTAACATTTTTTGGACTATTAGTGAGCTCAGAAAATCACATATGTACTTCCAAAGAACAAGAACTTTTTTTTTTTTTTTTGAGATGGAGTCTTGCTCTGTAGCCCAGGCTGGAGTGCAGTGGTGTGATCTTGGCTCACCCTAACTTCTGCCTCCCAAGTCCCAGTTCAAGCAATTCTCTTGCCTCAGCCTCCCAAGTAGCTGGGATTACAGGAATGCGCCACCATGCCCAGCTAATTTTTGTATTTTTAGTAGAGATGGGGTTTCACCATGTTGGCCAGGCTGGTCTTGAACTCGTGATCCACCTGCCTTGGGCTCCCAAAGTGTTGGGATTACAGGCGTGAGCCGCCGCACCCAGCCAAGAACATTCTTTTTAATAATCATAGTTACAATGATCAAAATCAGCAAACTTTAAGTTGATGTGATGTTATTATGTAATCCACAGTCCATATGTAACTTTTGTCATTTGTCCCAGTAATGGCTTTTATAGCACTTCCTCATTCTCCAGTCCTGGATCATATATTGCTTCTATTCTGAAATGGTTTCTTGGCCTTCCTCCTGTCCTTGACATGTTTTTAATAGTACTAGAGAGTTATTTTACAGAATGTCTCTCATTTGGGTTTGTCTGATGTTTCCTTAATTATATTCTTTTTCATGTGACGTTTCATTATTGGCTATTTGCATATATTTCAAATCATTTGCCCAAGTTTAAGGCAGGGGATTGTTTGCATTTCATTTATTGGGTTCTAGGGATTCTTTATACATGCTAGATACAAGTGGTTTTATTTTTGTAAGATATTTTTTACGAATATTTTCTCTCTACCAGTCACTTACCTATTCATTTTTCTAACATTGTCTTTTGATGAGCAGAAGTATTTCATTTTGATGAAGTGCAAACTATAAATTTTTTCTTTTATGGTTTTTTTAGGCATCTGTAAGACATCTTTGCTTATCTCAAGGTCAAGTAGATAGGTTCTGATGATTTTTTAGAAGCTTTATATATTTTTTATTTAATATTTATCATTTTTCAACTTTTTAATGTATCCCATCTGGTTTTCTTTTCTTTCTTTTTTTTTTTTTTTTTTTTTGAGACAGAGTCTCACTCTCTCACCAGGCTGGAGTGCAATGGCATGATCTTGGCTCACTGCAACTTCTGCCTCCCGGGTTCACGCACTTCTCCCGCCTCAGCCTCCCGAATACTGGGACTACAGGTGCCCACTACCACGCCCAGCTAATTTTTGTATTTTTAGTAGAGATGAGGTTTCACCATGTTGGCCAGACTGGTCTCGAACTCCTGACCTCGTGATCCACCCACCTCGGCCTCCCAAAGTGCTGGTATTACAGGTGTGAGCCACTGCGCCAGCTTGGTTTTGTTTTTGTTCCTCTGTTCTTCCTATTTGTTTTGTTCCTCTGTTCTGCCTTTTTTGGGGTTAATTGAATTTTTGGGTGTTCCATTATAAATTTTATTTTAGCGTTTTAGCTAAACTTCTTTGCATTAAATTTTTTAGTGTTTTCTCTAGGGATCACAGTATTAATTCTGAAATTGTGACTGTCTGTTTAGAGTTAGTCTTGTACCACTTCACGTAAAATGCCAGAACCTTGTGATAGTCTAGTCATACATACAACTCCTACCTTTATGTTATAGTCACATATTACATCTACATACATTGTAAATTCATAATAGTTTTTTTAGTTGTTATATGCATTTAAATAAATTTAGAAAAGAAAAACACGTACTTTTTAATATTTACCCACATATTTACCACATTCATTATGCTTCATTCTTTCTATAGCTTTCAATTTCAATCTGGTATAATTTTCTTTCATCCTAAAAAACTTTTGTTTTGCATTTCCTGTAGTACATATCTGCAGTACATATCACTTTTTAGAAAAGTGTAGTACATATCACTTTTTAGATAAGTGAAAGTACTTTTCACTTATCTAAAAATGTCTATATTTTGCCTTCATTATTGAAGGATAATTTTTCTGGATATAGAATATTGGGTTGTTCTTTGTTTTCTATCAGCACTTTAAAGAGACTATTCTGTTGGCTTTTCTTATCCATTGTTGGTCATTTATATTGTTGTTTGCCTGTTTATGATGTGTCATTTTTCTCTGGCTGTTGTCAAGATTTCCTCTTCATCTTTGGTTTTAGTACACTATGCTGTGTTCCACACTTCTGTGAGGTCTATGATGTGCCTTGTTGTGGTTTTCTTGGAGTTTGCTAAGATTCTTAGATCTGTAACATTATCTTTTCCACCATTTTGGAGAAATGTTTATTCGTAAGTTCTCCAAATATTTTTAATGCCCCCCCTTCCCTTTCCCCTTCCCTTCCCTTTCCCTTCCCTTCCCCTCCCCTCCCCTCCCCTCTCCTCCCTCTCTCTCTCTCTCTCCCGCACCCACCCCTTCCCTCTCCTTCCTTCTTCTCTCTCCTTTTCCCTCTTTCTCTCTCCTGCTTCTTCACACTCCCCCCACTCCCTGTTTCTGGGACTCAATTAAATATATGTTAGACCAATCAATACTGCACCACTGGTCACTGAGGCTGTGTTCAGATTCACTTTTTTCCCAGTCTTTTTCTCTCTGTTCTTCAGATTGGATCATTTCTATTGATCTCTCTTCAATTTGATTGATCCTTTCTTTTGATGTCTTCAATCTGCTGTTAAGCCCATTTAATAAATATTTTATTTTAGAAATTACAGTTTTCATCTTGATGATTTCCATGTGTTTCTTCTTTATATTGTATGTTTCTAATTTGAAATTCTTTATCTTTTTATATATTATGGCTACATTTTTGTTTTAAGTAGCTTCTTTAAAGTCTTTGTTGGCTATTTAAGCATTTTGGTCACTCAGGATTATTCTTTCTTAGGTGTTTTTTTTCTCATGACTATGGGTCATATTTTCCTATTTCTTTGCATGTTTTGTAAATTTTGATTATATGGTAGACATTGTAAATGATATTTCATAGGAACTCTGGAACCTATGCTGTCCCGAAGATTATTGATTTTGTTCTAGCAGGCTGTTTGTTACCTGTGAACTCTGTCTCTCCTGCAGTGAGCAGTAGAAAAATCTTAGTTCATTTCCCTCAGCCTCCCAGCTGTTATCTTCTGCCTGGTTCCTTGGAGTCTCCCCAGTATGTGCAGAATTCAGGGGAGGGGAGCCAAGAATTAGGATAGGGTTTACATGTGGATTTTGGTGCTCCTCTCTCTGAAGTTTTTTCCTTCCTAAGATATTCTCCCTCAGTTTCCATCTGCTCTGGCAGCCCTAAATTCCATTCTTGGATTCATCAAGCCCATAAGATTATGGCTTTGTATTTGAGCTCCAGCCACTCCACAACACACATACCTGAGAGCTTTTCCAGGTCAAAAGCCCTACACACATAAATCACTCCTACTGCAATTCCCTTTTTTTAAGTGTTGATTCCAAAAATAAAAAACTAAAAAATAATAAAAAAGAAAAGAAGAGTTGATTCCACTTTAATTTCTGCTTTCAATTGCTCATAACTGCCTTCAAATGATTGTTTTTCATCTTTTCTCCACAGTTTATACTTATCATCAGTGGAAAGTTTTACTGTGGTGTAGGCTACTCTACCACTTGGAAGTCTAACCTACCTTTAAATTTGAAGGATATTTTTCTGGAGTTTAGAATCTATGTTGGCACTTATTTTCTTTCATTGGAGTTTTCTATTTAAAATACTTAGCTCTGAGAGGGCATCACTGCTGATACTGACCTGAAAGTTGGTGGGTACAGAGACCCTGGAGAAGGTGATGCAGGGTAGATGGCAGAACCCTGCTATGGGAAGAAAGTGAGGGAAAGCACTGTTGGAAAGGGAGGTGTAAAGATTGAATAAAGGTGGGTGTTTTCCCTGTCTTCCCTAACGCTGACCTCAGGTAGATTAAATCACCTCTTCAAACTGATAAGGGAAAGGTGAACCAAGAGTCACTCTTTCTGGGTCTCTCTACAGCTCTCTGAGGTTAAATGAATTGATATTCAAAGATCTGAAAGGATTCTAATACCCAGAAGCCCCTCTAGTTTGTCAGTTCTCTTGTTTGGTGTGATCTGTTCAGTTCTCTGGTCGGGCACTGTCCTGGGTACTGGTAAAAGAGCAGTGAATATAATAGGCATAGCACTCACCCCTCAAAACCCACAGCCTTGGGAGGAAGGGATGTTCAGCAGACACCTCCCAAACAAGTTATTGATGACAACCTTGGTGAGCAATGTGAAAGAACGGTACCGGGAGCTAAGAAAGAATCCACAGGGGTCCAAACAGCCTGGAGAGTGGTGTGGGATTAGGGAATCTGTAGGGTGAACACTAAAGCTTTCATACATAATTATGTGCTCAGATGTATGGAGTCAGGGTACAGATATTTTTCTTTGCATTGTGTAGGTAAATATAATGGATTGAAACCTTTAAAATGCCATATTAAAATCTGTTCTCATTCTTTATGTGGATTAACTTTTGTAGAAATATTTCTATAGAAGCTGAGACTAATGATAGAACTCTGCTATAAGCTGGGAAGGAGGCTGTGGTCAGTTAGGGTGGAGGGAGAGGGAGTGGGGCGGCCCCCACATTAAGGGGTCTTTTTAGATGCAGGACTCCCTTGGATTCTGTGGGTGCCCAGATACACACTGACAAAGTGCTGTGCCCCGCAGCAGGGCCTGGAGGCTCAGCCCTCTGGTAAGTTCATTAGAAGCCCTGAAGAGGCCCTGGCGGTCCAGATTTAGCTTAAAGAGTAAGTTTTCTTTAACTTGGACTTGGAGCTCTCAGAACTCCAGGAGTGGAAGGGTGGAAGGCAGATGCTGGTTGAGGGGACACTGAGGTGGCCTGACTTGACCTTGGAGCTCCAGTGAGAAGCACTGTCTTCGTGTGAGGAGCAAAAGGAGGTCTGGGAGGTATTGGGTATTTGCCACATTGCCTTTCTAATTACGGTTTTACATCTGGCGTTTCCTTGAACTTTACTGCGGCTTGGGGAACGCATATTCAGAAAGGCGAGTTACTTGGCCCAACAGAGATGATGTTCCATTGTCACAGCTGTGGGGTGTTTCCACCTGGAATGTCCACATGAAGGAAACAGTTCTCCACCTTTGCAGCCTGCGGACTCCGGACAGACATTCCTCTGTGACCCTGAACGTGTTTTCATCACTTACCTGGCAGTGGTTTGAGCCCATTGGGCGGTGGGGATCAGGAAGCACAGGGGTCAGCTGGAAAGCCAGGTGTTTGTCCTGTGACTGACAATGGTGACTTTGAAGTGAGCCATTTGCTTGGAAGACTGGCGCTTACCTGCTGCCAGGGCATGCCGGGCATGTGTGCTCTGGGAGCCTTTGTCCATAAACAGTATCACGTGGTGGTGAGGAGTGGGCTGCAGAAACCGACAGCAGGGCTCAGCTTGTGCTTGCTGCATGCCATGTCCTGGTTTCATTTGATTATAGTATTATTATCCTCCTTTTGCCTATGAGGATACTGAGGCCTGGCACTGGTAGGTGGTAGGGTGAAGATGCCACCCCGGGACTGCCTAACATTCAAGTTTTTGCCACCTTCCTCCACCCCATGTTATGCTCTTATCTGTATGAAGATGCTTGGGACATAAAACATGAGTAGGTTCTGAAACCTTCCATGTGACATGAGATCCATTTGTTGTCCCTTTGTCGGTGGGCAACCTTTGCCTCCTTGTGTGAGTCCACTGGTGGTCTTGGTGGTCTTGGTGGTCTGGGGGTGCTGTCTGCATCTTCTGGCTGAGAGTAGGGTGGAAGGACCTACACAGGTGAGTCTGCATCCCCTCCCATGCTCCCCCCTCCCCGGCCCTCCGCCTACATCTGCATCTGAACCCTCTGCCCCGTGCAGCTTTCTCACAACCATGTCCTTCAACCCAGGGAGAAGCAAGCCTGAGCCTCTGGACTGATCCGGGCTTGGCAGGAGGGGGTGCCCCTCTGCACACCCACCCACAGGGCTCATACACATTCTCACACACACCTCTGGCACTCACCTTGTTCTTCCCAACAAGGACACTTTTCATTTGCAAGGTGTCCACATGACCTTGATGTGTTGCGTAACATCATGGTTTCTCCAGAGTGTTAATCCTTTCCCAGTTAGCTGACACATCACAGTGGCCTCCGGTTCCTTTCCCCAGACGAAGAAACCCCATCAGACCCAGTGCATGATCTCTCGGGGCTCCTCCAGCCTCTGAGTTCTGGCCTGACCCTGGGTAAGGCTTCTTGGCAGGCAGAGCCATTTCAGTGGGAGATCCTGTCCTTTGGATTCTCCAGCTTCTCTTGAGCCCCACTGGGGACAGCTCAGGGCTCTGCCCTTCACTGGGTCAGCACCTGCAAGAGGTGGGAACCACGTGGGTCTCATCTGTCACTGTATCCCAGTGCCTCAGAAGCACCTGCCCATGCTGGGTATGCAGTCAGTGTGAGTGTAGACGCCATATCTGCTCTGCTACCTTAGGCAAGTTAATAAACCGCTTAATATCAGAAATGTTCTCTGCTGGGTGCAGTGGCTTACACCTGTAATCCCAAGCACTTTGGGAGGCCAAGGCAAGCAGATTGCTTGAGCTCAAGAGTTCAAGACCAGCCTGGCCAACATGGCGAAACCCCGTTTCTACAAAAAATACAAAAAATTAGCCAAGTGTGGTGGCGTGGGCCTGTGTTCCCAGCTATTTGTGGGGGGGCTGAGGTGGGAGGATCTCTTGAGCCCAGGAGGTTGAGGATGCAGTGAGCTAAAAATGTTCTCATCTCCAAAATGGGAATATTAAAAGTTCTTGGGGATTAAATGAGATAATTCAGGTGATAGCTGCATGCTTGATAAGTAATTTGCAGTTGCCATGGTTAACTCCAAATTCAGGCAATGGAAAACTCTTGCACTGAGCTAGAGCTCAGTGGCAGCCTCAGGAGATGGCACTGAGGGGAACAGATGGTGACTCCTAGGCCACCCTCACCATCTTCACTCTTCCCCTTACACCGTATGTTTTCCTTCTCCATTGCCTCTTCCATTGAATCCCCGGCAGCTACCACCTCTAAAGGACTCTTGGGGATGAGGGGGTTGCTGACTGACTAACATATTGCAGGGGGGATTGAGGGGGTGACCTTTGGAACACCTGGGCCTTTGGGTTGGGCCATCAGCCTAGAACTACTATCATTCTGCTGTTTGATAGCATTGTCTGTTGCTTTGAATGTGAACACAGATGATGAAAGCAAGGATGTCCTTTGAAGCCTAAAACAGTGGTAAAGGATTTGAAAAATACTGTTTCTGTCCAACCCTCATTTTATAGATAATGATAGCATGATCATGAGTCAAATCTGGTGAGGTTCCAAGAGTTTTTGGCAGAGCCGACACAAGACCGGACATTTTTTTGAAGCCAAATTGTATGAACATTGAGAGCTGGAGCTGGTGAAACTTTGTTCAGCTTTTGAGGGATTGGCTGGTAGGGAGGATGAACATTAGAAGAAATCGAAATATTAGAGCCAACTCGGGCACACACCCGCAAATCCTTTTCTCTGTTTGTGTTTTCTTTGCATTTCTCCCATCATTTCCCATTCTGTGCTGTGTACAAGTGGTAAACGTGAATTGGTTAAATATTCAAGCCCCCCTTTTTAAGTGTGAGGATTCGTCATACCTAACAGTAAGAAATAGCTTTCTAAATAAATGGTGTGATAGTATATGGAGGTAGAGCATACTGTAACAGTCAGTTATGGAAGGCATGGACACCACTAGCTCAGTATTCTGTAGCAGGAATATTGACCTGTGATCATGCATTTGGTTTCCATGAAGAGTGAGGGATTTTTTTATTCAGGAAGCAGCTGAATTTATATGGATTAAATGATCATCATGTCTGGGATGATTTGCTTAGAAATCACCTCATAGGAGTGGGATGGGGTGTGGGGGTAAAGATGAAGCAAGATTAGCCATACCTTGAGTTCATTATATGTTGTTCATATTTTTGTATCTGTTTGACATTTTTCATTGCATTCAAAAAAGAATTTCAATGTAAATAAATAATGGTACAGTAGTATATCAAAATATTAGGTAGCCATTAAAATAACACGTGAATAATTTTAATGATGTGGTGTAAGTAAGAAAATCAGGAAGTCAAGCTTCCTAATATGATATGTGTGCATGTGGATAAAATATTTGCGTAAAAAATTATTGGAAGGAAATGAAAACATTAACTGTGGTTATCCTTGGTTGGTTGGATTATGGGTGATTTTCATTCTATTTTCCAAACTTCCTGTAGTAAACAAGAGAAAAAAATCATTTCTTATAATTTGAGAAAAGCTTTTTTGAAAGAAACCTAATCTGCAGTGTGTAAATTAGTGAAGCATTTGTTTCAGTGATCTGTTTTCCATTAAATTGCCCCAGTCAGTGATTAAACGCTTATGCGGTTACTGATCTTGTGGCTGTGGATATGGTTTTGGCCTGTACTGTGCTGCACTCTGCCCTGGACTGTCTTTGCTGGGGTGTGTGCAGGCCAGATCATGGCAAATGCAGTCACGAACACCATTTCACTCATTGGTAACTTCTGCTAACCATGTTTCTTTAACGTGAATTTCCATATAATTTCAGCGAGCTTGACATGATTTCCACAAGGGTGATGGACATTAAGCTTCGGGAGGCTGCAGAAGGCCTTGGGGAGGACAGCACAGGTAAGGCCCTGCTTCCCCTGCTCTGGGGAGGGCACTTGCTTTGTTGTGGGGCAGGGAGAGGGACTGACAGAGGCAGGCCTTTGGGGCTTTCTGTATGAAAAGTGGGGATTTAGTTCCCAGTGTGCTCAGATACCCCCAGGCCCTTCACGCTGTGACTGGGGGCACATGCACATTATTTAAGGCTGCTCGGGGCAGATTTCCTCTGCTTCTGTGTCAAGCACGGGGACCTTTCAGCTCATTTTCCTCCTTTCTGGAGGTAAGCATGTCCCCATGTTTGGCTGACTTGAATGCAAAGGAAGAGGTACTAAATGGATTCATTCACCATCTAAGAATATCCAAAGGCATCAGTAGGAAGCTGAGCAAAGTACCTGATAGCCTGATCATCTGTAAAAAAATAATTACATCAGGAGAGAGCCTTTGATCCCTCTCCTTCATGACTTTTGTTCTGAAGGAGATCTTTAGTATGTTGTCTGCTGAGCTGAGTTCTAGGCCCATGAATCACCATCTCATAAGACTTTCTAAGAGTTCTCCAATTATGTCATTGGTTTACTGTTATCCAAATATTGCTATTTATGTCCTGATAGAGTTGTAAAATTGACATTAAAAAATTAATCTCCCCACAATGTACCTTTTCTCTAGATTTGCCATTCATATACTCCCTTTATTTTGGTGACCAAGGCCTCCATCTCTCTCTTATTTACACTGAAAATGCCAGTAGTGATTTTCTTTGATATAGTTCAGGAGAAACAGCTCCCAATAATATTAAATCCTAGCTGCTAGCCACTAGCTTCAGATACTAATTTCAGCAAATACTCCATTTCAGATATTAAAGATAGATTTTTTCTTATTATTTCATATTAGAACCATTTTTCCTCTGTCACATTTCAATGGATACCAAATAAATCCAAATATAAGGTGAGGGTTTTTAGATGAGCCCTGAAAAAAAATTGAGTTTCACATTTTCTCATATTATGGGACACTGAATTATTACTTATTGTAAACAATAAATGTTTGAATAAATATTTCATCAGCCTGAAATGACCTCAATAAGTGCTAGTTCTGAATACATACAGAGGTTACTGAAGAAAAGGGACTAAGTTTTCTTTTTTTCAAATAGTGATCTTAAGTTATTCAGACCAACCCTCTTCCACTTAAAATTTAAAATTCTAGATAAGAATATTCTTTAAAATATTTTTCAAAGTAAGAAATAATAAGGCCAGAATTGAAAGGAAAATGGGCCAGGCACAGCGGCTTCCACCTGTAATCCCAGCACTCTGAGAGGCCGAGGTGGGAGGATTGCTTGAGCCCAGGAGTTCAAGACCAGCTTGGGCATAGTGAGACTCTGTCTCTACAAAAAAATTTAAAAATTGGCTGGACATGGTGGCACACACCTGTAGTCCCATCTACTTGGGAGGCAGAGGTGGGAGGATTGTGTGAGCCTAGGAGGTTAATGCTACAGTGGGCCATGATTATGCCACTGCACTCCAGCCTGGGCAACAAGCAAGACCCTGCCTCCAAAAAAAAAAAAAAGAAGAAGAAGAAAGAAAAGAAAAGGAAAATGGCAACCTGGAGAGACAACAGAGTATAAAAGCCACTTTGCCCTTAGATCATTTACCAGTCTTGGAAATTTTCATGTCTTCATGGGGTGGAAGGTGAGAGCAAGGGTCAAATATCAAACGACAAGGCCTGTATAATGTAGGCTGTCTAATAGAAGACACTCTCTACAATAAAGGGGAGCCAAGGAGCTACCAAATCTGAGTAGGTGTGAACTAGGGGTAAACCAACCCTTTTGTAGATTTGTAGCTTGAGTTTGCATCATTTGGGTAATTCAGAGAACCTCAACCCTTGAACTTGATTAATATTGCTTCTAGACTGGATGCAAACCCAGGTACTTTTCAGAAGCAAATAACATTCACTAAAGGAAGGTGCCTTCTATTTAGACTTCAAATTATCACAGAAAATATATTTTCAGTATCATGACAAGCATATAGTCAGTAATAACCAGGCATCTAAGGCAACAGGATACTATGAATGAGAACCAACATGCTGTATGTTGAATGGTGCTCCCACCAAATCCATATGTCGAAGTCTCCAGTATCTCCAAATGTGGCTTTACTTGAAGACTGGGTTATTGCAGATGTAATTTGTTAAGATGAGATCATATTGGAGTAGTGTGGGCTCATATTTGTTAAGATGAGATCATATTGGAATAGGGTGGGCTCCTACTCCAATATGATGGGTGTCCTTATGAAAAGGGGAACTATGGCCACAGATATGCACACAAGGAGAACACCATGCACACATGAAGGCAGACAAGAGAAACAGACACATGAAGGCATCAATATCAGAATTACCAAATACATCCTATAAAACAACTATGCATACTATGTTTGAAGATAATAAAAAAGTTTTAAAACATCCAGGGAAAAGTGGCATAGCACCCAGCCAGTGCAATAAAGCCAGAGAAAGGAATAAAAGGCAGAGAGGTGGAAGAAAGAAATAAAACTATCTCTATTTATAGATGACATGTTTATACAACATATACAAAAAAGCACTTAGAACTGTTACACAAATATACCGAGATTGCAGTGCACTCTTTAAAAGTCAGTTATGGAAGACAGACATACAGTTAGCTCAATATTCTGTAGCAAGAATACTGACAAGTAATAATTTAATTTGATTTCCATGAGGAGTCAGAGATTTTTTTCATTTAGGAAAAAGCCAAGTCCATAGAGGTGAAATAATAATAGTGCCTGGGATGATTTTTTTTGAAATAACCCATCAGAAACAGGGAGGAGGAGGGGTAAAGATGAAGCAATCAAAATCCCAGCAAAACTTTTTGCAGATATTGGCAAGCTGACTTGAAAATGTATGTGAAGAAGCAAAGAACTAGAATAGGTAAAACAATTTTGAAAAAACATAAAGTTGAAAGCTTCATACTACCTGTTTTTAAGACTTACTATAAAGCTGCAGTAATCAAGACAGTATGGTATTGGCAAAAGGATAGATACACAGAGACAGAAGGGAGTAGAGTTCAAAAACAGACCCATACAAATATGGTTAATTAATTTTGACAAAATTGCAAAATCAATTCATTGGATAAAAGATAATATTCCAACAAATGGTGCTGTAACAATTGGACATTCATATGCAAATATACCTCACAGATTATACAAAAATTAACTCAAAATGTGTCATAAACCTAAATGTAAAACTCTAACGCCTTTAAAAGAAAGCATAGCAGAAGATAGTTATGACCAAGGATTAGGCAAGGGTTCTTAGATATAATACCTGAATCCATAAAAGGAAAAAATGTATAAATTGGACTTCATCAAAACTTTAAAATATGGTCTGTGAAAGACACTTTTAAGAAAATGAAAAGACAAGTCACAGACTAGAAGAAAATATTTATAAATCACACTTGATATAGGACTTACATCCAGCATATATTTAGAACTCTCAAAATTCAAAAATAAGAAAACAAATAACTCAGTTACAAAATGGGGAGCAAATTTTAAATCATGCTTTACCTAAGAAGATGTACAAAATGGCAAAGAAGCATATGAAGAAATGCTCAATATCTATAATCATTAGGTAATGCAGAGTAAAACTGCAATGAGATACCAGGACACACGTATTAAACGTCTGGAGAAAACCACCATAACAACAGGAGCTGATAAGGATGCATTGAAGGGAGGAATGCAAAATGGCACAGCCACTTTGGAAAAACATTTTGGCAGCTCCTTGTGAAGTTAAACATACACTTAGCCTATGACTCAGCAATCCAACTCCTAGGTATTTACTGGGCAGTGAAAACTTATGTTTACACACACACACACACACACACACACACACACACACAAACTATAGCAACTTATTTATAATTGCTAAAAACTGAAAAGAACCCAGATGTCTTTCAGCAGGTTGAAATGGTTCAACAAACTGGTATATCCACACAATGGAGTTCTACTCAGCAATAAAAAGGAATAGGCTATTGATCTGGTATAACATGAGTGAGCCTCTAATGCATTGTGCTGAGTGAAAGAAGCTGGAATGAAAAGGGGACATACTGTGTGACTTAATCTACATGACATTCTAGAAAAGGCAAAATTATAGGAACAGAGAAGTTATAAGTGGTTGCCAGGGGTTAAAGGTAGCGGGGAATGTTGGACTACAAAAGGGCAGCATGAGGACAGTCCTGTATCTTGATTGTGGTGATAATTATACAACTCTATGTACACCAAAAAGAATGAATTTTACCGTGTGTAATTTAAAAAATAAGTTTTTTTTACAAGGTATAGCGGATTTGAAAAACAAAGGAATTTTTAGAAATAAATGTAATAATTAAAATTTTATTTTAAATAAGTTCATTTAAAATAAATGTAATTATTAAAATTTTATTTTAAATTAAATTTATGTAAAATAAATGTAATTATTAAAATGCGTGGTTATAACAACAGATTACATCAGCTCAAGATAGATCACAGGAAATTATGCAAAATGTACCATAGAATGGTAAAAAGATGGAAAATAAAGGAAAGGGAACAAGGGGCATAGAGAGTAAGTGAAAGGGTGTAATACCCATTTGAGCACAGTCTCGGGAGGAGAGAAGGGCTGAGAATTTTCTGGATTTTATCAAAAAGATGACCCAACCCACAGGTTTAAGAAACCCAATGAATCCCAAGAAGGATAAATCAAAGAAAATCCATATGAGGTAAAACTGCAGAAAACCAAAGAGGATGAAAAATCTTAAAATGAGTCTGAGAAAAAGAGACAGATTACCTGGACAGGAGCAAAAAAGTAACTTATGCCTAACTTCTCAACACAATAGAAGCCACAAAACAGGGAAATAATAGCCTAAATATCCTTAGGAAAAGTAACTGCCAAACTATTACGCTGGTACAAAAGTAATTGCTGTTTTTGCCATTAAATGTCATGGCAAGAGCTGCAATTACTTTTGCACCAACTTAATAGAACGTTATACCTAGGAAAAAATGTATTTCAGGAGTGATGGAGAAATGAAAGCATTTTCGGACAAACAAAAACTGGGTTGGCCCCAGTAAGCCCCCAGTAAAACAGATTCTACACAAATGCACCCTCAGGCCAAAGGAAGATCTTCCTAGTGGACAATCTGGAATATGAGAAGGAATGAAGAGCAAAGAAAACAATAAGCAAGTGGATACACCTGTGTGAACATGAAATAACTTCGAGGTTTTTTTTAACAATCAGAATTAAAACAATAGTGCATAAAAATGGAATTAAAGTATTCGAAGGTCCTTGTATTGACCTGTAATCAAATGTGTAGTATAACCACTGAAAGAGGAAGCAAAAGGTAAGGGTTATAAACTAGCAATGGAATAAATGGAATTTTTTTTAAAGATCAATTAAAAAACACATAAGATGATAGACTTGTTTTTATTAATATATCAGTAATTACAGTGAGTGTGAGTGGACTAGTTAAATTAATTAATTACATTAATTGTTCCAGTTAAGAGTTAAAGATTATTAGATTAGATACCAAAACTCTAAATATATGAATCTTAACTATAAAGGTTCAGAAAAGTAAGGATAGTAATAGGATACAGAAGCCTATACTTTGTGAACACTGGGTAAAGGGAAGATGGTGTAGCTACACAGATTGAGTATCCCTTATCCAAAATGCTGGGATCAGGAGTGTTTCAGATTTCAGATTTTTTCAGATTTTGGAATACTTGCATTATGCTTACCAGTTGAGGGTCTCAAATTTGAAAATCCAAAGTCTGAAATGCTCCAGTGAGCATTTCCTTTAAGCATCAGGTGGGAGCTCAAAAAGTTTCAGATTTTGCAGCATTTCAGATTTTCAGATTTGGTCTGATCGACCTGTACTAATAGCAGTCAAAATGAAATGTAAGGCAAAAAACATAACTAAACATAAAAAGGGCCATTTCACAAAATGTTCATTTCCCCAGCAAGATAATAATTTTACATTTCTATGCATTAACATATTATAGAAAGTTGTATTACAGCTCTTTTAGAATTTGTCTAGAAGGCTTTCCGGTTTTTGCAGGAAAGCAACCTCCCCAACAAATAAAGTTGTAAAGTGGAAATTGACAACTAAAGATAAATAAGAAAATCTATAAGCAGAGTGGGGTTATTTTTAACACATCTCTCTCAGTAATTGATAAAACAAACGCTTTAAAAATCGGTAAAGATATAAAATACTTGGACAACACAATTTAAAAAAAAGATTTTGTTCTAATTGACATATGTAGAACACTGAAGAAAATGCATTATTTTCAAGCACACCAGGAACATTTTTAAAAATTGTTCATATGGTAAGCCATAAAGCAAGTATCAACAGATTTGAATGGGTTCAAATCATTCAGAGTATGTTATTGGACCACAGTGCAATTAAGCTAGAAATCAATAACAGATAGAAAATCCTCAACTGCTTGGAAATGAAGAAGACGTACTTTCCTAAATAACCCGTAAGTCTAAGAAGGTATCATAATAGAAGTTAGAAAATATTTTTGACCAAACAATAATGAAAATACTGCATTTTAAAACACGTAGATGCAGCTAAAACAGACTTAGAGGGAAATGCATTGCCTTAAATATTATATTATAAAAACAGGAAAGTCTAAAAAGTAATAAACCAAATGTTTATCTCAAGAAGTTTAAGAAAATAGCAAAGTAAACCTGCAGAAAGTAGGAAGGAAAGAATAAAGATAAGAACAGAAATTAATACAATATGAAATAAACATTCAACTGAAAGAATTAACAAAGCAAAACTTTTTTAAGGCAATTAAAATTGATAAGCCTGTGGTGCAATTGATCAAGGAACAAAGAAGAGGCACATTTATGATAATTAATATCAGGGTGAGAAAAGAGGCATCAATCACTATAGATGTTGTGAATGCTTGAAAGATAAAAAGATATTATTAATAATTTTTTGCCAATACATTTGAAAATTTGGAAAAAATACATTTTCAGAAAAATGTTACTTAAAAAAACAGATTCAGGAAGTAGAAAAATGGACTAGTCCTGTCACCATTAAAGAAATCGAATTACAAAGCCTAGTAGGAGAAGAAATATAGTTTGAACAAATGGATGGCTAAGCCCTGCCAGTGGAACAAAGGTGTACAGCAGTTATGCTTGAGCTCTGCCAGTTACACTTGAGGAGACCATTAATGCTGTAAGCAGCATTTTTGATGGTCATGATATTGAGGCTGTGTATCTATTCAGGCCTTCGAGGATGCATACCAATTTGTTGACTAGGCAAAAGCCACAGGGTGTCCTGACCAAATGCAGAAAACTCTTAAGAATCTTTCAAAATCATAAATGCTCATTGAGAACCATCTACTAACAACATAAACATTTTTTACGATTATAAAGTTGAGAACACTTCCACACTAGAAGGTGAGAAAACTAGAAGGTGCTGTAGAACTGACTTATCCTTGGAGAGGGATTTGTTCTACCTGTAATGATGTAGGAACTCCTACTAAAGTAATCCTAAGTAATTCTCCCCATGAGAGTAAGACCATGTAAGCTTCCCAAGGAGGCAATAATATAAACACAACAGAAAGATCCTGGGTTTTTTAAGGAATTCAGTTTATTAAATTATTATAAAAAGTAATAAATTGTGCAAATTTTCAGGATGTATTAGACAGCATCCTGGTAGTCTACGATGCTGCATCCCTCCACTGTCAGTTCTGTAACTATTCCGGGAAAGGAATGAACTTTGCTGAGCAACTAATGTGAAATCATGGAAACCTGGGTATGATAGAATTCATGGGAGAGAATGAAGCTGTCACCAGAGGAGCAATCACAAAATGTTGAAAAGTGTGGTGAATTCTAATAATCCAGGAAGCATGGCAGAGTTGGGCTCAGCCTGGCCACACCCCTCCCCTGCAGGGATGACCAGTCTCATTGTTTTTCTCACCAAAAGTCATTAGCTCATCATGCAGTTGGTGCCCCACAGACCCACCTTCTTGCCCATGAGGTTGGGCCTCCTCTGATTGTCCTTGATGCTGTATTCACACTAGACAAAGCAATTCATAATTTTTATTTTATTTTATTTTTTTTGAGAGAGGGTCTTGCTCTGTCACTAAGGCTGGAGTGTAGCGGTGCAATCATAGCTCACTGCAGCCTCAAATATATTTTAGAAATCAAAACTTGATTATACATGAGAGGAAAGTTGCTAATTTTGATTCTGTGATCATCTTCCAAAGTGTTCTTGTGTCTTTTATTTAAATATCCTAAATAAAAAGAAACAAGATGTGTTTTCAGGTATGCAAAACTGGTATACCATGTACTTTTGCGAAGTAAAAGGACTTTTCAGAAGCAGATAACTGATGCATGGATGGAAATCTTGCTTTCTCTCTTTTACGTGCCTGTTGCATACATGCACATAAACACACACTGTAACAGTCTTATTTATTATTTTTTTCTCTAATCTGTATAGGAAAGAAAAAATCTAAATTCAAAACTTTTAAGAAGTTTTTTGGGAAGAAGAAGAGAAAAGAATCGCCGTCGTCCACAGGAAGTAGCACCTGGAAACAAAGTCAGACGAGGAATGAGGTCATTGCCATCGAATCCGGGCCAGTGGGCTACGACTCCGAGGATGAGCTGGAGTAAGTTGCATTTTACATCCCTCGGGCCAGGAGCACCTAAATACATGATTTCATTATCCTGGTAACTTGCTGGATTTCTGAGCCCCCTTTCCTCCTGGGTAATTCCATTAGAGGTTCTTCCATAGAAGTTGTGTTTTCTGTCTTTTCAAACCTAGGGATGGAGAATGCTGTGTGTGTTTAAGTCCACAATAACTGTGGGAGAGGAGGTACTATATGCCATTTTATAAACGGACAAAATAAGCCCTAGATAAAATTTAGAACTTGCCCAACATCCTACAGCTGAAAGTGACAGGATCAGGATAGGGGCCCTGGTTTAACTTGACTTAAAACTCTTTTGAGGACCTAGATGCTATATTAGAAAAATGCATTTCTCTAAAGTTGAACGTTAAGTAATCTAATCAGAATATTTTCACTTGATGGGGGTGGGGAGGGGGCGCTCCTTGCTATCTTAGAAAAAAAATCATCCAAAAATATCATAAAGAACAGACCCAATAAGCACAAAAAACTGGGGAGGTCTAGTAAAGAAATCCTTATTTTTGTAACTTGTGTTTCATTAAAATATAGTTACAGTACATATGCTGCAGTTATTCTAGCAGTTATTCCTGTGACTAAGAGGAAACGAAACAGATTTGTTGCTATGCTAGCTTTTACCTTTTTTTTTTTAAGACAACGCTGGCCCTTTAAGGATAGAACTCTTCAGAGAACATAATATCCCTCAGGTTTGGGGTACAGACCACGCTGAGATGGGTCCCAGGCTTGAGCATCCCAATAGTGGTGTCCTGTCCCCTCTCTTGCTCTCGCCCCTCCCCAGCCTCCTTGCCTGTTTTTTAAAGGAGTAGAAATTTTGCTGGCCACTTGGTGGCACCAGATGACTGGAAAGGAAAGATTGGAACCTTTTTTTTTTTTTTTTTTCAGTTTTGGGTTTGATTTAGGTTTTGATTGTTTTTGGTGCTAGCAGGGAATGTAATAGACTCACATTGCACCATGTGAAGTGTGGAAGGGATATACTGTGCATGCATTTTTTTTTTTTTTTTGAGACGGAGTCTCGCTCTGTCGCCCAGGCTGGAGTGCGGTGGCGCGATCTTGGCTCACTGCAAGCTGCGCCTCCCGGGTTCACGCCATCCTCCTGCCTCAGCCTCCCGAGTAGCTGGGACTACAGGCACCCGCCACCACGCCTGGCTAAATTTTTTTTGTATTTTCAGCAGAGACGGGATTTCACCGTGTTAGCCAGGATGGTCTCGATTTCCTGACCTCGCGATCCGCCCGCCTCGGCCTCCCAAAGTGCTGGGATTACAGGCGTGATCCACGGCGCCCGGCGTGCATGCATTTTTTTTAGGCGGTTCTCTGAACTCTTGGGGAACGAGATGTTATCGCGATAATATTACTAATTATTCAATGTCATCACTTTGCAAGCCCCAGGGAAACTCTAACACCCACCCCCATCCACCCCTGTCTCTTGACTGGAGCACACAGTTCTGGTGTTGGAGAGACAGGCCTGGGAGTGGCCCCTCCAACCACAGACAGGAGCCCAGCCAGAGGGGCAAGCTGGGATGAATTGTCCTGTCCGCTTGCTGATGTCCTCCCTGTCACAGGAGCCCATGGAAAGTGGAGACGGTGTGCTTTTTATCTTGATATTCCCAGCACCTTGCAGGGAGCTGGCCCTCAGTGACTGGTAACAGTTTGCTGGTTTTGATGCTAGGCAAGGAAGATTGGGAATGGAGCATGATGAGGCCTGGGAAGTGCAAATGACATTTTTAGAGAGCAGCACAGAGGAAGAGGCAAGTACTGCTTGGCCTGTGGGAGAGTCTGCGGCAACTTCTCATCCATCACTGTGGGGAAAACAGCTCCATTTACTAAGGCACATTAGTGCGAGCAAACCACATGGGACCCTGTGGGTTGAATAAAGTGACGCCCATTTATCGTGTCTGTGTCTGTGCGGTTGTGCTTCTTAAGTCTGTTAATCTATAACGATTTCCTTTTGCCCTCTCCCTTTGTTTCACGTCATTGATCTGAAGGAAGAGCAGGGCCATGTGTCCTGCAGAATGTCCCATATTCTGGCTTTGCTTTCTCTTGGTGTGACTCAACTCTTTCCTATATTCTCCCAATTCCCGGTACATCATTCGATGGATCCAGATTCTGTCAGGTTCAAGCAGGTGCTGGTTGTTGTCACATCCCATGATGAGTCACCTGCTTTCTGAGCAGTGGGTTCAGGGTGTGTCACTGTCGTCCCTCCACCAACCTTCACCTGACAGTTTTAACACCTGGTGATGATCTGTTATTTTGTCACAAAGTGGTGGTTTTTCTAATTCTATCATTCACTGTACACTTGCTAACTGAAATTCTTTGATGAAGAACTTTCCTTCATCAATTGCTTGGTTGCTCCGAAATACAATTTGTAAAGTCAGGATCATGCTTGGCTCTCCTTTTATTGATCCACCCTCAGAGTAATGACGTGGCCCCCTAGCAACTCCTGACAGTGGCCAGTGGGTTTTGTTTTTTTCTTTTTTTTTCCAAATATCATTGGGAATGCATTACTTTTTATATATTTGATTTGCTTTAATCCATGACAGTCTTTATTCATTTTAATGCTCAAGTTGTTCCATCTTAGGCTGTTGAGAGTCACTTGAAATTCGCTCCGTCTTTTGACATGACCCCATTCATCTTTGATGGCTTCCTTACTTTCTTGTCCAATGAGAAATCTCAGGTTTATTTGGTATATTTTCTTCCCCTGACCTGGAATCAGCACTTTCTTGACAGGACCCTGGCTCCCTCCTTGTGGTGTGAAATGGCTTTTAAAGACCTCAGTCCAGCTGCCAGGGGCGATGATTACTAATTGGCTGTCACTGATTCTAAACCTTTCCAGTGGATATAGCTAGGAAATGGTTTATTTTTCAAGAGAAAAATTAACCATTAATTTGCTGATATTTCCAATTCAAGTTTAATAAAACAACATTTTTACTTCTTTAATTCTTTGTATTCTCTTTTCTCTTACACTTGAAACCAGGGCTCCTTATGATATTAACAAAATGACTTATTTTCTTTAACCTATCATATATTTATAATAATTTCCTTATCCCTTCCCTATATGGAAGTTAAAAATATTATAAATACTTTTCTGCACACTGTCTTATAATCAGTGTTATTGCTAATAAAACTACAGAGTGCAATTTCATATTTTTGGTTTTTTAATTATTATTACTACTAATAAGATTAGTGAGTGCAATTTGATATCTTTGGTTTTCTTGTTGTTGTTCCTAGAATGTATTCTATCTTGGATGTGGAGTCAAAGTCACTTGAAATTATTATATTCTCTGTGTGGTCATGCCAACAATCTGATATAAAATTAGATTTATTTGTTTGTGTTTGTTTTCTAGTTTTAGAGATTGTTTTATTTCTCTTTTTGTTTGGTTTCATCTTTTAATTATATAAAACGTTTGCATAGTTTCAAAGACAAAGTTGTCAATGTAGGTATCTTTGCACTATGTCTCCTCATCTAGTTATTTCTTTCCCCCAAAGAAAACCACTTTTATTTATTTGTTATTTATTCTTCTATTTTCATTTTTTTAAAATATAAGAAACACACACACATGTTCAGATAATATCCAGGCCCCCCTTTCCCATGCAGTGCTGACATGCTGTGAACATTGTTCTGCAGTGGTTGTTATTTATTGCACTTAGTAGTATCTGGTGATGCCTGCATGCAGCGTGTAGAGACCTTCCTGCCCATCAGACCAGCTGTGGAGTCCTCCATTGTATGACATTCATGGTTGATTCAGTTAGATGCCTACTGAGGGGCACTAGGTGTTTCCCATCTTTCACTCTTTTGAATATTGCTGTAGTGAATGGCCTTGCACATGTGCCATTTTGTGTTTTTGCAGAGGCCTCTTTATGCTGCCTCCACTCCTCATTACATCCAAAGCGGAGGTGCTTGGGTGGTGGTTGTGGTTCCCAGAGAGTGTGGGCCATGGGCTGTCCACTGGGGGAGGGATATCCAAGTGTGTGTGTGACCTTTGGGTTAAGAGCTGCCCTTGGCAGGGAGGTCCTGATTCCTTCAGTTGGCGTAGTTCCCTCCCTGGCATGTGAGGACACACACATCCTGGGAGCCATGGGTTCCCACTTGCAAGCTTACTGTTGCAGGCGTGAGAGTTTAATTAGAAGGAAGCATTATTAGCCAACACAGTTTGATCTACAGTTGGACAGGGCCACACCTCAGAGTCCTTAATGCCCCACAGTGGACAGGATGCCCAGGGTAGGGGAGTGGCAGGAGGGAAGTGGGTGGGGTGGTGCACACAAGATGTCCAGTGTGTGCAGAGGCAGGCTTTCCTTCCTTCATCATCAGATCTCAGTCATCTCCTTCCACCTATTGTTCAGGCAGCCAGTGCTGCTAGGAAAACTTGACAGCTAATTCCCACATCCTTTTAGGACATTTTGTGAATGTCCTGGGGGTTCAGTCCCAGATCAGATTCTTGAGTTCAGAGCTGAGGAAAGGACTGGGATGGCGATGACAGAAGGCCACCATCTCTGCTCCAGGATCTAGGCAGGCACAGAGGTTTTGGTCACACAGATGGTGCCAGGTCATAAAAAGAGGCCATGGCTTTGCAGATTTGCAGTTCTCATTTCAAACCACCCACGGATGTATGTCTTGGTCTGTGTGAGGTGTGTGTGAGGATGCGTTCATCAAGCAGGCCCTCAGCCTGCTGCACACACAGCCTTCAGCCCACGGAGGGCCTGCATGTTTGCCCACAAGGCGTGACCTCACCCTCCCTGGGGCAGCCGGGACAGGCCTCCTCAGAAGCTGGCCGTGCCAGCCCCTCCCCTCTGCAGGCTTGCTGTCTTGCACCTCACACCTTATCAAACCTTGGTTTTTTCATTAATACAAAAATAATTCACACAACCTTTAGATCTCCTAGGAAAATTCCTATCTCTGCAATGCTCCAAATAGTTGACTGGCATTTGACAGCGTGTGGATGAACTGAAGTCAGGGACCACTGAAATGTAAATGCAGCAGAGGGAGTGTTGTTTGATGTTCTGTTCACTCACATCCCTCTTTCTCATTCTGAGCCCCCCAGGGGTCAGTAAGATGGAGGTGGGCAGAGTCTCACAGTGGCTCTTTTATCCTAGGGAGTCGAGGGGCACGCTGGGCAGCCGGGCCCTTTCTCACGACAGTATTTTCATTCCTGAGTCCGGACAGGACGCTACTCGGCCTGTGCGGGTGTTTTCCCAAGAAAATGTGTGTGATCGGATTAAAGCTCTGCAGGTAAATGTTTCCTTGGTCATGTCGCCTGGTGTGCAAGTCAAATATCCATCAAGAAGTTTTTAAATGATTTCTGCTTGGTTTATTTGATATGCTGTAAAGTAGAATCACATGTACATGACAGCTCCCCCAGGACACACCAAATGAGCTGCAGTGGGATCTCGACTCATTCTTAGATGAACAAAGAAGAGATGGCAGTGGAAGAGCTGGTGGCAGATGCACGTTCAGTTCAGTTCTCTGCACCACACCAAGATACTGAAGGCATTTCCAGCATGAATGAATTAGAGCAGGAGGATTTGTTGATAAATATCATTGATGAAAATAAGAGCACATGTTCTTTATTCCAATCTAGTTAAAAATACAGTGTAATGTGAAAATGGGGCCACCACCTCCTCCAGGGGGGCTTCCTGCCAAGCGGGGAGAGGATGCCGGCATGAGCTCTGAGGACGACGGGCTGCCCAGGAGCCCCCCAGAGATGTCTCTGCTGCACGACGTGGGTCCTGGTACCACCATAAAGGCAAGTGCGGCCTGTACCACTGCATGTCTTCATCCACACCTGCCCTGGAGGGTGCTGGAGCTCTGAGATCCCCTGTGTGTGCCCCTAAGATCTCCAGGCTGTGCATGGTGTGGCCAACTGGGTCACTGGAGCCTACAATCAGCCCTTGAGCTGTGTTTATTTTCATTCTTTGAGTAGAAATTCAGGTCTGGTTAGGAGACGTGGTTTTGGTGACTTTTTTTAATGAGGGTGATAGGTTGATAGAATCAACCCAGAATCAACCCTGTCCCTTGACTTTCCTGTCTGAGCAGATGACCAGACCCAGAACCCCATTAGAAGTAGGGAAACACGTTGTATCTGTTTTCCGTTGCCATGACATTTGGCCGGTGGGAGGGGGAAGTAGTGAGCATGTGATAGTTGAGGCTCTGATGGTCTCCGGTGCCTGAGTTTGTGACCTTGAGGTGGTGTTGGCCTAGGGGTAGTAATGTGCTGTATTGCTGGCAAACAGGGCAGCAGGGAAAGGTTGACAAGCAAGAGAGGAACTGATGACCTCAGCAGGGTGGAGGAACCAGTCCCAAACACCACCTTCTCCATTAGAATCCAAGAGGGGGGCCCCGAGGAACTCGGAAAAGAGCACGAGCTCTTTCTCGTGCATAAACAACATAGCTCGCGATGCTGCCACATTTTAAATTCTTTATGTTATTGTGGTAAGAACACTTAATGCCCATACACTGTACTTGCACATAAATGTTAAAAATAGGTGGTCATCCTTCCCATGTAGACAAGCCTGACTGTGGAGGATGGATAGAGTTGGAGTTATCTGTTATGCTGACATTTGAAAAACAAATAAAGGCCAGAGTTTATTTTTTATAGCCACACACCTTCCCCTGTCACCTCTGGCCTGCTCGAGGGGCCATTCACAGTGAAGGGGGAGCTTCGTTGCGACTCACTGCCTTGCAGATTCTGTGCTTCTCTGAATTGTGTTCAGAAGCCACTTCAGTGTGGACACCTATACACCCTGCCACACCAAATTTTTGTGTGTAGTTGTGAGTTCCCCGAACGTCACTGATGAAAAAGGCAAAAGGACTGTGGTGTGGCTGAGTGTGTGGGGTGGGGACTGACATGAAGCCGGCTAGAGAATTATTCTCTCCAGAATTCTGCTCTGGGGCGAAGCTGTCCCTGCTCATTCCAGGAGCAGGGTCTGAGGACAGTGGGCTACCCAGGCCTGCTCTCCAGCCTCGAGCAGAAGGGAGAAAGGATGAGGAGGATGGGGTGGCCTATTTCATAGACTTCACCGAGCCAACCCTGTACCCCTTTTAACACCTCCAAATACTCCTGTGTGCAGTTTCAGCGTCCCCCTCTCAGGAGCAGATGTGACTTAGTGTATTTCTGAGCTATGCAGTAGGAAGAGGTCTGTCATGAGCTGCCTCTTTCCTCATCATAGATGGACTCCCCCTCCTCCCATCCCACAGGTCTCTGACTCTCACAGCATCCCAGTTCTCTGCCTTTAGCCAGGACGGGCAGTAAGAGGAGAGGTAGTTTCTAACCCATCCATTGAAGAGCAAGCCTATCTCCAAACCCATGTGACACTATGAGGCACAAATTCCACAGCTGGCTCGGCTGGGCCAGCCTGACTTTATCTCTCACAGCACAACCACCTCCTGTGGTTGGTCCTTTATTTAAAAAAAAAAAGTTCTGAGATTTTATCAATTATTGGGTAATATGGACAATCTACCAGCTTCATAGGAAACCAAAATTTGGGCTTTTAAGACTTAAAAACAGAAAGGTAATCTTTAGTGTCTTCATCGTTTTGAAGACACAATGATTGCATTTTGAGGCCTGAAAGTTTTTATGCATAATTGGTTGATTAAGAGGGAAAAACAACACACCCTTTAAAATGGGCTTGTAGAATATGTGGTATTTGATGTAATAGTGCCTTAAGCCCCAAAAGTATGGGCTGCAGACTGTTTATACCTTACACTGACCCACAGGCTTACACACAGGCCCACATAGACAGAAAACTTTAAGATTATTGTGGAAAAAAGAGTCTTTAGTACCAAGTATTTGATGTTATAACCAAGGTGACATTTCCTGATAGAATAAGTTTTTCAGGAAATATATGGAATAATTTTTCAAATTTTATCACCAAGTGTGATAACAACTGATGAAAGTTTACCTGGTGGTTTTTAAGATAAAATGATGTCTAACTGGTCATATTCTAGTTGTCCTGCTATGAAGCAGGACATGCCAGGTAGAGTGTGATAAACTGGCAAGGCCAATGAGTCATTTTGCTCCTTGGTGATGCGGGAAGGGAAGATGGGGAGGGAACACAGATCTGGTGGCAAATGAACAAATACATGCCCCACAGCTCCGGAGGGAGGCCTCAGGCAGGCTTATCACCTCTTAGAATCTGTGTCCTGAGAGGGTTTTGGCTCAGAGGGTTTTGGGGGGATGAGATGAGATTGGGTAGATCAGCACCTCTCCTTCCCAGCAGGACCAGCGGCTTCTTTTCACCCCTCGAACAGCCAGGCCCCCCTGCTTCCTGTCCAGTGGTCCTTCCTGCATGCACTGCCCCCAGCCCACTCCTCAGCGGCTGAGCCCCTCTTTTTGAGGACACACATCCTAAAGCACCTGTCACTCAGGGCCGCCCATGAAAAGCTTCTGACCCCAGCTGTTTCCTTTGGGTCCTTTGAGCTGCCTTCCCTGCAACAGAGAGACACATGCTAGACTTTTAAATCCTCTGCTTTCAGAATCATCCAGAATCACAGATTTTAGGAAAAATTGGGTGACTGGAAGCAAGCCATGCAGAGCTGAATGTTCTGGATGCTGCCAGCCCTCCCATGAAGCCAGCTTCCCAGCCCTCACCTCCTCCCCATGGGCCCCAAACCACCTCACGTAGTTACATCACTGATCAACAACAGACACAATTCTCCTTGGTCATGAAGATGAGGGTCTTTCTGGACCCCAAGATCTCTCAGAGCAACAGTGGAAACAGAAGTGAGAGTTCTGAGGCCAGAGGAGTTGAGTTCCCTAGTTAGGGAGAGCTTGTACCTGGGGCACAGGTCAGGGAAGTTAAGCTCCATGCCAAGGTCCCCTAACCAGGGGCCACAGTGGGCCTGAGCCCAAGACATCTGCCCAAGCAGGACAGACGCAGGGCGGCCCACAGGGAGGAGGTCCTGCTGTGCATCCTTCAGAGCCTTCAGGGTATTGGGCTTTATTCTATAAAGAGGAGTGGTCAGGGGTATTATTGTCACAGGCACCGTGATCATTCTTACTGCACTTGCAAAGCAGCTGATCTTGTCTATTCTCATGAGTCCTAGGCAGTGAGATTTTCTTTTTAACCAAATGTTTATACATTGTTCCTCTAGACAAGGGTAAATATTACAGATTCTGTATGCTTATTTTTAAATGTACACATCCTGTTTGTGACCTTTAAGGAAGACTCTCTGGGAAAGGTATCGATTTCCCAATCTAAGGTGACTTCCTGAGTTGTCAGTGACCACAGTGAGAGCCAAAGCCACAGGCACAGATGTACTTGTTGCCAGGAGACTTGCGGCTTATTTTTAACATAATTTTTATTGCTTTATTCCCGTAAGTACCTGAGTAGCTAAAAGAGAATTCAAATAGATTATGTCCACTTTTAGCCCCCTTTCCCCCATTTTAGTAATTATCTCCTCCTTGTTTACACAGATAAACTTACACTTTTATTGGAAAATAGGAGAGACCTTCACATGAACAAGAAGAGGTTGTTCCTCCCGTATCGAAGCCCATCTCACCAGTACGATCATCCTTATGGTTCCCTGTCCGGGTTAGCAAAGGCTGCTGGGCACCTGCTCTGTGTGGGGGTCCCAGGGTTATTAGAAAAGAAACAGCGGATGTGCCCATGACCCTAGGAGTTCGCCACTGGGGACGGCACTGGTGTGTTGTCTCATTGCCTCATTCACTGTTTTCATGAGGGCTTACTGAATTGTTGTGTGAATAAAACTCTATTCTTAAGTTAAATGGAAACTTGACACTAATATTGCACACCGTGCTCGAATAGAAGGCTTGCTTGAAGATCACAGAGTTATACGAAAAGCCTGTCACCTCCTAGAGTCTCCCTGTGCACCTCGCCCCTCATCTGGGCTGCATGTGCTCACAGGCGCTCCGAGTTTCATCCCAACTTGTGTCTGCAGGGGAGCCCACTTCGACCTCACTCAGTGGTGGAGCTGGCCAAGTTCGGGGGCAGGGATCTGCGGGTATTGCCTTCATTCTTTCACATGACTGCCAGCATCCCTTTGTCCCAGGTGACATGTTTGCCATTTGCTATCAGTTCTTCCGTGCTGAAGTATAAATGAGTAAAATACCTGTAACTTAACAGATGGCAATGTCCAGCCAGATTTCTTCAAAAGGATACATGAGCACACAGAGACCTTCTAGGTTGAACCAACAGGGCTCCAGTGATGGAATACTGGGCAGTGGGCTTTGCACTTCCTGCGCCCCAGCCTCTAAAGTCACACCTCTGAACCTTCCCCTCAGCTTCCAGAGACAGGACCAGGTGACTGTGCCCTTGGACAAATCAGGCTGGTGTGTTTTGAGAGAGAAAGCTCTTGTCTGAAGTGCCTGTGCCAGCCACCATGGGAGGGTGACAGGGGAGCCTGAGACACAGGTTCTCTGCATGGTCTTGGGAAAGAGTAGCTGGTTTCCAGGAGCTGGCCCCACACTTTAAACTCCCAGCCATTTACCTTTCTCCAGAAGGATCCTAGACCCCTCCTTGTTGAGAATCAAATTGAAAGTATTGGCCGGGTGCGGTGGCTCACACCTGTAATCCCAGCACTTTGGGAGGCCAAGGCGGGCGGATCACAAGGTCAGGAGTTTAAGACCAGCCTGGCCAACATGGTGAAACCCTGTCTCTACTAAAAATACAAAAATTAGCTGGGTGTGGTGGCAGGTGCCTGTAATACCAGCTACTTGGCAGGAGAATGATTGAACTCAGGTGGCAGAGGTTGCAGTGAGCAGAGATCACGCCACTGCACTCCAGCCTTGGTGACAGAACAAGACTCCATCTTGGGGGAAAAAAAAAGAAAGTATTTCCACACACGTAAAGCCAGAGACAGTGTGGGAAGACAGCCTGGGCAGAAAAGAGCATTGTTGCGTTGGTCGTCCTTATTTCACACGGTGAAGTTCATGCTCCGTGTGTTTGTTCCTTGTCCCACGAAGGTCTCTGTCGTGTCTCCAGACCACGTGAGCGACAGCACCGTCTCTGCCCGGATCTCAGACAACAGCCTGGCACCAGTGGCTGACTTCAGTTATCCTGCAGAATCCTCCTCCTGCCTGGACAACTCTGCAGCTAAGCACAAGCTCCAGGTCAAGCCCCGCAACCAGCGGTCGAGTAAGATGAGGCGGCTCTCATCGGTAATTGGGTTTCCTTCTCCACACAGAGGCAGGCCAGGCAGGCTTGGCACCCCCCTATGCCCCCCCCCAACCTGCCTCACTCCCCCACACAGGGTCTCATGCCCCCTCTGAGCACCCCACAGTTGATGGAGCCATGCTGCAGGAGCTGAAGTTGCTCATCTTTTTAAACATAAACCAGATCTGTCTCTCCCTTGCAGAAATGCTCCATTCATTCATCCATCCGTCTGTCCGTCATTCCTCACACACTCACTACTGAATACTGGTTGCCTTCCCCCTGCACTCAGAGGAAAGTCCACGCTCCAGGCCTGGCACATCAGGTCCTGCCTACCCCCCAGGCTTCTTACCTTCTTTCTCACTCAGCGTTCTGGCCACCTTTCTGCCTCTTGAGCTCAAGAGCTGCCTCTAGCCTCAGGCCTTGGTGCTGCTGTGTCCCAGCCTTGGGGCCTGAGAGTCCCCCAGAAAAACTCACCCTGCCCGTTCACTTCCTTCAGAACACTCGCCACATGCCAAAGTGACCTTTGTAAATGGATGTGCTCTTATTGCCAGTCTTCTTTGAGACCCTGTCCTGGCTGCATTTTCAGCCCTTAGAACATTTCTAGTCACAGAGTTGTTGAATGGATGAACCACTGAACAAACAAATGAGTGAATTAACAAATGAGTGAATGAAAGAAGCTGAAACACTAGCGTGGACAACTGTCTTGGATGAGGGCCTACTCAGTAGCATGGGGAGCATGCCTCGGAAAGACAGACCCCTCTTTGGGTGTGCTGCCTCAGGGTGTCGTTACCTCCTAGTCCTAGAAGCTGAGAAACTGGCTCATGGAATACTTTGGCTTCATTTACTGGCAGGTTCGAGGTTCACATAGGGTTGTTCCCTCTCCCCTACCTGACGGGCACTGTAACGCGTCCCCCCTGGAGTGGGGACCAGCCTGGCCACAGAGAATGACAGTGCTGATAAAGAGATGCTCACAGGCTAATGTCCTCTGTCCTTCCCTCATGACATGATTGTGGTGTGTTGGTGAAGTACCCAGGGCAAGCTGGGTGCCTCAGCTGGAGACAGTTGGGCTAGGGCCACTCAGGAGTTCAGCAACTCCCTGAAGAGAGTGAGTTTTCCTTTGGGCATATGGAAGGTGTTCTTTAAACTCATGCCAGCAGAGTAGACTTTTGAGGGGACTAATGCTGGAGGAAGAAGCAAAGGTGAGTTACCTTCAGGCTGATGTGCCAGCTAGGAACCAGGATACTTGTGCCTAGGTGTGTGTGTCCAGTGCATGCACAGTTAAAGGCTGTGTGCTGTGTCAGTGTGACAAGGTCCGGTCACTCAAGACCTGCCTGTACTCGTGCTGAATGAGACTACAGGGCCAGGGCCTGCTCCCTTCTGGCCCTCAAGTCTGTGATTTATGAATCCCACGGGGATGTCTTTGGCTCTGGCCAGGGCGTTTATAGCCAGCCACAACCTGGCCAGGACTTGGTGACAGAGCGAAGCGTGGTGTCTATTCCAGGTGGAAACACAGCCTCCCTTCTTGCTCCCATCTGGGCAGGGCTTATATCCTTCTTTCTTTACATTTGAACTTGACTTAGTTCTTGAATCCCACTTTGTAGAATAACAGAAAACCTGATGTAGCCAGCCTGGGCAAACAGGTAAACAGCCTTTCCTTGATTTCAACTCTGTCACATCCATGGTCTTTCCCTCTTTTCCCCTTCCCTGCTTGGTAAGGAGCGGGCATGGATATCTGAAGTTCTCAGAGGTGTCCATATTTTCCTCCATCCACTGTTGTGGAACCTATGATGCCGGGGGCCTCTGTCCTTCAGTGTCCATAGCACCCTTTGCCCGTTGGTCATGAGGTCCCTCTTCCCAACCATAAGGACCTTCCTTGTGGCCTGGCCCCTCTCAGGGATCAAGGTGCTTTCAGATGCTCCCTAAATGCTCCCAGGATGGGAAAGAACAGCCATGCTGCCCCCTCTGCTGCCTTGTGTGGGCTCTGTGACTGATAGTTTTAAAAGGTGACCTCCATCCTAAAGAGGTTTCAACATCAGCAGTTTCCTGTAGTAGCAGAAGGCCATCAACATGGCAAAGTAAAGAACCTGCAGCTTTTGAAAGTTCTTCTGTAGCTTTCTTTGTGCCTCTTCCTCTTTTTAAATCCAAAAGAATAGGATTGTGCATTTTGGCAAGAGTTTGCTTAGGTATTGTCACAAACATCCCAGGCATCCTATATTCTATTAGCAAGCAGATGCCATGAAAAATGTTAAAATAATAACAAACAGCAAGAAGAAAAACCTATTGCAAACATACCCTGTCACAGTTCCTGCTTTAGAAAAGGGGAAGGAGAGAGCAATAGCCTGGGTGACTCTTGGTGTCTAATATCACAAACTTTCTAAAAGATCAGTCTCTACACCATCAACCTTTTCGTCATTTCCACATGTTACTTTTGAATGATTCTTGGTTACCTGGAGCTCCTTTCCTTCCCGAGAGAGCAGGAACTGACTTTGTGACAATAGGAGGAAGTTGGACTGGAATCTGAATTCTAGAGGTCTTTCAGAAGAAGACTATCACAAGGCACTGTATGTTTGCCAAGCCAGTAGGGCTTCAGGAGGCCAGAGAAGGGGGGAATCTTAAACTGCATAGAGTGGGAGAGTTTGAAATAGTCCTTGGGGGCCCTGGTAGAGTATCTTGGAGGTTGGGGGCAGGGGGGTGGGGGAGAGTGGGGAGGTGACAGTCACTCAGACCAAGTGTCTGGCACAGTGTTGAGGGCTTGGTTTGACCTGAGTAGGGAGTGGAAGAAACGGCTTAAGACCAGAGAATCTAGGACTTTAAATTTAGCTGAAAATTTTGGTTTTATCCTATAAGCCATGGTTAGCTATTGGCATGATATGAGCCATCTTTTAGGAAAACCAGTCTGGCTTTACTATGAGGGTACATTCCTGAAGTGTTGACATGGGAGACTGGCTGGGAGGAACACAGAGCCATAGAGTCCCAGCTGTTCAGCTCGGCCACCTGCTTGCCCAGGCTTGAACAAGGTATTGGCCTCTCTGAGTTCCTGGCTCTCAAGTGCAAAAAGGGACTCATCATCCCTTCCTCACTGGGATGAATGGAAGATTAAATGAAATAACAAGTGTGGGAGCACAGAGCATAGCAGACACTGGCTGCTGTTGGTCGCCTTCCCTTGGCGTTACTCTAGTCCACTGGTTTTGAGGCTCTGCCAGAGGAGCTGTAGACATTTACTTTGGAGGCATATCTGCCATTGTCCTGATAAACTTGTGAGCCCAAGTAGACCAGTAGGATACAGACTGAGAAAAGACACCCGTGGGTACATGCCTACTTAAGTGCCAGCTTTATAGTGCTGCTATCACTAAACCATTATAAGCCTTGAAAAAAGTGGGGAGGTGACAGGCTTCCTGGAATTGGCTATAGCGACGATGCTTTTTATCTTTATTTCTCTCAGCGCGCTCAGTCTGAATCCCTGAGCGACCTGACGTGCACCCCAGAGGAGGAGGAAAACGAGGAGAAGCCACTTTTGGAAGTCAGCCCAGAAGAGCGCCCCAGCTCTGGGCAGCAGGACGTGGCGCCAGACAGAGGCCCTGAGCCTGGGCCACCGGCGCCCTTGCCGCCACCCGGAGGGGCCCGTGCCAGACGCGCCCGCCTGCAGCACTCCTCCGCGCTCACGGCCAGCGTGGAGGAGGGGGGCGTCCCCGGGGAGGACCCCTCAAGCCGCCCGGCCACCCCGGAGCTCGCCGAGCCCGAGTCGGCCCCCACTCTCCGCGTGGAGCCCCCGTCCCCGCCGGAGGGCCCCCCGAATCCCGGTCCCGACGGCGGAAAGCAGGATGGGGAGGCGCCCCCCGCAGGCCCGTGTGCCCCGGCCACGGACAAGGCGGAGGAGGTGGTCTGTGCTCCCGAAGACGTCGCGAGCCCGTTTCCCACCGCCATCCCTGAGGGGGACACGACTCCCCCCGAGACTGACCCCGCCGCCACCTCAGAGGCGCCCTCTGCTCGCGACGGGCCAGAACGCAGTGTCCCGAAGGAAGCGGAGCCGACGCCGCCCGTGCTCCCGGATGAGGAGAAGGGGCCCCCAGGGCCGGCGCCTGAGCCCGAGAGAGAAGCGGAGACGGAGCCCGAGAGAGGAGCGGGGACCGAGCCCGAGAGAATTGGGACCGAGCCCTCCACGGCGCCCGCCCCGAGCCCGCCGGCGCCCAAGAGCTGCCTGAAACACCGGCCCGCGGCCGCCAGCGAGGGCCCCGCCGCGTCCCCGCCGCTTGCCGCTGCGGAGTCTCCCCCGGTGGAGCCCGGCCCCGGTTCCCTCGACGCAGAGGCCGCCGCCCCGGAGCGCCCCAAGGCCGAGCGAGCCGAGGCGCCACCGGCGGGCGCCGAGAGGGCGGCGCCAGAGCGGAAGGCGGAGAGGGGCGGTGCCGAGCTGCGAGGCGCGAAGAAGTTCTCGGTGTCCTCGTGCCGAGCGCGGCCTCGTCCGGGCGTCTCCCGCCCGCTGGAACGGGCCAGCGGCCGCCTGCCCCTCGCGAGGAGCGGCCCGGTCTGGAGGAGCGAGGCGGCTCTTGACGACCTCCAGGGTCTCCCCGAGCCCCAGCACGCGAAACCTGGCCCTCGGAAGCTGGCGGAGCGCGGCCCTCAGGACTCGGGGGACAGGGCGGCCAGCCCGGCCGGGCCGCGCAAGAGCCCTCAGGAGGCGGCCGCCGCGCCCGGCACGAGAGAGCCCTGCCCAGCCGCCCAGGAGCCGGCCCCGAGTGAGGACAGAAACCCCTTCCCCGTCAAGCTCCGGTCCACCTCCCTCTCGCTCAAATACAGGGATGGCGCCTCTCAGGAGGTGAAGGGTGTGAAGAGGTACAGTGCCGAGGTCCGGTTAGAAAGGTCGCTGACCGTGCTCCCGAAGGAGGAGAAGTGTCCCCTCGGGACGGCCCCCGCCCTTCGAGGCACCAGGGCCCCCAGCGACCAAGGAAAGGGGAAGGCCCGGCCCCCCGAGCCGCTCAGCTCCAAGCCGCCCCTGCCCCGGAAGCCGCTTCTGCAGAGCTTCACGCTCCCGCACCAGCCCGCGCCCCCCGACGCCGGCCCGGGAGAGCGGGAACCCAGGAAGGAGCCCAGGACGGCGGAGAAAAGGCCGCTGCGCAGGGGAGCTGGTAAGAGCCCGCCGAGGGTGCGGGAAGGGCAGGGCCTGGGGAGATCCACATCCACGGGCACATCTTGCTGGACACTCGCCAAATGCTCCTGGTACAAACTTTGTTGCAGGGGAATTGGAAGGAGTCAGAATTCCCACTAACATCATGTCTGATCTAGAGCAAGCTTGTCCAACTCGCGGCCTGGGCCCGGGGCGGCTTTGAATGTGGCCCAACATGAATTCGTAAACTTTCTTAAAACATTGAGACTTTTTGCGAATTTTTTTTTAAGCTCATCAGCTGTCCTTAGTTTAGTGTATTTTATGTGTGGCCCAAGGCAATTCTTCCAGTGTGGCCCAGGGAAGCCAAAAGATTGGACACCCCTAATCTAGAGTAAGGAATAGGCCGACCTCGGTAGCTCATGCCTGTAATCCCAGCACTTTGGGAGGCCAAGGCCTGCTGATAAGCCCAGGAGTTCAACACCAACCTGGGCAACATAGTGAGACGTCGTTCTACAAACAATTTTAAAACTGGCCAGGCGTGGTAATGAGGGCCTGTAGTCCCAGCTACTTGCGAGGCTGAAATAGGATTGCTTGAGCCCAGGAGTTCAAGGCTGCAGTGAACTATGATGGTGCCATGCACTCCAGCCTGGGTGACAGAGTGAGACCCTGTCTGTTTTAAAAAGAGAGAGATAAAATAAGGAATAAAGAGTAGAAAAGGGAAAATAAATACCAGGATTTTGCATAAGTACAGAGAAGTCAGTGTGTAAACATGAGATAAAGAGAAACGTAAAAACTGATTTTGATAGGACTCTCAGCGAATCCCTCAAATTCTTCTCCCACTTTTGACCTAAGAAACTCAGCAAAGTCCAAATCCCAGGACATGTGTACTCATTTTGATGCAGGTTCTTTCAGGGCCTAAGCTATTTCTTGGCTATAAATGAAACATACTCCTCTATTAGGGTCCTTCTGACCTTTTCCTCCAAGAAAGAATTTCCTCCTGCTTCATAATCAGGTTCACGTGGCTCAGCTGCAACATGGAAAGTATTCCATATATTGGAATCACAAGTCTGTATAAAACGTAAGTCTCTCAAGAGGGTCAGCATTTACTTGCTGTCCTGAAAGGGAGATTGGGTTAACATTGAGGCAGAACGTAAGAATATTTGAAAGCAGCTGTCTTTTGAAATGAGCAGAGACAAAGTAGATGACCTTTCTCTGTCTTTGACATTTGTCACTTCTTATAGTGTTTCAGATGAAATGAGAAATCTGTTGAAAATGTGTATTTGCAGCAGAGCTAAAGAATCTTTCATTGCTGGGTTTTTTGTTGTTTTTGTTGTTGTTTGTTTTTGAGACTCCGTCTCACTCTGTTGCCCAGGCTGGAATGCAGTGGTACGATCTTGGCTCACTGCAACCTCCACCTGCCGGGTTCAAGTGATTCTCCTGCCTCAGCCTCCCAAGTAGCTGGGATTACAGGCACACACGATACTACACCCGGCTAATTTTTTTATATTTTTGGTAGAGACGAGGTTTCACCATGTTGGCCAGGCTGGTCTCGAGCTCCTGACCTCAAGTGATCTGCCCGCCTCAGCCTCCCAAAGTGCTGGGATTACAGACATGAGCCACCATGCCTGACCTGCTGGTTTTTTAAATTAATGGAAATCTGTGAACCAGAAAATGAAACTACACAAATAAGTTGTGTGTGCATGTGATGGGGGCCCTAGGGAGAAGTTTTCCATGACAAATTTTGTTTTTTAAAAATGTTTTGGCCCGGCGTGGTGGCTCACACTTGTAATCCCAGCACTTTGGGACGCCGAGGCAGGCGGATCACAAGGTCAGGAGTTCAAGACCAGCCTGGCCAACGTGGTGAAACCCCATCTCTACTAAAAATACAAAAATTAGCCAGGCATGGTGGCGCGCACCTCTAATCCCAGCTACTCAGGAGGCTGAGCCAGGAGAATCGCTTGAACCCAGGAGGCGGAGGTTGCAGTGAGCCGAGATCACGCCACTGCACTCCAGCCTGGGTGACAGAGCGAGACTCCATCTCAAAAAAAAAAAAAAAAAAAAAAGAATGTTTCAGGCTACTCAAGCAGTGTATTGTGGGACAGAGAGGAAATAGAACCCAGTAGCTTTCTTAGGGAATCCTGCACCCTAAGAGGAAGATGCATACATAGGAAGAAAATTAGCTCATACAAAACAATGTGAAAACAGTTCCAAAATAGTCTAATCTTTTCTGGCTCTTTTACAGTGCTTTAAATTCCTAACGTGACACACAAGGATTCACAGTTCCAAAGAGCCCACACATGTGGCCTTCCCAATCTGAAGGCCCCTTGGCACAGCCGTGATTTTGTGTTGCTGCTGCCACTGCAGTAGGATAATCAGTGCGGAATCTGGAGGAAGTTCAAACCATCACTGACGATCCACTCTGCAGATTTCCATTGAGGTTATTGAAGCTATTGTAGAGTGATTCAAAAAGCCATTGAAGTAGCAAGGGAGGAAGGAGTTGCTCTCTGTGCACATGAAACCCTGACCTTCATGGCCTAGAATTGAAAATGTCTCTCAAGAGCTTGCTAAATGAATGGAACTTAAAAACAGAATATCAAGCTCGTAGTCAGATCTGAAAAAGAAGCTTCAGAGGGCAATGCTTTGCCCATTATTTATATGTAAGTTTCTCAACCTAAGCCAGGCTTTCTTCACTATAAAATGCCTGGGATAATCTGTAAATACTTTGTGTATTTTTCTTTGATTTATAAAATGTAATAGAGTATTTTTTTTATTAACAGCTTTGCTTATATAGTAGAAGAGAATTGTCTCATCCATCTAAGTTTAATCACATTCACTAAAGCCATAGAAATGTCAGAGTTAGATGAATTTCAAAACGAAAGAAGAATCTAGGTTACTTTATGGGTATGGTTAATGATATTCATTTTAACACAGAGAGAGGGAAGGAATTACCCACATTCTATAGGGAAGCAACTCTGGGGGCAGGGGCAGTGGTATTGGAAGGACAGGTACCAGGACAGGCTGGGCCTGCTGCCTGATCCTACCTGGACCTTGAGGGGCTATCTCATGCTGACCAGAGCAGAATCTCAGGGTCTGCGCTGTCAGACCCCAGCAGTGAAGCTGCCCCCACACTTTCCCTAGATGCCAAATCTGTTTGTGCTTTCATTGATTATTATCACTTCTACTATTATCATTCTCATTGCTCCCAAATTACATTAGCTAGAAGCAATTCAGTTCACATAAAACATACAGATAATGAAAGTTTTAATAACAATATCACTCTGTTTCCAGAAAGACCTAATATTTGCTGTTGTGGTGGCAAATACCTTGCCCAGAGCTCCCAGATAGTCTGCCACCTCCCCCGTCCTCCCTCCAGGGCATGTACAGTAAAGTTGGATGATTGAAGTGTTCCAGATGACTCGGCTTTGGGCACTCAAACTGCTTTGTCCCCAGCACCTGGTTTATTCCTCCTCCTCTCTTCCACACCTTGTTTTCCTTCTTTGAAGGAATGGAGGGACGCTTCAGCAGAAGGAGTAGGAAAGGATGCAATGGTGGTTGGTTGTAATAAACAGGAGCCTGGGTTGCCAAAGGGGCTGAGCCTCACAGGGGCTGTGCTGGAGTGGTTACTGCAAGCTTAGTATGTGTCTGTGCTCCTCGAGGCAGAGGAGCCCTGTTTATAAGCCTGGTTCATAATTTGCTGATCTGTCGTAGGAAGTAAATGGCCCAGGGTTATCAGCCTTGTTCATTTGTGCAGAACATTATGCATCCTCCTGTTGGTTCAATCCATCCCAGAGTCTAAATTACAGGTCATAAAGCAGCTTCTGCACGCAGGATTAGAATGAGAACAAAGGAGTTAGAGAATATTGTGTGGAAAAATTGCAAAACACAGAAAGTATGTAGAAAAAAAAATCACTCCTAGGTCAGCTCTCCTTCTAGTCTGTCTTGTTTCTGGGTATGAGATTTATTTTTTTTACAAAGTCATGGTCACATGTTGGTGTTTTGGAAGGTAGTGCAAGAAACCACCCTTCTCACCTGGGGACCTCATTTGATAACCAGCATTGGCTAATCTGAGCTTGATTCCTCCAGACAGGGTTGGTGACAGAGTAACACACTCCAGTCTCTGACCCTCTGTTTCTAGACTCCAGTACTCACTCATTCATGCATTCTTTTTTTCAACAAATATTTAATGTCCTCCTGCCATGCAAGCTCTTTCTTGGCCCCAAAAGATGGGAAGAGCACAGGGGACTGACCCTCAGAGTTTATTGCACAGAGAAGGCAGGTGGTAGCTGGATGCTGGAGGAGTGTAGACAGCCATTTTCTGGCCACCTTGTCTTTGTATGTCACAGCCATTTTCTGAAGGAAATGAACTGAAAGAGACTGTCGTCCTTTTTTAATGACACAGTTCAGATATATTCAAATTCATTTGGGTTAGAATACAAGCTGTGGGGGGTTTTATTGGCATCATGCTAAAAATATATTCCTGTCTCTTGAATTTTTAAAATTTCATTTTATTGTGATATGAACACATAACATGAGATTGACCCTCTTAAATTTTAAAATGTACAATGCAGTATTGTTGTCTATAGGTACAGTGTTATAGAGCAGATCTCTAGAACGTACTCTTCTTAACATAACTGAAACTTTATAAACATTGATGAATAGCCCCCAATTTCCCTCTCCCCCGCCCAGCTCCTCATGACCACCTTTCCGCTCTTCAATTGTATGAATTTGACTATTTTAGATTTCACATAGAAATGTGATCATGTAATACTTGTCCTTCTGTGACTAGCTGATTTCACTTAGCATAATGTCCTCAAGGTTCATTCATGTTGCTGCAAGTACAGAATTCCCTTCCTTTTTAAGGCTGAATAATATTCCACTGTAGGTATACACTGCATTTGCTTTATCCATTTGTTTGTCCAAACACATTTAGGCTGTTTCCGCATCTTGGCTGTTGTGAATAGTGCCTCAGTGAACAGGGGGTGTTAATATCTCTGAGATTCCGATTTCAGTTATTTTGGGTATATACCCACATATGTCTTGAATTCTTAAAGAAAACCAACTTTGCTCACATTGGCATTTCTTTTTGTCTTGCCCTTCCCTTCACAGTCCCTTCTGAGCAAGTGTCATCAACACTGTAACCTCTGTTTCCCTGCCTCTTTCCTCTGCTCCTCAACCATGTGTGTCTTAACCTTGCATGTCACCCAGTACAAAGCGACCTCTCCTCATTTCCCCTCGTGCAAGACACATCACAGATTCCCACCTGTTTCCTGGAGTTCTTGCTTCCCTTGACTTCTTGGGCCACAGCAATCAGCCACCTACCCATCTGATGAGCAGCCCTGACTTGACACTTCAGCATTCATAATTCCATTTGTCAATGCCACCTCCAGCACAGTTCTCTTTCCTTCTCAGTACTCCATCTACCCAGATACTCAAGCCAGAAACCTCAGCATTATTACAGATATCTTTATATGAACAATCCTGAGTGGCCTAAAAATGATAGTAAAATCACCTCGTAATCCTACCACTTTAAAAGTGACATAAAAAGGGACTTGCTGTTCTGACCAAGATGGAATAAACACCACCCCATCTCTCCCACTGATACGTCATAAAACCCTAAACTGAATGCATAAAGTGAGTATCAGGGGACTCTGAAAGGTAGGTAAGAGGAGGAGCTGGTAGCCTGAGGAGATAGATCAGGACCTGAGTGTTGACTCCATAGCAAGTGTGAGCAGTGAAGTAACACCTCTGCGCTCTGCCACTGGTGGTATCAACAACCCCTGCAGGCCAGAGCTCCTGGGACTTTCCTAGCCCAGATCCTACTGCACCCCCCCACCACCAGCCCCTATGGGACAGAGCTTGTTGGACAGCCTTGGCCCTACTCCAAGTGAACACCAGCAACTAAGCAGCAAATCCCTCTTGGCGGCAGCATCCCTGCAGGATGGAGTTCTTTCTATTCTCTCATCCCTATGCCAGGCAAATGCCAACAACAAGCTGAAACTACTTGCCCTGGTGGCAGTGGCAGTAATGTCCCTTGTGAGGCACAACTCTTGATTCTTTCAGTCCTAATCTTTGGTCATCAGTGAAGTGGCCAACCCCTCACCCCTGCTGAAGATGGTAGCAGTACCCTCTGCAGGGCAACGGTCCTTTAGCCCTTCCAGCCCTGCTCCAAGTATGCACCAGCCTAGAGCACTCCAAGTGAGTACCTGCCTCTCCCCACAGCAGCTCCTATGGGTCAGAGCTCTTTTGACTCTTTAGACATTACCCCCAGAGAAACCCAAAAATGAAGCTATACCCCCGTATTAGCACAGACAGCAGCAACAGGTATGGTGGTTGGGGGTCCTGCAGGCTCCTTTCCCTTGCCACTCTGTCCTGAGGTGGTCCCAGTCACAAGAAGGTGCTACAGTGCAGAGAGGCTAAACCTTGGCTTTCTAGCCGTAGAACCTTGAGGAGTGGAGATTACAGAAAGGAGACATCTGAGTTAGATATCCTTTAAATGTGTGTATGAAGTTCTGGGCTCATCCCTGAGCTGCACATGCATAAAACTGACTAGAATGAGCACAGCAAAACCTTTTGAGAATTTTAGAAGGACCAAGTCTCAGCATAATATTCAAAATCTGTAGGATATGAACCAAAATTATCCAACATACAAAGAACCAGGAAAGCCTAAAAAATTCTCGAGGAAAAAGGCAATCAACAAATGCCAACCCTGAGAGGATTCAAATGTTAGAATTATTAGACAAAGACTTTAAAGCAACTATTATGCCACATTCTAAGAAGTAAAAATGAGTACTCTTGGAATTAATGGAAAGATAGAAATTCTCTGTAAAAAAAAAATAGAAGCTATAAAGATAGAAATTTTAGAGTTGGAAAAGCTGGAGTGGCTATATATTCATATAACACAAAGAAGACTTCAGAAAAAGGACAATTATTAGTGATAAAATGGAACATTATATAATGATAATTTCAGTAATATTGGTGAATCAAGAATGCATAAGAGTACTAAATGTGTGTGTCCCTAACAACAGAGCTTCAAAATACATGAAGCAAAAACTTGGTAGTACTGAAAGGAAAAATAAATAAATCCATAGTAAGATGTAGAGACTTTAGCACTCCTCTGTCAGTAGTCAAGAAAAGTAGCAGGTAGAAAATCAGAAAGGATATTTCAATTAGGTCAAGTTGGTTGAACATCATCATCAACCAACTTGACCTAATTGATATTTATAGAACAGCCCACCAGCCACAGCAGAATACATGTTCTTTTCAAGTGCACATGGGACATTCATGAAGATAGACCATATTCTAGGTCACTAAACAGCCCTTATTAAATTCGAAAGAATTGAAATTATTCAAAGCTTGTTCTCTGCCCTTAATGAATTAAATAAGAGTTTGATAACATCTGAAAAATATCTGGAAAGAAATATGAAAAAGATCATCAAATATTTGAAATTAAACACTACACCACTATATAATCCATGGATCAAAGAGGATGTCTCAAGGGAAATTAGAACACTGGATTAAAATGAAAATACAACATATCAAAATTTGTGGAATGCAGATAAACTGGTACTTAGGGAAACTCAACATTAAATTATATTAGAAAGAAAAAATGTTTCAAAGCAGTAATTTAAGCTTCCACTTTAAGGAACTAGAAAAAGAAAAGCAAACTAAACTCAAAGCAAGAAGGAAAGAAATAATAAACATAAGAGCAAACATAAATGAAAATATAAAAATAATAGAAAAAAAATTGATGAAACCAAAAGATGGTTCTTCAAAATAGCCAATAAAGTTGATTTAAAAACTGAGGGGAAAAAAGACACAAATTACAAACATTATGGAGTGCCACTACTGACTCCATAGGCATTAAAATGATAATAAGGGAATACTATGAACAATTCTACGCACATAAATTTGACAAATGAGAAGAAAAGGGCCAATTCCTTGAAAGACACAAACTATCAAACTTAAAAAATAGCATGAATGGTCCTGTATCTGTTAAAGTGATCAAATCTGTAGGTAAAAACCTTCCAGAAAACTCCATTTTCACGTGGTTTGACTGGTGATTTCTACCAAGCATTTAAAGAAGAAATAACACCAATTATACAAAATCTCAGCAAAACTAAGGGGAAACACTTCCCAACCCGTTTTATGAGGCCAGCATGATTGTAATACTGGAATTAAAGACAATACAGAAAACTATAGACTCTCTGTATACTATACTAAATTCAGAGATACTATATTTTCTCATATTTTTTTCTAAAATTTTTATAGTTTTCATTTTACATTTAAGTCCATGACACCTTTTGAGTTCATTTTGTATATGATGTGAGACTTAGGTCAAGGTTCATACTTTTGCCTATGAATGTTCCTATGCTTCAGGACCATTTGGTTGTGATGTACAATTTAGTATACTATAGTATCTCTGAATTTAGATGCAAAATTTTTTTTTAAGACAGAGTCTTGCTCTTGTTGCCCAAGCTGGAGTGCAATGGCTCAATCTTGGCTCACTGCAACCTCCATCTGCCAGGTTCAAGCAATTCTCCTGCCTCAGCCTCCCAAGTAGCTAGGATTACAGGCACCCACCACCACACCTGACCAATTTTTTGTATTTTTAGTGAAGACAGGGTTTCACCATGTTGGTCAAGCTGGTCTCAAACTCCTGACCTCAGGTGATCCACCTGCCTCAGCCTCCCAAAGTGCTGGGATTACAGGCATGAGCCACTGTGCCTGCCCTAGATGCAAAATTCTTAACAAAATATTATCAAATTGTACATCACAACCAAATGGTCCTGAAGCATAGGAATATTCATAGGCAAAAGTATGAACCTTGACCTAAGTCTTACATCATATACAAAATTAACTCAAAAGGGGTCATGGACTTAAATGTAAAATGAAAACTATAAAACTTTTAGAAAAAAATATGAGAAAATATTTGGGATATAGGGCTAGGCAAAGACATCTTAGACTTGTCATCAAAGCATCCAAAGTGGAAAATTTGATGAATTGGACATTATTAAAATTAATACCTTTTGCTTTGCAAAAGACCTATTTAAGAGCCTGAAAAGACAAACTACAAACTGCAAGAAAAGATAGGCAAACTACATATCCTATAAAGGACCAGTATTTAGAATATATAAAGTATTCTTTAAAGTCAATAGTAAAAAAAAAAACAAAAAAACAGCAAACCAATTAGAAAACGGGCAAAAGACATGAACAGACATTTCACCAGAGAAAGTGTACAGATGGCAAATAAGCACCTGAAAATATGCTTACCATCATTAGCCATTAGGGAAACACAAAACCATAATGAGATACCATTACGTAACTATTAAAATGACCAAAACAAAAAATATTAATAATACCATTGTGCTTGTGAGGATGTGGAGAAAATGCAATTCTCATTAGAGTATTATCTCTATGGCCAATGGGAATGCAAATGGCACAGTCACTTTGGAAAACAGTTTGGCAATTTCTTATAAAATTAAAAATATGCTTATGACCCAGCAATTCCACTTTAGGTATTTATCCTAGATAAATGGAAATGTACATTCCCACAAAAGTCATACGTTCATGTCTACAACAGCATTATTCAAAATCACCAAAAACCAGCCAGGTGCGGTGGCTCACGCCTGTAATCCCAGCACTTTGGGAGGCCAAGGTGGGTGGATCACTTGAGTCCAGGAGTTCAAGACCAGCATGGCCAACATGGTGAAACCCCATGTATACTAAAAATAAAAAATTAACTGAGTGCGGTGGTGCACACCTGTAGTCCCAGCAACTTGGGAGGCTGAGGCAGGAGAATCGCTTGAACCCAGGAGGTGGAGGTTGCAGTGAGCAGAGATTGTGCCACTGCAACTCCAGCCTGGGTGACAGAGCAACACTGTCTCAAAAGTAAAAATACAAATGACATAATCACCCAAAACTGGAAACAACCCACATGTAACTCAGCTGGTGAATGGGAAACAAACTGTGGTACATCCATATGATTAAAAACTACTTAGCCATCAAAAGGAATGGACCCTCAATATACACAGTAACCTTAATTGTGCATGCTCAGTGAATAAAGCCAGTCTTTCAAAATTGCAAACTGAATTATTCCATTTCTATGACATTTGGAAGAGGCAAAAATATATGGACAGAGAACAAATAGATCAGTAGTTGCCAGGGGTTGGGAGTAGGAGGAGAGTCTGGTTACATAGGGGAAGGAAGAAGGAATTCTTCAGGGTGTTGATATTCTGTATCCTGTTTGTGACGGTTGTTATAAGAAGCTAAACGTGTTAAAATTCAGAACTGTACAACCAAAGGGTGAATTTTACTATCTATAAATGTAAGAATAATTTTCTTTTTTTTTTTTTTTTTTTTTTTGAGACAGAGTCTCGCTCTGTCACCAGGCTGGAGTGCTGGAGTGCAGTGGCATGATCTTGGCTCGCTGCAGCCTCCGCCTCCCAGATTCAAGCAATTCTCCTGCCTCAGCCTCCCGAGTAGCTGGGACTACAGGCACACCACCATGCCTAGCTAATTTTTTTGTATTTTTAGGAGAGACAGGGTTTCACCATGTTGGCCAGGATGGTCTCTATCTCCTGACCTCGTGATCCGCCCACCTCAGCCTCCCAAAGTGCTGGGATTGCAGGCATGAGCCACCATGCCCGGCCAGAATAATTTTCAAATACAAAAAAAAAGGGATAGTGGCCTCCTGCCCACCCCTTTCTGAACCTCTTTAATCCCACTCCCCAGGGGGAACCGCACCACCAGATTCATCGTGTTTCCCTTGAACACTGCAGTCATAACCACAACAAGATGGGCATGCATATCTAGGCACGTGGATCCTTTTATTTTAATCACAAAAATGCTGTACATCTTGGCTTGCACTTTCACTCCACAGTAAAGCATGGGCATCTTTTTTTTTTTTTTATATCAGAGTGAACTGCCTCGCGTCTTTCTTTTTAAGGGTTACACTGTATGTGTTCTGTGTTTTATTTAACTGTTCCCCTCCTGAGGGGCATTCCGCTTGTTTGAGCTTTTCTCCCTCTTGCTGACAGTGCTGCAGTAATCATTCTTGTCCATTTTAATCCCTATGTATTTACACGGTTGTTTCTCTATGATAGATTCCTAAAAGTGGATTTTCAGGTTCTCAGATCATGTGCACTTTTAATAGACAACTTTAAATTACCCTCCATAAAGGTTGTGCTGGTTTACACTTCTTCCAGCAGAATAGAGACTATTTCTCCACCCCCTCATCAACACTAAGTGTCGTCAGTGTTTTTTTTCCTCCAGTCTGATGGATGAAAAATGCCAGTTGTGATGTTCACCTTGGTCAGCAAGTTCTGGTCATCCTAATGTGCAGCGTCTTTATCCTCCCACGTCCCCATGCCAGCCTCATCTTTAACCTGACACCTACAGTACCTCCTCCCTCCAACTCTCTTCTTACCCTTTCTTCCCAGGTCGTGGGTGGAACCATGGAGCTTTCCTCTTTAAAAATTCGCATTGCCTTCCCATTATATTTAGAATAAAATTCAGACTCCTAGAGAAGGCATTTAAGGCTTTTTAGATTCTGGCCAAAACAAACATTTCTGCCTCTCTAAGTTTGTCTGCCATTTCACTCCCTCCAACATCTCCTGCAGCCCCGCCCCTGATACCAGCTCCCTGGCACTCTGTACACACCCCTGCCCATATTGAGCGTACTTCACTCGACCCCTGAACTAGATCCTGAGCCCTTGAGAACTTCCAGGGTTTTTCTTCCTCTGTTGAGCACCCATACCCATGCCCTGGGGTTCCTAGCCTGCAGTGGGTGATCCTTGGACCAGGCTGTGTCTGCATGACCAGGTGCTGGGATGAGGGAGGGAGCAAGGCAGGGGCTGGGTGGTAAGACTGAAGAGTGTGGATCTGTGGGGTTTACTCTGAGGAGCACCTCTTAGGGGCTGTGGGATTCTGAGCAAGTTGAGTCTTGTAAACTCTGAGTCTTAATTTCCTCCTTTATATAATGAGGTTATTTGTAATAACAGCAAATAGGGCAGCAAAGACATTTTAACTGCAAAATGTGATACAGTTTCATAGAGTACAGTCATACTTTCCTAAACATGTACTAAAATATTCTCATCTCAGCTGCACAGAATGCTGTATGAGAATGGGATTCTCCTTGTCCCAGTTTTGGTTAAGGCACCAATGCAGAGATGTAAGATACCAGAGAGCATGTTTGCAGGATCTGTGGAGTCAACAACCACTCACCACCCCCACCCTCAGAATATACGGACGGTGGGGAGGAATAAAGCGGATTTGCAAAACACTTTCTGTGGAGAGCACACTGCAGTCCTGTGAGCCACCAGCGCAGAGGAAACTTCCCTCATGCAGAGTCTGCAAGGGTGGCTTCCATGGGACTTCTTAGAAGCTGAACAGATGTGCCCTGCAGTTGGGAGACATGAAGGACTGCTGCTGGACTCAGACCACCTGTGGGCATGGGGCAGACAGGACCACCACATGACCCACTTGTGCTCCCAGAGCCCCACATGGGGAGCCAGCCAAGAGGACAAGGGGACAATGAGAAGCGGTCACAACCAGAGTCCCAGTGGTGGCTGGGAATCCCCCAGTGTCAGTTTCAAGTGTCTGCCAGGCCCAGGCAGGACAAAACCTTGTAAGGCTCCAAAGAGTCCTGCTGATCTCCCTACTCTCCTTCTTCCCCAGCTCTCAGCCCTCGGGAAAGGAGTCTCCGCCCCAACTCAGACACCCTGCATTCAGGAGTCATAGCCTCACTTCGCCCAGAGGCTACACATTTTAATTACTGAATTAAAACTGATTATAACAAAAGTGACCATGGTGACTGCTGGGACCTGAGAAGGACTGAGAAGGTGCTGGAAGTCTTACAGTTTCTACCTGGGATGGGGGACCATGGGAGACCAGGATCGGGCAGTGCTTTTATGTCTCTAGAACCTGCAGGTGCAGTGCTCTGGTTCCTGCACAGGTGCAGCCCACCTCCCAGGAGCAGATAAGCAGTGCCGCCCATCCCCTGCAGCTGCACTGGTGCCATTTCAGAGGGCTGGCTTCAGTACTTTCTCCACGGCAGCCATTAACCTTATGTGGGGGGCGCTGAGACCCTCTGTGCACTCACCCCAGGGCTCAGGAGAGAAATAGGTTTGAAGAAGAGAAGACAGTATCTTTATGACAAGTAGGAAGTGTCCCAGGCCCCTCTGAGCAGGGCCAAGGGTATGGCAGGAGGTGAGGTCTGAGGTGGCAACAGTGTGGACCCATAGCATGGGCAGCCCTGGGGGTAGATGTCCTGGGGACCAGGGGCACTGGCTGGTTAAAAGAAGCATCTACCAGAGCCTGGGGGCAGGGGGCAGATGTCAGCCCAGTTCTCAAGAACTGGGTCATCTGGTCAGCTGGGCACTGTTGTCCCCAGAAAGGGGACAACATACTGTGAGCTCTCTCTTCAGGGTTTCTTTGGGCAGAAGCTCAGAGCAGCATCAAGATCAGTGGTTGGCAAAGCTGGCTGCAACTTGCGGTCACCTGGGAGTCCACCCCCACAGATTTGGTGGACCTGCCCAGGATGAATCCCAGACTGTGAGAGTGTTAAAGGCTGCCCAGGTGGTTCTAATGTGTGGCCAATGTTGAGATACTGGGCTCTAGGACAGCGGCGCTTCTCAAACTTAGGAGTGCTTATGAATCTGCTTAAGGTGATGCTTCCCACCCAGTACGTCTGGAATAATGGCAGCAGTGCTGGTCCGTGGACGACACTTGGAGTGGTGAGGCTCCAGGTCTGCGCTCTCTAACACAGAGCCAGTAGCTGCACGTGGCTGTTTAAATGTAAATGTAAGCGAAATTAAAATGCAGTTCCTCAGTCACAGCAGCCACATTTCAAGAGCTCAGGAGCCACGTATGACTGGTTGACAGCACAGAGGGCATTTCCATCATTATACAAAGTTTTACTGGGCAGCACTGTTTCAGGGCTGTCACTAGCAAATAGCATCTTGCTGAGACTCTGTAAGGGTTGTGCTCTTCCCAAAAATGGCTTGGGTGTCAAGGCACCATAATACTTCACCTTTCTGCCTGTATGCCTGCCCCCCTCTATCAGCTTCTTGAAGTCAGGGTCTGCAGCAGATTTACCCTCTCAGTAAATGGGTAAATAATAACAACAATAGCTAACATATAGTGAGCACTTACTAAGTGCCAAGTATTAACGTTAAATGCTTTATGCGTTAATTTTCAACAACAATTCTATTTAGTAAATAAGAAAAGAAACTTAGGTTAAAGAACTTGCACAAAGGCATGTAGCTAGTAAACTGTGGAGGAGAGGTGGAGGCCACATAGACTCACTGCAGCCCACGCTCCACAGTGTCATGCTGCACTGCAGTTCTCAGCTGGGGCAGGCATGGGCCCCAGCAGACATTGGCAGTGCCTGGAGACATATTTGATTGACACCGCTGTGGTAGGGTGGGGAAGGGAGGTATACCAGCATCTAGCAGGTAGAGACGCTGAGCATCCTACAGTGCACAGGACAGCTCCCCACAACAAAGACCTATCCAGCCCAAAATGTCAGCAGTGCCAAGGCTGAGTAACTGTTGTTTGCCACTCAATGAATAAGTTAAAATGGGGAGGAAGTGGTTTTATAGGACAGTCATGAGGTCATACCTCTTAGTAAGAGATGGTATGTGATGTAGTGAATGAAAATTAGAGATCAAGAGGTCTGTGTTCAAATCCCAGCTTTGTTACATATTGGCCAAGGACCCTGGACAAGTCACTTTGTTCCATAAGACTCTGTGGTCCCATATCCAAAATGGGGATTGAAAATATCCTTACGTTGCAAGGAGGGCTGTGAGGGTCATTATGAATATGATACTGCTCTGAAGACAAAGATGGAATAAACCTTAGCTGTGAACATTTCTTTGGTCGGGAGAAACTTCCCTACCTGACTAGTGCTGAGTGAAGGAGGGCCCAGATGTAATAGAGAAAGGGAAATCTGAGCTCCAAGGACAATAGCTGCCCCTGGAATGGATTACTTACTCTTCTGTTGGCCACCCTAGACAGTTCTTGTAGAATTCCAGCAGTTCCTGGAGATCTGAGATGGGGAGACAAGGAATCTAAGGTGAGGTGTTTGTGTACATTTCAAAGTGTAAGTAGAATAATTTTTCACCTTTTTCTCAATCGTGCTCTAGCTCAAAGTTATTTTTAAATAACAGTGCCTTTCCCTCCCCATATCCTTGTGAGGTCACAGTTATATCAGCTGGTTGGGAGCGGAGACCAGCTGTCTCTGTGGAGGTAGAGTGGTCATTGCCTCCTGCCGAGAGGCTAGCTTTAATTGCACAGGCAGCGGCAGTTTAGCAAGTGTGCTTTCAGTCCAGCTCCTCCACTGACAACTCTGTGCCGTTGAGCCCGGCCCTGGCTCCCCGGGATCTCCACTATGAGATGTGGAGGTTGGACCAGGCCACCCTGGGATGTCTGCCAACCTTGACATGCCAAGTGCTGGGCAGCTGTCCCAGAAGTCAGGAAAAGAGCCTGGTAAGGCATCTGCCCCTTGGGGTGCCCCCAATACACATGGCTGGCCAGATTCCTGGCCTCACTCCACACACCCAAACACAGATGTGACTCAACGATTGTTTTTTCTTTATGAATGCCTTCTCACAGATGTTACCTGTGAGCAATAGATCCCCAAAGCAGGTATAGTTGGGGCCCTGACAACAACCAAAGCAGACCCCAGGGCCCCATTTGGGAAAAACTCACATCAGTTTCTACTATGGGGACCTGAGCAAACTCCTGCCCTGGGACAAGGACTGACACTCACCCCACCCCATGATGGATATACTACCATATGAGGCCCTCGTAAATAAATGCTGCCACTGGGAGACTCTCTGTCTCCCTCAGCCTTTTCACCGGGGAAGACGGCCCCTCTGGGCCCTCACTCCCTCGCCTTTTAATGATAGAAGCGTGCTACCAGGGCTGTTAAAGCAGCAGTGGCTTTTGTCTTTCTGCCATGTGGAGTTGAAGCTTGTGTGAAAAGAGATATGTGGCCCAGCGGGAGGCGGGTTTCTGAGCATCAGTTGGGAAATTCAAACCACAGAAAGCCTGGCCTGGGAAAGCAGGAGAGCCGGCTGAGGAGCCCTTGGCAGTGCCTCCTGACCTGGGAGTCAGGTAAGGGATGAGGGCAGTTTGGCCCTGGCAGCCCCATGCTGGTGGCTGGGAAAGAAGCTTCCAGAAACAGTGTCCTTCTGTTTGCCCCTAGGCTGCAAAGTGAGTCTGTGTGGAGTCAGATCCTCTGCACTCGCTGAGTTGTGCAATTCCACTTAGGAGAGGAAGTGGAGCAAGAGGAGGGGAGGCTCTGGAGGGTGGAGGAGGAGGGAGATTGTGTGGATGAGGGGAGGCAGTGGTTAGAAAAGGCAAAGGGGGTGAGGCCCTACGGAGGGTGCACTTGAAGCTGTGGGGTAGTGAAGCGGTGGAAAGGGTCTGCTGGTGAGGGCATCCGGGGCACCTTGCTTAATTGCAGTGTGGAAACAGCTCTGGGTGCAAACTTGCCTCATTTCTCTATGTGCACAGGGAGCTAGGCTCTTCTTCCTGGTCACTCTCAAGCACCTAGTGACTCCTGTCTTAGGGGGGGTTTTGTTATTTGTGTGCTTTTACTTCTAATTGAAGAATAATATGCATACAGAGAAATGCACAGATCCTATGTGTGTAGCTCAGTGCATTTCCAGACTGAATACACCAGACCAAGAAACAGAATGAGACCAGCACCCCAGAGGCCCTGCCGTGTCCCCTTTCAGCAGGCTCTGGAACTCATTCCTGATTGTGGACCATGGTGGCTGTCAGAAGATCCTCTGGTCCTGATGGCTTTTGCAGGAGAGCCTGTCTCCATGCACTGGAGAGAAAGATTCAAAAAAATCATTCCTGTCTAGACTCAGCACCTTCCCCAGGGCCTGGCACCTAGTGGGCACCCACCAGGTCCAGTCCGTTCTCATTGTCTAAGGAAGTTATGCTCTGAGAAGTCACTGCAAGCTAACTTAGCAAGTACTGAGCCACTGCTCCTGGAGGAAATGCAAGGTTAGCTTCCTGTGTGTCTCCTGCCACAGCATCAATAGATCAACACATAACCTTGTTTTAGGTGTAATTCTGTTTAAAGATGCTTTATTTAGTATATATTGTTGACGCATTGACACCGAACACACAGCCAACGGCACTGTAACTCAGGCCTGAATGAAGCTTATCTGAAACACACATTATCTCCATCGGGCACATCACAGCCTCCTTGGGCTTAGGAACATTAGACAGCACATCAGCACTCCACTTGGCAGCCTAACCAGCAGAATCACCAAGAAAACCTAGTGCCCCAAAATGTGGCACTGAGTAGACTACAAAAAAGATACTGTATACGGTGTAAGAGCTAAAACAATAAGGCGGCGCATCACTGCTTGACCTCAGCTGGGAACTTGCACATTGGGAAACTCAAATGTTTTGCTGCCCTGCACGTGTTTGCAAATGACCATGCCAACACCATGCATATTGATTTTGGGATTACAAATGTATTTTAGCGAGTAGGCGAATTCTCAAATATGGAGTCAGCTCACAGCGATGATTGACTCTATTTGTTGAATGAGGAGAGGAAGGAATGGCGGTAAGCTTAATTTAAGGTGGAACTGGGACACAGCACCGTCTCCTGTCATTAGCAGTGGGGGCCTGCCCTGAAAAGCTCTTGCTCAGTCTCAAAATGCTCAGCATGGTTTTGAGAAGAAGACTTGGTTGAGCATTACCACCCTGAGTTCCACAGTGAGATCACACAGCCTGGCTCTGGGACAGATCTGATGACGAGCGACTGTAGACGTTGCCAGCATGTATTGATCAGGAGCAGCCTGTGAGTCAAGACTGACAACAGATCAATAAATGGCTTTTAAAAAGCAAAACCCCTCAAGCTGTTTATCTAGGAAGCCTGACAAACCCTGCCGCAGTGGTGTGGCCCCATGTGTCCCCAGGGCCTGGGGCCCACCTCTGCCCCAGAAGTCCTCTTAGTGTCTGTAGACAGGTCCCATTTCCACCAGGTCAACCAGGGCTGTGGCAGTGGACCTGGATGGCAGGCAGAGCAGAGGACCGCTGTTCTATTTGTTGAAGCAACGAGGCACAGTGACTGTTCTAGCACAGCTGGCTGTGAGAAATGGCGATGATGGATCCACTTTAGATCCGAAGTCTTAGCAAACTCAGGCCTCTTTTCCACAGAGAATGTTGTGAAGACCTGGGAATGAGCTGTTGATGTGCATTTTTAGGATGACAGCATAATGGAGAAAATTGGAAGTAGCATATGCCAAAGTATGAAGTGTTCACACAGCTCCCTTGGGTTGTTGATTTATGGGAAGCTTTTTTCTCCTTTATACTTTTATCTACTTTCTAAATCTGTACAATATGCTTGTGTACTTCTATGAACAAGAAAGAAATGTTATGAAAAGAAAAAGTTTCTTAAAAATTGCTGCATCAGGCCGGGTGCAGTGGCTCCCACCCATAATCCCAGCACTTTGGGAGGCAGAGGTGAGAAGATCATTGGAGACCAGCCTGGGTGACATAGCGAGACCCCATCTCTACAAAAATTAATTTAGAAAAAAATTAGCTAGTCATGGCCGGGCACAGTGGCTCATGCCTGTAATCCCAGCACTTTGGGAGGCTGAGGCGGGTGGATCACGAGGTCAAGAGATCGAGACCATCCTGGCTAACATGGTGAAACCCCGTCTCTACTAAAAAATACAAAAAATTAGCTGAGCGTGGTGGTGCATGCCTGTAGTCCCAGCTACTCGGGAGGCTGAGGCAAGGGAATCCCTTGAACCCAGGAGGCGGAGCTTGCAGTGAGCCTAGATTGCGCCACTGCACTCCAGCCTGGGCAACAGAGCGAGACTCCATCTCAAAAAAAAAAAAAAAAAAAGCCAGGCATGTGGCTCACACCCATAATTCCAGCTACTCAGGAGGCTGAAAAAGTTGCTACTTCAGAAAGGACACCATGTACCAAATTTTTCAGAGGCCTGGAAATCTTGTTGCCTTACCTTAAGGCAGAGCCTGTGCTTTATATCCTCAGCCAAAAGGCAAGCAACCTGGGAATTTACATTGTACGACAACTCGTTGCCTCTCAGGAGACTGTGCTTGACAGCCCTCAGCTTCCAGACTTAACAGCTGCATCCCTAGTGTCATACGGGGTGTGGCCCACCATTGGGGTCCCACCCTGGGCCCCTCAACTCGTCATAGCAGAAGTCCTTCTGAAAGAAAAAAACAATACCTTAAGGCTGAATTTTAATAGGCACTAAAAGAACTAACCATCACCTATCAGAAAGTCAAAATGAAGTGATGAGACGAATCTGTCCCACGTAGGCGTAGTTGAACACCTCTAGAAATGGTTTAACATTGAGGATTTTTGAAAGGGTTCATTTTAGATCTTCCCGAATACAAATAGCTCAGTAATAATGCCAAATGTGGGTCTGAAAACTTTGTCATCCTCTCCTACAGGAGAGTTCTGTGTGGAGGTATTTTAAGAGTGATTCCTGGGAATGCAGATGAAAACGGCTCTCATCTCGGGCAGTGTGTCCTGCATCCGGGATGGCCAGGCTCGCTGTAACACACAGCGTGTGCATGGAGGAGAGAGCGCCGCCGTGGATAGCGGGACTGCGGTGCACACTGGTGTGGCTTGGGCCAGGCTCCTCCATGATGCAGCGCCAGCAGGGCAGCCCCGATCAGACCCGCTGGCTCTCACACACTGTGGCAGACGTGACCAGGATGAGGCGCCTGCCCTTACAGGGCTTGCAGGCAGACTGGCACACACAGCATTGAGATGGTCTGCTGGAACCCGTGGACGATGTTCTCAGGGAGCCAAGAGTCAGCCTGGCTGCCTGACCCTGCAAGAGGCTGGGGTGCAACCCATTGCTTGCTGTGGTTTTCTTATCACAACAGCCACGAGGGCTCGTTGTCATGGCAGAATGGCTCTCTGGTCTCCATCAAGCTCCAGGGTAAGGTTTGACCAAAATTCTCCACCCCTCCTCCAGCAGGAACAATAACAACACTAGCAACAAGCACATAACAACAGCAGCAATTGTGGCAGCAACTAACACCACTAAGGGCTTTCCCTGGATTCTCTCACAGAATCTTCACAACCACGCTGGGAAGTGTAGACAGTGGATATTTCACCTGATCTTCACCAACCACGCTGAGAGGTATAGACAGTGGATATTTCACCCAATCTTCACAATCACACCAAGAGGGACAGTGGATATTTCACTTATCTTCAAAACCACACTGAGAGATATAGACAGTGGATATTTCACTTCACAACCACACTGGGAGGCATAGGTCGTGGATTATGTCATGGAATCTTCACACCACACTAGCAAGTGTCTACACCTGCTACAAGCATACAGTTCAGAGAGGCCTCCTAGGCCCCTGCCACAGAGCAGAGTGGCTCATCACACAGCTGCTCTGCCTGTGCTCACTGGGGACAAAGGCACAGCTTCTTTGAGGCTCAGCACTGTGGAAGGTGATGCTCAGCCCATCACCCCTTTCTCAGCTTATCTGCTGAGAGGCTCCAGGTGGAATCTCAGGCATCTGTGAACTACATTATGGAGCTGGAGTGGGTTCTCTCTCTTTTTCCTGGTGTCTAGACCCCCATTTGCCATTCCTGCACTCCTCTGCCAATGAGGGTGGCCCTGGACAGTCCCTGTAACAGGGCCTAGAGATTACAAGGGCCCTCTTGCATTCCTGACAAGGAAAAAGGTGAGAAAGAAGAGAATACAGAATAAAAGGAAAGACCAGCAGTTGCAGGGAAAGAGGCAGGAACCAAAAAGGAGAGAAATGGTGGTGTGGTCATAAGCTGGCCCAGTGCTTGGCGATGCTGCTATTGCAGGTTACCTTATCCCACAGCAGCATGGCCTGGCCCAGCCAGGGCACCCACCCACTCCCGTGGGTCTGCATGTGAACACAGACACACGCTTAAAACACACACACAGTACAGCTGGAAACATTCCTACCCCACAGACAGGCAGCAGCAGGTGACCCTTCTGTGTTTGGGATGGAATTCTGCCAGCATGCTCCTGATGTAAGGAAAGGAAAATTTACCTCTTGCCAAGCTCAGCATTTAGAAGTGTATCTGGTACATAGTCTGTGGTGTGTGTTTGTTCGGTAGATAAGAAATGCTTATGACCAAAGGCATACTTCAGTTGGGTAGATGGTCAGCTAGCAAACATGTCTAGTACCAAACATAGTGAGGCAAGTGTCTCGAGAGGTTACAGAGGACTTAGGAGAGAGACTGACCAGAACAGACTTCATGGAGGAGGTAGTGTCTAGGGACCCTGGTGAACCAGCGGGGAGGATTCTAGAACAAGATATCCAAGCCCTTGTCACCTCTCTTGAGCTGTGGCCACAGCCTCCCTCCTAGCTTCCCAGCCTCTCGTCCCTCTACAGTCAGACTGATTCTCCACACAACCTTCAGAGTGAGCCCATGGTTTAAAACCCCCACAGTGTCCCCATTATGGACAGAAAAAGAAAAAAGACAGAAAAGACCCTTCCTTGGGGCCGGTTTACACAACTCCTCCACCTGCCCCCAACCCCAGCCTGGAAGATTGTTCTCCAGATCCCAACCCAGAAGGCACCCCTACTCCCACTCACCAGTGTTAGCCCCTGTGTCCGCATAGCCCTTTGTAAATTTTAGCATTTTCCAGTTTCTACCACAGTTACTTGTTTGTGTCTCGTCTCCCCAACTAGACTTTGAGCTTTTTGAAGGAACAATTTGTTGTTTATTTTCCCACCTCAAATATAAGGTCGTCCTTGCTCATAGCAAACAAGGTGAAACAGGAGAATAGAAATGCTGGGCTCTGGCTAGGAATAGAAAGTAGGGCTGGAGTGTACACTAAGAAGTATTAGTAATTTCAGCAATTCTGCCTGTTGGATCAGGAGTAGAAGAGAGAATGCTGGGAGGAAGCGATGACGGCTGAGGGTCAGGAGCAAGCAGGAGTTCCAGGTTAGGAACAAAAGTCAGACAAGGACCTGGAGAAGGGCCTCAGAGGCTGGAGGGATGCCCCAGGAGGACAGGCTCCCCCAGAGAGGATGTGCAGCCACGTCAGAGCTGCAGGGGTGAAGCAGGTTGAGGACCAGGCTTGACCTTGGGATTTGGGGTTGGGTGGTTGGGAGGATGGAAGGAGTGGTGTCAACTCGTGGCTGGTTCAGCAAGTGGCTGACGAGACATAGGCAGAGGCCATTTGAGCTAAGGGTAGAGGAGGAGGGAGAACTGGACCTTCAAGGGACAATGAGGCTCCGGGGAGACTTCTTTCAAGCTATGGAAGACCCAAGCATTCTGCTAAGCTGCAGGGAAGATGTCAGTGGGAGAGACTGAAGAGTCAGGAAAGGGGTAGGATGAGTCCAAGAGGTGCAGCAGGATTCCCAGGGGGCCAGTCAGGTGGAGGCCCCAGGGAGCAGCCAGAAAAAGGAGTGAGAGCCGTCCCTGGCTGCCAGGGCCAGGGGAGGTCCTGGCTGTGTGAGGCTGAAGGCTCTTCTCACCACCAGCAAGAGACTGTAGCTTGCAAAGCAGTGGCCACCCCGCTTGTACCTCCTTGTTGACCAGGGCACTAAGGGAAAAGAATTCCAGCCTGAACTGGAAGCAGAAACAAAGGCAAAGTGAGTAATATCCTCTGCACACCAGAGCAAGGGGTGGAAGACATCAGGCCACAGAGAACAATGACATTCACTCCTCCTGGACATCTGCATGTGTTGCTGTGAAACAGTGCTGTTGTCACCCGGCTGACTCAAGCACACTGTGTAGAAGGGAACTGAGGAGAGGTGCCAGGTGGTTGGAGATCAGTTTCAGCCTTTGTTTTATCCCGTGGCAGGCAAACATCCAGAAGCAGGCTCATGGGGAACCTTGGGTTCTATGCTTTTGATGTACCTGTAAGAAGCCACTTATTGGCCAGGGGAGGTGGCTCACGCCTGTAATTGCAGCACTTTGGGAAGCTGAGGCAGGCAGATTGTTTGAGCTCAGGAGTTCGAGACCAGCCTGGGCAACATGGCAAGACCCCATCTCTACAAAAAATTCACTGGGCGTGATGGTGCATGACTGTAATCCCAGCTGCTCAGGAGGCCAAGGTGGGAGGATCACTTGAGCCTGGTAGGCGGAGGGTGCAGTGAGCCTTGATCGCACCACTGTACTTCAGCCTGGGTGTCAGAGTGAGACCCTGTCTCAAAAAAAAAAAGAAAAGAAAAGAAAAGAAAAGCCACTTATTTAATCCACAGATTTCTTTTTTCTATTGATGAAGGTAATAAATTCTTATCGTAGAAAATATGAAAATACAGAAGAGCTGAAATGTAAGAGGAGGGGAATGACCCACAATTTCACCACCCAAAGACAAGCACAGTAAATATGGAAGGAGATTCCACAAAACATATGGTGTCTTTTTTTTGAGACAGAGTGTCACTCTTTTTTTTTTTTTTTTTTTTTTTTTTTTTTTGAGACGGAGTCTCGCTCTGTCGCCCAGGCTGGAGTGCAGTGGCGCGATCTCGGCTCACTGCAAGCTCCGCCTCCCGGGTTCACGCCATTCTCCTGCCTCAGCCTCCAGAGTGTCACTCTTGTCCAGGCTGGAGTGCAATGGCGTGATCTCAGCTCACTGCAACCTCCACCTCCCAAGTTCAAGCGATTGTCCTGCCACAGTCTCCCAAGTAGGTGGGACTACAGGCATGTGCCACCATGCCCAGCTAATTTTTGTATTTTTAGTAGAGACGGGGTTTTGCCATGTTGACCAAGTTGGTCTCGAACTCCTGACCTCAGGTGATCCACCCCCTCTTGGCCTTCCAGAGAGTTGGGATTACAGGCATGCGCCACCGCACCCGGCCAACTCTATATGGTTTCAAAGGCACTATTTCTTTTCTCTCTAGAACATTAAGGAAAGCAACTGTGACCAGTTTTTGGTGTCACTGTCTCCAGAAAGGGAAGGTTATGCTCACAGTTTTTAGAAGACAAGAGATTAATAGTGTGTCTACAGCATTTGAGCAGGAATCAGCATTTGGACCAGTACATACTGGTCCAAAATGACAGGATTATATTAAAGAAATTTTATCTATTTGTGTACTTATTTTTATCTCCTTCCAGAAAGGATTCCTAGGAGGAAGTTGGCTTTAAAGTACACACCGACCCTATAGAAGCAGTTGCATTTAATTTTGTGGGGCTCAGACTAGAGGAGCATAATCTCTCTGATGCATCTTTAATAAGAAAACAAAGCCCCTAAAGAAAGTAATCCTCTCCCAGACACCCTGCAACCCTGAACCAAAGCAGTAGTGTTCTCTGTGCAGGAGACACAAAGGGTGCAACCGAAGAGGGAATAGGACTGTTTCTATAATCTTGTGCCTTTACCCAACAGAAAAGAGTCTGCCGCCTGCAGCAACAGGGCCTGGAGCTGATGGGCAGCCTGCGCCACCCTGGATCACCGTCACTCGGCAGAAGCGGAGGGGGACCTTGGACCAGCCACCCAACCAGGAAGACAAGCCTGGGGCACGGACCCTGAAGTCTGAACCAGGAAAGCAAGCCAAGGTGCCCGAGAGAGGCCAGGTGCTTAGAGCAAATACTTCTGTTCTGTGGGTGCAGGAGGGAGCAGCCAGCTGGGACTGGGGCGAGGACCCTGTAAGGACCACATGTGCTGCATGGGCGTCACAGGGACCGTCACCTGTGATGGTTGTGGATGTGTGGTCGAGAGCCAATGAAGCAAAATAAATGACTTGCCAAATCATAACCTCCATGGTGGAGCATTCTGCCTGCCTTTGCATATGCTGAGCTGTTGGGGATGCAGAGAAGCATGTGAATCACTTAGGCAGTGCAGACAGCTCTCTACTCCCTGCCTCCTTGGCAACGCAGCAGCTCAGCATCTAGAAAAATGGGAGGAGGTTAAAATAACTTCGAGTTAGACACACAGCAATGATGTCGACAGCTCCATCCCAGCTTATCATGCTGTGAGGAGCGAGCCCTGCTCTTTGCTGCTCCACCGGCCACATGCTGGAGCTCCTCATTCCTCACCTGGGGCTGCGGGGCTGGAACTTGTGGTTCCATTTTGTACTCTGAATTGAAGGCAGCTTTCACCAACCCAAACAACTATGCCTAGAATCAGGCCGAGACTCGCAATTTTTGTATCCCCCAATAGCACCGTGATGAATCTGTGTGTTTCAGCCATGTGGGGAAGAGAGCCTGAGCCTGCATTAGGACCTGCTTCCCCTCGTTTTAACCAGAACCTCAATTATACCAGACTTGAAGACCCTCATGTAGGCGTGGGGAATTTAGAAAACAAATAGTAACCAGTTTGGGACATCTATAACTATTCCAACTGTCATAAAAATCACAAAATGATTTCTAAACAAATCTTGACTTTCAAATGGAATCCCTGCCATCTGGCACTGAGGCCAGGTGTGGGGACAGGAAGGAAGCCATGATGCACGTGTGTGCCAGGATAAGGCCGCATACTGGTCCCAGCGCCAGCATCTGACCACTCGGTGTTAGTGAGCTGACACCAGGGCGCCCTCCCGAGAAAGTGCCAGCAGTGCAGGCATCTTGGATGAGCAGCTTTGCAGCTCCTTCACTTTGGATGTGTTTGCCCCTGTCTGAATCATTGTTAACTTGGCAGCATGTGTCTTATGTCCCAACAGGAGCCTGTGAAGCAAGCTGACTTTGTTCGCAGCAAGTCTTTCCTGATAACCCCTGTGAAGCCCGCTGTGGACCGGAAGCAGGGGGCAAAGCTCAACTTCAAGGAGGGGCTGCAAAGAGGAATCTCATTGTCCCATCAGAACTTGGGTATGAAATCTGCAAACATTACCACATACTTTGAAATCATTTTCCTGGGTCGTTCCTGCAGTTTGAGTTTTGGTTTGGTTTGGTTTTTGCAAATTACTTGCAACATTGAGTTTTCTACACAGCTCTTACGGAGATACAATTTACGTGTCATAAAACTCATCCATTTTAGTGTACAGTTCATTAAGTATAAGGTTGACCCTTGAACAACACGGGTTTGAACTGCACAGGTCTACTTAAATGCTGACTTTTTTCCAACCAAACCCAGATGGAAAATTACCTGTATCCTATCCTCAGGATGTGAAATCTGAGAAAACAGAGGGCCGTCTTTTTTTATGTGCGGGTTCCACGGGCTGACTGCAGTACTTGAGTATTCATAGATTTTGGTATATGCAGGTGGGAGAGGTCCTAGAACCAGCTCCCTGCATACACCAGGGGACAACTGTATATTGACAGTGAGCATGTATGTATTTACAGAGTTGCACAACTGTGATGAAAATCTAATTTTACAATATTTCCCTCACACTAAAGAGAAACCTCATGCCCATTTACAGTCACTTCCCACTCCCACTCCTAGCTCTAGGCAACCACTAATCTACTCTGTCTCTATAGATTTGCCTTTTTGGGACATTTCTAATGAATAGAATCCTAACGTATGTACCCTTTTATATCTGGCGTCTTTCACTGAGCATAGCATCTTCAAGATATGCCTTTGTTGTTGCATGTATCAGTATTTAAAAATTTTTAGGCCGGACGCCATGGCTTACGCTTGTAATCCCAGCACTTTGGGAGGCCGAGTCGGGCAGATCACCTGAGGTCAGGAGTTCGAGACCAGCCTGGCCAACATGGCAAAACCCCGTCTCTACTAAAAATACAAAAATTCGACAGGCATGGTGGCGCATGTCTGTAATCCCAGCTATTTGGGAGGCTGAGGCAGGAGAATCGCTTGAACCCGGGAGGCAGAGATTGCAGGGAGCTGAGATTGTACCACTGCACTCCAGCCTGGGCAACACAGTGAGACTTCTGTCTCAAAAAAAAAAAAAAATATATATATATATATATATATATATATATATATATATTTTTAATTATGGTAAGGGCACATAACAGAATTTACCATCTTAGCCATTTTTAAGTGCACAGTTCAGTTCAGTAGTTTTAAGTGAGGGACATTGCTGCAGCCCATCTGTAGAGCTCCTGCCATTTTATTTCCAAAGTCTCTCTCACCTCATTGCATTGCCAGAATTGTTTGAGCTTGCTCATAAGTCTTTTTATCACATAAATGACATATTCTAGGCCCAAATCTTCCTTACATGTTGACATATTATTGAATTTTATGTTCGAGAACACAGTTAAGACCTCGATGTCTAGTTCGAGAAACACAAGAGGCTTAAGGGAAAATTCGAAGTCACTGCTCATGTTTCTGTTGGTTTTGTCTCCCTTCCAAGCAGCTCAGTCTGCAGTGATGATGGAGAAGGAACTGCATCAGCTGAAGAGAGCCAGTTATGCCAGTACAGATCAGCCATCCTGGATGGAACTTGCCAGAAAGAAATCTCAAGCTTGGAGTGACATGCCCCAGATTATAAAATAGGTGGGCAGTGTGCTGATAAAGCATGTCCACTACCCTGACAAGCCACTTAGTTAAAAACTGCCAGTGTATTGTGGCAAACAAACTGTGAAACTTAAAGATTGATTTTATCATCAAGTTATGACGAACTTGGGGAAGAGGAAGGAACCAGGCAAAACAAAGAGGATAAACACACAGCCATACTCCTGGGCCAGAGGGCCCAGAAACAAGAACAACATTGAAAAAGTCCAGGAACCAGTTCCTGTGCCCAAAGGTACGAATGTGTCTTTTCGAATTCCCTTGATAAAGAAGCCTCAGACAAGGAAGAAAATAGAAATGAAATTGGACACATAAATAGGACACCCAGCAAAGGCCAGAAGAGAAGCCCTTCTAGGAGAAGGGACATCTGTGCTTCCAGCTGAGATCAGCCCATGTCTCTGGTCGCTCTCTTGCCTGTGGATCCTGTCTTCTTTCATGTTTACTACGAGGCATGACATTCATGGCAAAACAGGGATGCCGTTTCCAAGAGCAGCTATAAAACAATCTGTTTTCCTAAAGACAGCCACTCTGAGAAGGAGATGAAGGAACACGGCAGGGTTCATCAATTCATAGACTGTTTCCAAAAATAATTTTTAAACTTTTCCACTAGGCATCTGTGTCTTTAACCACTGCACAATGCATTGCCTGTTTAATAAAAGGTTTCAAACATGCCTCTGTTCTAAGTGTAAATGTTATTTCTACTCAGATTTAGAGAACATCCTCCAGCACTGAGTTAAATGCAATGAATAGGGTTTTGCTTCATACATGCCTCATTTAAAATTCTGAATTGGGTTAATTGTGGAGTTTGAGTTTTTGAGGTTTTTTTTTTCCCCAGTGAGAATTTTGGAAGACAGACGGTAATGTAGGGTTTTAACTCTTTTCATCTATTTAGTACGACATACTAAATATATAAAATTTCCTTAGAAGTTATCATTCTTTAGCATCTAATCAATCGAACCTGCATATTTCTGTTGAAAGCTGGGTTACCAGTGCATCAGCCAGTATGACCCATGAATGTGGAATGTGGAAAAACCAGGCAGAAGGAAAACATATTTGAAATCTCGGAATTGTCTTGGTTACATAATGCCTCTTTACTGTTTAAAATAGTTCCAATTTGTTCCTTCGAGCAAGGTAATCTCCATGGGAGTACATGTAGCTGGGGGCATTTAGCCATCAGAATCACTACAACTTCATGATATACTATAATTTGATTTTATATACCCTAGGGCCTTGCTACTTTTATTGTATTTTCCATCTTCATGAATATTGTTTTTCTAGCTGTTAGTACTACACAGATTGATTGAGCCTACCTTTATTGAGAAAGTCCTGGGTCAGTTTTTTTCCCAACCGAGTTGATTTACTAATTGCATTCTCTTAGAGAACGTCAATACCGAATTCCATGGTGAATATGCTGTAACACAAGAGCTCCGTCCATCTAGCCTTGCTTCCAAAGCCGAGGCGTCTGTGAACTGTTTTAACTGGCAAAAATTGTGTTGGCTATTACTACCCTCAAACCCCCATTTCTCCCTAGCAGATGATCAGATGAACCATTTTGAGACAGCAGATTTCACTGCAAGATCAAAAGTATTTGGTTTGGTTTTGTTCAAGCAGATGCTGATATTCTCTGTGTATTTGAGGACTTGGTTTAATTCTCTCTGACGCCTGGTGAGTTAGAAGGGTGCCATTTTTAGGACACTGGGAGAATTCACTAGGGTGTGGCCCTGCAGTTGCCACTTTCAGCATGGAGGTGGTGACCCTTCTGTCGTAACCAGCTGAGACGTTGGCCGAAATTTGGGGATGTCGGAAGTCCAGAGTGGCAGCAGAGATGGTAAAAGCCTGCAAGGAATTACCAGCCCTGGTTTTCCTAAGAAGAAAGACGGGGGAGCAATTACTGAGCCAGCCACTGCTCTATATTTCATATGTAATTTAGAATCCTCTGCACAGTCCTTTGAGGGTAAGTACTTTATGTCCACTTTGCAGGTGAGGAAACTGAGGCACATTGAGGTTAAGATCCCACAGCAGGTATGCACCTGGAAAGTGACTCCAAGGCCCATGCTTTTAAACACTACCTTCGAGTAACATCCTTATTTTTATATTTTATTTATTTTATTGACAGGGTCTCGCTCTGCCCCCAGGCTGGAGTGCAGTGGAGCAATCTCAGCTCACTGCAGCCTTGAGCTCCTGAGCTCAAGCAGTCCTCCCACCTCAGCCTTCCAAGTAGCTGAGACAACAGATGTGCACCACACCTGGCTAATCTTTTTTTTTTGTAGAGATGGGGTCTCACTATGTCGCCTAGGCTAGTCTTGAACTCCTGGGCTCAAGCGATCCTCCTGCCTCAGCCTCCCAGAGTGTGGGATTACAGGCATGAGCCACTCCACCCAGCCAACATCCCCATTTTTAAAAAGCATTGGTGCAGCGAATCACTTGAGGATAGGAGTTCAAGACCAGCCTGGCCAACATGGTGAAACCCCATCTCTACTAAAAATACAAAAAAATTAGCTGGGTATGGTGGCAGGTGCCTGTAATCCCAGCTACTCAGGAGGCTGAAGCAGGAGAATTGCTTGAACTCGGGAGGCAGAGGTTGCAGTGAGTCGAGATCACACCACTGCACTCCAGCCTGGGCAACAGAGTGGCACTCCATCTCAGAAAAAAAAAAAATTTTTTTAATAAAAAGCACTGGTGCAGTGGTGAATCTGTGGTCTCCAAGACAACCCAGACATGAGAGCACTGAATGTGACTTTGGGGGTTCCTATGTCCTAGGGACACCTCATCCTTTAATTCCTTAGACAAACTGGAAAAAGGGAGGGGGAGGCATTTATAATTTTTAATCGTGAGCACCTGCCTCAACTATGTGGTATTTTCATTCATTCCTTCACCTCATTCAGGTGACGCTTTAGTGCCTGCATCCTATGAGGGCCTAGGGACAGCTGATGAACAAACAAGTAACAGGCTAACCTTGTGCCACACCTGTCTTATTTGGGTATGGGGAGGGGGACAATAAATAAATATAAAACATACCAAAAAACCCCAAGTAAAAATAGTAATAAGTTCAATGACGAGTCTAAAACAGAAGGTCTTGATCATGGTGGAAGGACTACGTGAGATTGGGTGATTAGTGAAAGGTTTGCTGGAAGTGATCTAATTATAAAAATGATCATGGTAGCCTAGTCTAAGGTAATGCTAGAGGTGGAGAGAAGTAGATGGATTCAAACCACAATTTAAAGGTAGCGTCAGGCCGGGTGCGGTGGCTCATGCCTGTAATCCCAGCACTTTGGGAGGCTGCGGCAGGTGGATCACCTGAGGTCAGGAGTTCCAGACCAGCCTGGTCAACATGGTAAAACCCTGCCTCTACTAAAAATACAAAAAAAAAAAAAAAAATTAGCCAGGTGTGATGGTGCATGCCTCTAATCCCAGCTACTAGGAAGGCTGAGGCAAGAGAATCATTTGAACCTGGGAGGCAGAGGTTGCAGTGAGCTAAGATCACACCGCTGCACTCCAGCCTGGGCAACAGAATGAGACTCCATCTCAAAAATAATAAAGTAGAGTTAGCATCAAATCCAACATGCAGGTGGGTTTGGTATGTTTGGTATGAGAAGGAAAGGATGGAGGTAGAGACGACACCTAGATTTTTGGTTGGAGCTTCTAGGTGAGTCGTGGTAACACAGAAATGGGCGTGGAGGGTGAGATTCACAGAAAGGAGTTGAGTTTGGACATCTTAAATCTGAGATTCCCATTAGACATCTAAGTGGAAATATCAAGTTATACAATTGTAGGTAATCAGCATTTGGATAGAATGGGAATTCAGGGGTCTAGACAAAGGAGAACAGGGTGGGAGGATTGATCCTAGGACACTCCTGTACTAGGGATCTAGAGTTGTCAAAAGGGTCTGTGAAGGAAGAGGGACAGCAAGAGCGAGGCAAGAAAAAGTGTTGGAAAGAAGAGGGAAGAATCAGCTGTGTCAAGAGGGACCTGCTGAGAGTGGGATCCGCTGAGTGGGGTCCGCTGAGAGTGGGATCCGCTGAGATTGGGACCCACTGAGAGTGGGATCTGCTGAGAGTGGGACCCGCTGTGAGTGGGACCTGCTGAGAGTGGGACCTGCTGAGAGTGGGATTGGCTGAGAGTGGCATCTGCTGAGAGTGGCATCTGCTGAGAGTGGGATCTGCTGCTGAGAGTGGGATCTGCTGAGAGTGCGATCTGCTGAGAGATCCAACCAGATGAGAACAAGAGCAGCCATTGGCTTGGGAACACAAAAGCCATAGGTGGCTTGACAAGGGCCCTCTCTGTGGAAAAGTGGGGGTGGAGGCACAGGTAGATTAGGTCAAAGCTGGCCAGCCTGTAGCTACATCAGCTATAACCAACTTCCATGAAATTTTACTCATACATGAATAGGAGCAGAAGAAATGGCAGTAGCTGGGGGCAAGAGAAAGTTTTCCTATTCATTTGATACAAGAGGAGGTTTACGTATGGATAGGAATAGACTTGTAGGAGGGAAGGGAAAATTGCTGAAGCAGGTCTTTCTGAAGCACACCTCGCCGTCCAGAGATTCAGACAAGGATGAAGCACCCACACCTGCAGGCTGCTTTTGTTGTTCCTGGAAATAGGAGCCCCACGTTTTGATCCAGCTGATAAGGGGGAGCCACTGTAACGATGACATGGTCATGTGCTTGCCCTGGCTAAATGTGGACACTGGCCCATTTTCCTTACCGTGGCTTGAGTGTTAGTGCAGAGCTTTGGTATTCAGGGAGAAGGGTGTGTGACGTTATTTGGGTGTACAGCGCTCTGACAGCCCATATATATGATTGATACCCCAGGAGTCTCCTTTCCCCTGAAGAGCAAGGTAAAATCAACTTGGCTGCCAACAGATTCTATGCTTGAGAAATCCAAAGCTTTCCCCCTGGTTCCTGGGTCTTCTGTTTCTACTGTCTCCTTTGTACTTGGAACTTGTGCATTCTTGGAAGTTTTGCTCTCTTTCCCCAGAACTTGGCCCCTTCAGCAGTCTGCAGAAGAACTCCATACATATCTGCATTCTGTGTCTTGGTCAAACCCATTAAATAATTGGGACTAGGGTCACAAGGAGGGGATGCATCCTGAGGGACATGGCCCTCCCTAGCTTCCTAGTCCCACAGCTCCACCTGCCTAGCAGGACAAATTTCCCTTGTTTGTCTTAGGCACATCAGGCCTGCCTTGGGCTCTCCCTCATACACGACTCCAAGCAGCTTAACAGAGAATGTCTTCAGAACAAATGGAGTCATCCCACTGAGGAGAATGTGATGAGTAAAATGTTCTCCACCTCATTCAAGGCTATGCTTTGATGAGTGCTTAAAACCACCAGCAACAGGATCTGTGGTTCTTGTGATTCCATCCATCCTGAGTTGCCACGCTTCTCAAAAAAAAAATCCATCTTATAAGACTGACAATGCAAACGGCCCTGAAGAGAGTCCTCCTCCATACTCCATCCAGGTTTGGATAAGCCTGTCCCTGAGACCATCACGATTTCGGACTCAGGTGAGGCTGCCCACCTGAGGAGAACCCAGGCTTCTTTGTGCACACTTCAGAGGGGGTGCTCGTCTATTTCATAGGCAGAGAGTCATTGAGAAGAAGAAAAAACAGGGAGCAAATAGAGGTACCCCTGACATTTTAAGAAAAATGCAGCCAGTGAGGTGGGCACTAGATTTGCATCACTGTTAAATGGAAAACTGGGGAAGAAAAAAATTCAAAGACAGCAATTATTATATTAGATTCTGGGGGAAAAGACAGGAAAATATTTCTATAGAGGAGGTTTGAAATCGAAATATTTTAGGCATTTCAAAGTATGTCCACAAATGCTGTGGCAGTCCTCTCTTCAACGTGTGGAGCCTAATTCCCCTTCCCTTGAGTGTGGGACAGACAGAGTGCTCACTTCTAACTGCAGAACAGTTAGCAGATGGGAAGATATGTGCTGTCTGAAGCCAGGCCATGAAAGGCACAGCTGCATTTGCCTTGCATGTTCTTGGACCATTCACTCCGAAGGAAGTCAGTCCCTGTATCTCAAGGACACTCAGGCAGCCTGTGGAGATGCCCACACGGCTCGATGGCCAGCAAGCTGGTGCTGGTGGCTGAGGCCTCCCACCAGCCAAGTGGATGAACTGCCTTGGAATGGGCCCTGCCAGCCCCTGTCAAGCCTTCAGAGGCCTGCAACCCAGCTGACACACTGACAGCAGCCTCACGAGAAACCTCAGATCAGACTGCCCTGCGGGGCTGCTCCCAAACCTTGACCCACTGAAACTGCATGTATTATTAAGTCAGCACGATTGGGGATAATTTGTTACACAGCAACAGGTTTTTCATATTATTTTTCTGGATCTTGAAGTGAAAACTCCTTAGTTGTTTTAAAGTTAACATTTTAGCTGGGGTTAAGAATATAAGCGTAAGCACAGTATGAGAAAATGTTATTTAACACCTCCCGAACAGCAGGCTGTCTCAGGCTGTGCAGCAGAGATAGCTGGAGGCATACCTCAAACACCTGTGGTCCCCTCGCATGGTATGGAGTTGTTCTGGAAGCAAATGCCCAGTTGGGAACCGCATCGCCAGCCTCAGCCCCCTCCCACCCAACACACACAACTGCCTAGGCCTGTAATCAAGTCCTGGCTCCTGGAATGTAGGCGGAAGTGATATGCACCACCCCCACCCCCAATACAAATCCTTAACTTCTAGAGAAGGTTCATGTGAGGACAACCAGGATGGCAGGCGAGAAAGTCTCCTGTGGGTGAGACTTCACAGAAGCGAGAGGCTTAGCTCAGAGAGACCCAGGGGAGGGAGGAGAGGTTCCGACAGCATCTGTTGGAAGGAAAGAGGAAGAGAAAAGGGACTCATTCTGTATAATGCCACAGGGAAGAAACCAGGACCATAAATGAATGTTTGAGAGGACAAAGAAAGACATGTTTTAACTGTGAGAGCCGTTCAGTGCAGGACAGGATGTCTGGTCAGGAGTGAGCTCTCTGGCACCTGAGGGGGCAGGCTGCCAGAGGACCTCACCCCTCCAGGATGCTATACGGATCCTCACCCTCAGAGGAAGTCTGAACTAAGCGGCCTCCCCAGCCTGGAGCCACTCTGCATCTTGAACTACAACAGGTACTATCTGAGGCAGGGGCATTTTATATAGTGCTCTTCTTACTATTTATTACCAAGAAGTAATCATTCAGAAAGTCCTCCAAGTAGGCTTTTATGTAGAATGTCATTGTCCAGAATGCTTTGACAGCTTTTTATTACCAGAAGGCAGCCATGCAGAACCAGCCAGTCAGAAGACGGTCCTTCTGGGCCCCGTACACATCTGTTTCCCCAGCCCCACCCCTGAGCCCTTCAGTTGGTTCTGTTGAACTCCTGTGTGGAGGGAAATATTTATCCCTTGATCGATGGAAATAATCTGTAGTGAATAGGTGTTTTTGGATCAAATAGCAGAAATAATGCAGGCTGAACACATGCGTGTTGGGTGACATTTGCTTTCTATGCATTGTCTAGCTTCCTTCCTGCCTTCTCTGTTGGGAAATTATCCTTATTCTCATGGAAAGAAAAGAGAGGTGTGTGTGATGTCCAGAAGGTGACTAGAAACAGCGGCGGCTGGGCTGGTGGTTAGGGTGTGCCCCAGGAGTCCGGCCTCTCCAGAGAGCACCCTGAAAGTGTGCAGGCAGGCCAGAGGCCTCCAGACCTGCAGACCTTATAGCCTGAGTGGCCCTCCCTGCCAAACGCCCAGTTTGACAGCTGCTATTCCACTTGCAGAAAAACTGAAATTCAGTATTGAGCTCACTATCCAGTAAGAACGAGTTGCTCCTGAAAGATTTCCCATGGGAAGAAGAATTCTGCCATCAAACTTACGATAATGCAAAATTGCATTATCTTTCAACTCAATCTTTCAGGAGCAGAAGCCTTTATATTTAGATTCTCCATCTCTCCCAAGGAGGGGGCAGAGGGATTGTTTCCATCACCACTTACCCCTGCCGTCCCACTTACCATCTCATCTGTAAGGATCAGGTGCTTCCGCCAGTGCGGGCTGCCCAGGCTCCCCTGAGGCAGAGCAGGAGGCAGTGGTTGGACGCCCGCCATAATGCTGGGTGTAGGGCAGCCCACCAGAGCCTCTGCCTCAAATTGCCCTGTCCTGTCAGAGCACTGTCCACCAGTGGTGCTGAAATGAGGAGTTTACAAAGGATATAGGGCTGGGCACTAAACTCACAGTGGCCAAGATCAGAGCCAGCCTTCCTGGCACTGGCTAGAGACAGGTATGTCTTGGATCAATGGGGACCCTGAATGTGACTACAGGGGACCTGGGTCCCAGCAGCTGCCACCCTTACAGGCAAGAGTTCCGTGCATCCAGTGGATACCTCTGCACTGGCCATAGCAGGGTTTCAGAGCTCTCTTCTCTCTATGATCTCTTCCCATGGGAGGCTGGGCTTCAGAGCTACACTATAGGCTAAATTGGGTCCCTCAAAATTCATATGTGGAAGTCTTAAACCTAATGCCTCATAATTGGCTGTGTTTGGAGACAGGGTCTTTAAAGAGGTAATCAAAGTAAAATGAAGTCACTAGTGTGCGCCCTAATTCAGTATGACTGGTGTACCAAGAAGAAAAGGAGATTAAGACACAGACACACGCTGAAGGAAGACCATATGAAGACAGAGGTGGCCGTCTACAAGCCAAGGAAAGGCCTCAGAAAAAATGAACCCTGCTGACACCTTAATTTTTGACTTTCAGTCTCTAGAATTATGAAAAAAAATTTCTCTTGTTTAAGCTGCCCAGTCTGGGATACTGTGTTATGGCAGTCCTGATTAACCTACAAGTCTAGTGTGGTCTACATTTGGGATTGCAGTTGCCTCTCTGGGTCTAGGCTAGGAGAGGTGACCTCTTGGGCCCTACCAACTCTGAGCCTTTGTGGTCAGCCACAAATAAGGCCAGCTTATTTTTGATACTTGTGGCAGACAGCTTTTTATTAAGAAAAAGAGTCTGGGTGTGGTGGCTCATGCCTGTAATCCCAGCACTTTGGGAGGCTGAGGCAGGTGGATCACGAGGTCAGGAGTTCCAGTCCAGCCTGGCCAACATGGTGAAACCTCATCTCTACCAAAAATACAAAAATTAGCCAGCATGGTGGTGCGTGCCTATAATCCCAGCTACTCCAGAGGCTGAGGCGTGAGAATCGCTTGAACCTAGGAAGTAGAGATTGCAGTAAGCTGAGATCGCGCCACTGTACTCCGGCCTGGGTGACAGGGCGAGACTGTCTCCAAAAACAAAAAAGAAAGAAAGAAAGAAAAAGAATCACCTTCCATTTTTAGTTCTATTTGCTCTCCCTAGTTTCCAATACCTTCAGTCTCTGTGCCCCTCCCTCCTTCTCAGTACATTGCTTTGATTCAGTCTGGAGAAGGCTGCAGTCTTCATTTGTGAGGCACTCACCAGCCCTGGCAATGCCGTCTTTTACTTTACACCCAGTCAGTCGTCAGCATGGTGGTGCACCTGGTACACAGCAGGTGTCTAGCTAATGTCTATGGAATGGATTAATAAAGAAGGTAATCAGTTACATGAATGTTTCCATGCAGGGTTTCTTAGTGGGAGTAGAAGGGCAGCAGAGATGGAAAGAAGGAGACAGGCAAAAGAAAAGAGGAACTTTGTTTGAAACAATCCAAACCTGCTCTTCTCAGCTACATATCAGACCACAACTACCTGTTATATGGAATATTGCCTTTACATGGGCATTTTGTAGCCCAAAATATGGCAAATATTCTTGGCTAATTAATGTTCCATGTACAATTGAGAAATGCTGTTGTTGGGTAAAAAGTCCTATAAATGTTAATTAGACCAAATTGGTTGATCGTGTTGTTTGGGTCATTTATATCCTTACTGATTTTTTGCCTACTTATTCCATCATTTACTGAAAGAGGAGTGTTGAACTCTCAAACTGTAATTGTGGATTTCTCTATTTCTCCTTTCAAATCTATTAGTTTTTTTCTTGGGGATTTTGAAGCCTCTGTGGTTAGGTGCAAACACGTAGAGAACTGTTAGGTCTTCTTGGATAATTGACCCCTTTATTACTATATAATGCCTCTATTCCTGATTATCTTCCGTGTTTTAAGTTTACTTTAAAATTAATACAGCTACTCCAGCTTTCTTTTGGCTGGTGTTTGCATAGTGTACATTTCTCCAACCATTTCCTTTTTTTTTTTTTTCATTTTTAATTGTAAAGATGAGATTTTGCCATGTTGGCCAGGCTGGTCTCAAACTCCTGGCCTCAAGTGATCTGCCTGCCTTGGCATCCCAAAGTGCTGGGATTACAAGCATAAGCCACCATGCCTGGCCTCCATCCATTTACTTTTAATGTATGTATGTCTTATCTTTAAAGTGGGTTTATTGTAGACAGCATAAACTTGAGGCACGCTTTTTTATTCAGTCATAGTCTTTTAATTGGCATGTTTAGACCATTCATATTTTAAATGGTTATTGATATGGTCAGATTTAAATTTACCACGTTACTAGCTGTTTTCTATTTGTTGTTTGCATTTTTTTCTCTTTTACAACCTTCTCTGTGTTTATTTTTCTATTATTTTATTTTATTTTGAGAGCGTCTCACTCTGCCATTCAATCTGGAGTGCAGTAGCTCAATCACAGCTCACTGCAGCCTCGACCTCCTAGGCTCAAGCAATCCCCCCACCTCAGTCTCCCAAACTACAGGCTTGTGCCATCATGGCTGGCTAATTTTTTTTTTCATAGGTAGAGTCTTCCTATGTTGCCCAAACTGGAAGTATTTTTTATGATTCAATTTTGTCTCTTCTATTAATATATCAATATTGAATATCCCCTCTATTAAAGTATTTCTATGACTCAATTTTATCTCATTTATACTTTAAAAACAGTTTTAGTGGTTGCTCTAGCATTTAAAATATACATTTTAAAATAATCTGAGTATGCCTTCAAATAACGTTATGCAATTCCACCGTTATTGTAAGCATTTTATAAAAATATATTTCCAATTCTTCCTTCCCATTTCTTGTGCCTTGTTTGCCATACATTTCACTTTTCCATATGTTATAAACACATATTCTATTGTTACCATGTTTGCTTTTAACAGTTATCTTTTAGAGGAAATATAAATAAAGAAAAAATGTTTTACTTTGCTTTTATTTATTTTATTTTGGTGCTTTTTTGACCTTTATCATATTCCTTCTCCCTAAAGATCTACCTTTATTTTTTATTTATTTATTTATTTTTTTGAGACAGAGTCTCGCTCTGTCACCCAGGCTGGAGTGCAGTGATGCGATCTCTGCTCACTGCAAGCTCCACCTCCTGGGTTCACACCATTCTCCTGCCTCAGCCTCCCAAGTAGCTGGGACTACAGGCACCCGCCACCATGCCCAGCTAATTTTTTTTTTTTTTTTTTTTGTATTTTTAGTAGAGACAGGGTTTCACCATGTTGGCCAGGAAGGTCTTGATCTCCTGACGTTGTGATCTGCCCATCTTGGCCTCCCAAAGTGCTGGGATTACAGGCGTGAGCCACCGCACCCGGCCTAAAGATCTACCTTTAGTATTTATGGTAGAGTAGGTTTACTGGCAATGAATTTCCTCAGTCTCTGTCTGCCTGAGAAGGTTTTTACTTCTCATATCTTTTTAAGGATATTCTAAGTAGGTATAGAATTTTGGATTGCCAGCCTTTTTTTTTTTTTTCATTTAGTACTTTAAAGATGTTAATCCATTGTGTTCTGGCTTGCATGGTTTCTGACAGAAGTCTGTTGTAATTCTTATCCTTGTTCCTCAATAGATAGCATGTTTATTTTCTCTGATCACCTTCAAGAGTTTCTCTTTGTCTTTGATTTACAGCAGTTTACATATGATATGTGTAGGTATGTTTGTTTCTTTGTTTTTGGTATTTATCCTGCTGGTGTGCTCTGGTATTCTTAGGTCTTTGATTCTGTGTCTCTAAGTTTTTTCTTCTTTTTAACTATAAAATTCAGTGTCTGTACAGACTGTCAAAAATTGCCAATGCTGACTATATTTCAAGTCATCATGGTGGAGTATTGGGAAAAGTTTTCAATTAGCAATAATCACACCTCAGATAAACCTCATTGGCTATGATACTGCCACTGCATAAAGCTCTGTCACTAATTTTTAAAAGTTCTCAGCCATTATTTTTCTCAGATACGTTTTCTGCCTAATTTTATCTTTCTTCTTCTTCTGGAATTCTAATTATGCTTATGTTAGACTGTCTGATATTTCTGATATTGTCCTACAGTTCTTGGATTATCTGTACTGTCTTGAGATTTTTTTTGCTTTTTTCCTCTTTGCATTTTATTTTGGGTAATATCTTTAAGTTTACTTATTCTCTACCCAGCTCTACAAATTATACTGATGGGCCCATCAAAAGCGCATCTCATCTCCATTACTGTGTTTTGTTTCTAGTATTTATTTCCATTTGATTCTTTATAATGGTTTCCATTTCTCTGCTGAAATTACCTATCTGGTCTTGCATGCTGTCTACCTTTTCCTTTAGATCCTTTAACATATTAATCATAATTAATGTCTGATAGCTCCAACATCTGTATCATATGTGAGTCTGGTCCCAATGTTTGCTTCATCTCTTCAGAGTGTGCTTTTCATGGTTTTTTGTATGCCACATTTTTGTTGTTGTTATTGAGAGCTGGAAATATTAAATAGAACAATATGGTGAATATTCCAGTTCCAGGATCAAATGCATGTGACTAGAGACAATTTAGGAATGAAAAGAAGTTATGTGGAGGTTTTATAACCTACAGTTCAAGTCTACAGTGGTTTGGAAATAGACTTTGAAAAATGGGCAGCTTAGACTTTCCCCCCACTTTAATTTTTTAAAATCAGGATAAAGCATACATATGGGTTTTTTTTTTAATCATAGTCTATAGCAGAGGTCAGCAAATTTTTTCTTAAAAAGCCAAATGACAAATATTTTAGGCTATGTGCTCTCTGTCACAACTACTCAACTCTCCCATTATCAACACAAAGTCATCCATACACTCATACATCCACATATTTATACAAATGAGTGTGACTGTGTCCCAATAAAACTTTATTTACAAAAGAGGCAGCCAGCCTGTGGGCCATAGTTAACTGATTCCTGAGCTATAGAATAATATTAAATGAGCAAAGTCTTGCTCTCCATGAAGGAGTCCTGCTCTCCAGGATAACCACATTTAACTATTTTTTGCATTCTTTGGGTGGATGCACACATAATTCTATGTAATATAGGCTTATAACTCTATTTATTGATATATTAATCTATTGAGACTCCCTCACCCAACCATGAAACATGAGAAAATTTCCTCCCAGCACTTTGGGAGCCCAAGGCGGGTAGATCACTTGAGGTCAGGAGTTTGAGATCAGCCTGGCCAACGTGGTGAAACTCCATCTCCAATAAAAATACAAAAATTAGCTGGGCATGGTGGCAGGTGCCTGTAATTCCCAGAGACTTGGGAGGCTGAGGCAGGAGAATTGCTTGAACCTGGGAGGTGGGGGTTGCAGTGAGCCAAGATTATGCCACAATACTCCAGCCTAGGCAACAGAGCAAGACTCCATCACAAAAAATAAAAAAACTAAAAATTAAAACACTTTTTTTAAAAAATAAAATTTCCTGTCTTACATTACCTCTTTTTTCTGTGATAAGCAGGTAAACCCACCCCCAGAGGCCAAAGGAGCTGAGAGGTAAAAGAAAGAGACTAACAAATCCAGTTTCTCAGAAAGAAACATTTAGGCTGGGCATGGTGGCTCATGCCTGTAATTCCAGCACTTTGGGGGGACTGAGGCAGATAGATCCCTTGAGCCCAGGAGTTTGAGACCAGCCTAGGCAACATAATGAGACTCTATCTCCACCAAAAATACAAAAATTAGCTGGGCATGGTGGTGCATGCCTGTAGTCCCAGCTACTTGGGAGACTGATGTGGATCACTTGAGCCTGGAAGGCGGAGGTTGCAGTGAGCCATGATCATGCCATTGCACTCCAGCCTGAACAACAGAGTCATACCCTAACTCAAAAAAAAAAAAAAAAAAAGTCACTCTGTTGCCCAGGCTGGAGTGCAGTGGCATGATTTCACCTCACTACAGCCTCCGCCTCCTGGGATCAAGTGATTCTCCTGCCTCAGCCTCCCAAGTAGCTGGGATTACAGGAGTGCATCACCACGCCTGACTAATTTTTGTATTTTTAGTAGAGATGAGGTTTCACCATGTTGGCCAGACTGGTCTTGAACTCCTGACCTCAGGTGACACTCGCCTGCCTCACCCTCCCATAGTGCTGGGATTACAGGCATGAGTCACCGCATCTAGCTAAGAAAGAAAGAAACATTTAATAGGAACTAACAAACAGAAGCAATATCTCTGGTGGCCAAGAGACGGTTGATTCCTATACTTGCCCTCCAGAAAGTAGTCTTTATATAGCAAGCTGCTTTTGGTAAAACATGTACAGTTGGTCACGTCTCAGACCCTCCCACAAAGTGTGTGACCACTGGGAAAGTTAGATAAGCATCTTTATAAGGGGTTATCTATGCTACAGGAATTGTTTCTTGGCCTGACTGCAGGAACACCTTGGTATTCAGGAGTCAAACATCGATCCTGATGGTGATTTCACTTCAGGTGGCATTACTCTTGCCTTGCAACAGGCTGTTTTCTTACACTCTTTCCTCCGCAACCCTCTAAGACTTGTCTTTCATCAACATATATTAATAGTTTTTCCCATTGGTTTGTTTCCCTTTATAACTTTGCTGTTTCTTTTTCCATTAACAGGAGACCGTTCCTCTTGAGCCTCCCCTGGGCAACATGAGGATCTTGCTATTCCTTCCTCACCCTACCCTTCTCCCCATCTTTGCCCGACTGCTATTAATGCTACTGTTACTTTCACAGCACCCATATTATAATGTTTGCATTCTGTTTTGTAAATTAATTAGGTCTTTGGTGCTCTGCCAGAAGTTGATTCTAAAAATTGCAACCGAAGAAACAATATTTACATTATTTTAATTATATAAATATTAGTCATTGCAGAACTAAGTAGTGTGATTGGAGAAATAAATATAATTCACTGGTACTAAATCAGTTCCAAGCATCAAAGTCACATGGGTTCTTTTTTCTTATACTCCAGTAAATACTCAAAATCATGTCACGTTTCAATTTTCAGTCTAACCAATAATCTTCAAGAACTCTTGTTCTCTGCACCTTTACTGGGTCAACCTACTGTTGTTTCTTGGAAGCAATGTGCTGACATGGCGCTCTGAGACGTCCACATCTTGAATCGTCTCTCCTTTCCCTGGGAACCAACCTTGGGTTGCTTATCTTGGTTCTTCTCTTTGAAGCTGTTAGTTTTCCTAAAGGTTATCTTGAGGAAAGCTTCAGTTCTTCATATTCTAGGAGGTATTCAAAAGAACGTCATTAATCCATTAGGCTGAACTGTTTTCTCCTTTCTCCCTGTGTATTGGTATGATTGATATTTTAACAGCCTGGGAAGCTAAGAGTGACGTCAACAACCTCAGCTGCACTGAGAGTGAGGTGAATCATTCCAGAGAGTTCTGAGCCCAAACACACACTGGCTTGAGTGGTCCTGGGCTTGGTGTTCCCAACAAAGGCTCTTAGAACTCTCTTTAAGCCTCAGTCAGTATTTGGTGATCCAGTGGGTGTTTTCCAAGCCAGGCTGTCAGCTTGAAGAGTTCTCCCTTGGGGCAAAGTCCTTTTAGCATCTCAATTTAGGTAATGAGTTCCCTTTAAAATGCTGAAAGGACCTGATGTGGTGGCTCACATCTGTAATCCCAGCACTCTGGGAGGATGAGGCGGGCGGATCACTTGAGGCCAGGAGTTTGAGACCAACCTGCCCAACGTGGTGAACTGCTGTTTCCATTAAAAATGCAAAAATTATCTGGGCGTGGTGGTGGACGCCTGTAACTCCCAGCTCCTTGGGAGGCTGAGGCAGGAGAATCACTTGAAACCTGTAGGTGGAGGTTGCAGTGAGCCAAGATCACACCACCGTACTCCAGCCTGGGCAACAAAGTGAGACTCAAATAAGTAAATACATAAATAAAATGCTGAACAGGTTAATCCCTTGACCTTCTAAAATTGGGAAAGCTGGGTTCCAGGGGCTGAGCACAATGCACAGAAATAAACGATGTGAGTCATTGGTTCCAGGAACTCAATATTCTCAGCGAGGGGCCCTCCAGAGCAGCAAGTGCCAATGGAAGCATCTCTAAATTAATTGGATCTCTTTGTAAATCCAAAGGACAAATTAAATAAATGAATTGTCTGAGGCCAGTTGATTTGTAGTTCACATTTCCTCTGCAAAGGCTTGACTACAGATTTATTCATGCATTTCTGAAGCCACGTGATTTAGTGCTGAGGCCTTCTTGGGCCTTTGATAACTGCCATGATTATTAAGGCCTTGGAAGGTATAAAATGTGTTTTTCCACAATATTTACTTATGTCCTCTGTACAAAATGCATAAATATGTTACCAAGAATGTTACTAAAAACAGAAAAGAAAGGGCATGTTGTTTTTTTCTTTTCCCTCTGAGGCACTGCTTAAATATCATCTGCAAATTGTTAATTGCTCAGCTTGCGCTTTTATGACAGGGTTGGACCTGGGGAATGAAAAACAGCTCCCAGTGCTGATGCAGGGACACACCTGGCTGGCAACTCTGTTTTCAGAATGCCAAAGAGTGTAGGCTTCATTCCTTCATTCTGTAATAGGGTACAATGGGCATTGTCTAACCTTTATTTTAGCTACTTAGAGGGAAAAAAGCTACCATGACACTTGTGGTAGTTAATTTTATGTTTCAACTTGACTAGGTCACTGGTTGCCCAGATAGCTGGTTAAACATTATTTCTGTATTTGTCTGTGTGGGTGTTTCTGGAAGAGATTATCATTTGGATTAGTGGGCTCAGTAAAGCAGATTGCCATCAGCAATACAGGTAGGCATTGCCCAATCTATTGAAGACCCAAACAGAATAAAAATGGAGCAGGAAGGAGGATTTGCCATCTCTCTGTCTGATGCTTGCCATCTTCCCCCAGTGCTCCTGCTTTTCAGGCCTTCAGACTCAATCTACACCATTGACCCTCCAACTCTTAGGCCTCTGAATTAACCACCAGCTTTCCTGAGTCTCCAGCTTGCAGACAGCAGATTGTGGGACTTCTCAGCCTCCATACTCACGTGAACCAATACCGTATAATAAATCTCTTCATATGCAGTCATGCATTGTTTAACAATGAGGATACATTCTGAAACACGCATTGTTAGGCAATTAAGTCATTGTGTGGACATCATAGAACGCACTTAAACAAGCCTATAGGCTTTGTGGTGTAGCCTGTTGCTCCTGGGCTACAAACCTATACAGCACGATACTGTACTGAACACTCTAGGCAATGTAACACAATGGTAAGTATTTGTGTATCTAAACATAGAAAAGGCACAGTAAGGCTGGGCGCAGTGGCTCATGCCTGTAATCCCAGCACTTGAGGTTGGGAGTTTGAGACCAGCCTGGCCAAAATCAGGAAACCTCATCTTTTCTAAAAATACAAAAATTAGCTGGATGTGGTGGTGCACTCCTGTAGTCCCAGATACTCAGGAGGCTGAGGCAAAAGAATCGCTTGAACCCAGGAGCCAGGAGGCAGAGGTTGCAGTGAGCCGAGATCACCCCACTGCACTCCAGCCTGGGGAACAGAGAGAGAGACTCCATCTCAAAAAAAAAAAAAAAAGAGAGAGAAAAGGCACAATAAAAATACTGTTGCATATGTGGCCTGTCATTCACCAAAACATTGTTATACAGTACATAATTGTATATCTATATGCTACTGGTTCTGTTTCTCTGAGAATCTAGACTAATATACCACCTAATGGTGATCTCTAATGTTGCAAGGACAATAACTATCTTATCTGTCCTCACACATTTTATTGCAAAGTGACATTGTGTGTTGTCCAGACTGAGAATTTACCAGCTATAATTTCCCCCCACTTCAGAAACAGATTGGCAAATCATGATCAACAAAAACTATGCTCACTGAGAGAAGTCACCCACTGTTCAGACACAGGAGTGAGACTCTGGGGGCAGGAGGGCATCCAGGAGGAATATACAATGACTTTCCCTTTAAACACAGAAGCTGGAACAAGGCTCTGGGTTTAATCTGACTTGGAATTGCCTCTGTGGTTCTCAGCCAGCTCTGAGGAAGTTAAGAACCCACCCTTGCCTGTTCAAGGCTGGCTTCCAGCTCAGGAGGAAGGCTAGGGGGTGAGAATTAGGAATCCCCCACCAAAACACACACACATGCACGCACACACAAACACACATGTCCAAAGCTGACTGTTTTTCTCTGGGATTGTATTTCAAGGCCTCTGAAGTCATCAAAGTCTCTAAAACACAGGTGGTCATGGGGCTTTTCATGATAAACTTTTGGAATCTTCTCCCCTCATTAAAACCAAACCACAGTTCTGCAGGGCTTCTCCGAGAGCCAGCCTGATGGGACCCAAGTCCATGAAGGCTTCCTCCATTACCAGTGAGCAGCCTACAGGGACCCCAAGCGTGACCTGGGGTGGGGCCAGAGGGCAGGCCAGGCACTCTCGGCCTCCCGAGACCTTTCTCATGCCTAGCGTACTCCGCAGGCACCTTGATGCCTAGTGAGCGAGGAATCCAGCTTAGCAAAGAACAGGCACAGACATTTCCTGCTTGATTGGAATCGTTAATACTCGGTTCCAGGAACCTGACAAGCTCTGCTTCGCTTGGCACCTAGCACAGTCCCAGATGGTAAATCTTCCCTGTCACCACCATTGTAACTCCCCAGAGGGGTCCTGGAATTGCTCCAGGAGGCCTTGTGCCAACTGCTAAATCCCAATGTCCCCTTCTCGTCGTCTCACCACAGCAGTTCACGGTCCAAGACCCTCGATGCTTCCATGAAGAGGCAGATCGGCACCTTGTTGCATGCAGCCAAACCATACATGAGTGCACAATACAAAAATGATGATAGATTTGAGCTCAGTGGGTGAGAGGCAGCAGCTGTGTGTTTACTCAAGGTGAGTTTGGAAAAGCTACATGGCATGGTCAGGCTTTTGAGACTTGTTTGAAATGTGGCCGGAAAAGGGGAGGCTGACGTGGGAGGAAGAAATGGGCACGTGTCCCTGGCATCCGCTGCGAGTCCTCCTGCCTCCCTGAGAACACAGTGCACAGCATCCGGGAGAGACTGGCCAGGACTTGGTGTTCAGTTACCTCCAACACCAAAGACAGTTGGACTTGCATTCCCTGGGGCCAGCTCACAAGCTTCAGAGAGCTCACAGCATAATGTCTTCTTCTGACACATGCTCACTGAACATCCACCATGAGCCAGGCACTGGGTAAGCACTGAGGAAACACGGGGCTAGTGACAAGGATGTCTCTGCCCCCAGTGGGCTGTCAGCTCACTGGGCAGAGGAGTTGGGCAAGTCCTGGGGCAGAGACAGAACGGCCCTTCCATGCAGGGCACATGGCGGTCACCACCGCCAGAGGATCTGCTGGAGTAAGCAGGAGAAGCCCTGCTGAGGTCTGGATGTTGATGTCCCCCCAAATTCCTATGTTGAAGCCTAACACCCGTGTGCTGGTGTTAGGAGGTGGGGCGTTTGAGAGCTGGTTAGGTCATGAGGGTGGGGCCCTGATGAATGGGATAGGTTCCTACAAGAAGAGGCCCCAGGGAGCCCCCTCGCCCCTTCCACCATGGGAGGACACAGACAGAAGTCACCATCTATGAACCAGAAATTGGGCCCTCACCAGACACTAAATCTGCCCCTTAATCATGAACTTCCAGACCTCCAGAAGTGTGAAAAATAAGCATGTTGTTTATAGGCCACACAGTCTATGGTATTTCAGTATTGAAGCCCGAACCACCCAAGGCAGGTATGGCATCCACCATCTTGCAGGAAGTGGATGAAGGGGAGGGGCAAGGGAGGGTGGAGGAGGGGAGCCGGCGCTGAGACCCAAACCAAGAGCAAGGGCAAGCTGAGGGGCGGGGGCATTGTTGGAGACCATGCTTAGGCATTTAGAATTTATTCTAAAATCCATGAAAACTTGCTGAAAATTTTTGTTTTCATCTATGTGACATTGCTATCATCTGTATGCTAACAACTCCCACCTTTATTTCCTCCCAGACCTCTGTTCTGAACGCCATGTGCCTCCCCTGGTCTCTGGAAGTCCAGTAGGCACCTGTACATCTAGACACCTCCCCTGCACACAAATCTGCTCTTCCTATGACAGTCCCTGTGTCATTGTCATAAGAGATACATTTGATTCTCCACCCTGGTTCTGGCACGAGAACTCTAAAAGCCTTGGGATTTCCTAAGAGATGAGGGTGAGAGGAATGTCTTTTGTTATTCAAGATGAGCCCCTTCTAACCATACCTGAGTTTATAGTGAGCTCCTAGAGAGCCTCAGGTGGGAGTGGTTGCCACAGGAACCAACCTCGTGACTACAGGGTTAGCACTTTCAGCTCCCCCGTCTCCCTTCCAAGGAGATGAGAAGGACTGGAGGTTGAGGTACATACCAATGCCCAGTGTTTTAATCTACCATGCCTAAGGGATGTGACCTCCACAAAACTCTTCAGGGACAGGGCTGGAGAGCTTCCGGGCTGGTGAGCACAGGGAGGTGCTGGGATGGTGGCGCATCCAGAGAGAGCCTGGACACTCCGCAACAGTCACCCCGATGCCTTGCCCAGGGCAGTCCTTCTCTGCTGCCCCTGAGTTACATCCTAATCATAAACCAGTATGTGTAAGTAAAATGTTTTCCTGAGTTCTGTGAGCTGTTCTAAACCTGAGGAGCAGTTTGTGGGAACCACCAGTTTGTAGTCCATTGGTCAGACGTCTGGGAGGCCTAGGCCTTGCAACTGGCCTCTGAAGTGGGGGCAGCCTTGCAGGACAGAGCTCTTAACCTGTAGGACCTGAGGCTGATGGATGGTGTCAAAACTGAATTGAATCGTAGGACAACCAGTTGGTGTCGGGAGAGCTGGAGAACTGGTTAGTGTGAGGTAAAAACCCACACACTTGGTGTCAGAAGTTAGAACAGAAATGATTCAAAGTCCCTGTGTCAGTGAATGCTTTGTCTCCGCCTGGATGCCTGTGCCAGGCACCTGGGAATCACCACACACCCTCCACATTCGGTGCGTGCCCTTGTCTGTGGGTTCCGCTCCACAAGCCACCACAAATGTATCCAGGTCTGTGCACCTCTGCTCTCACCAGCCTGGCCCCAGCCTGGCCCCAGCCCAGCCTCCCTGAGCCACTGCAGCAGTCTCCCAGAGGCTCAAAAGTGGTGCTTAAGACTTGCATTTGAGAAAGATGGGTTTTGGATAAATGTGGAGGATGGACTGGGGGCCAGTGAGAAGGGGACAAGGGATAGTTTCAGCAACCCGTTCCTTCATGTGTTCACTGAAGTCATGATGCACCGTGAGGGCCTGCTGTGGGCCAAAGCCTGGGAGGGGACTGGGGATAGAGAATGGAGTGTCACCCACAGAGAGAAGAGGTTCATTGGGCGGGGAGACGGCTGAAGTTGCCAAGAGAGAGCTCAAAGGGAGGCAGGGCTGAGGCCAGAAACCCTAAGGGATGGATCAAGGAGAGGAATTGAGGAAGGACAGAGAGCAGGAGCATATGGACAGAGGAGAGGCAGAAGCCGGGCTCTGCAGGGCTGTGGAAGCTGGAGGAGTAGGTTGTCCCAGAGTCCCGTACCCCTGGGGATCCAGGAAGGTAAGAGGGAAGTCAGCAACAAGGAGGTGGGAGAGGTTCCTCGGCATGTGGGGCGGAAGCCAGACTGTGGTGATTGAGAAATGTGTAGGGGTGGAAAAGTGGCTGCAAGGCACGACCACAGGCGGGAGAGCCGACTGTGAAATCTGCAGGAATTTTCTGAGCCAGGCGCCAAACACAGCCAGTGTTAAAAATTAAATGATGAAAACTTACAGTTAAATAGGTTACATAGAGACAAAGCAATAAATACTGAAAACTCATCTCTTCCTAGTTTGTTACCTTCTACCAATAGCTATTCCCCTGAGATAATGTCCATCCATTGTGTCCCTGTGGTGAGAATGCTATATGTGAGTGATTACTCACGTCTATGCATCTCTTCCAACTCTGCGTGTCGTGTTATCTCACTGGTGGCTTGAAATTGGCTGTGATGGGAGTATTTACACCACAGAAACCAGCAAATTCCTCAAATCAGACCTTTTTATTCCCAGAGAGTCAGTTGTGAAACGTTTACCAGCACCACTGGAGGAGTGAGATCAGAGCACTTTCAGTAAGAGAGCAGTGGCACGTTAGCAAATGGAAGGGAGAAAAAGACAGCAGCAAACGTGGACAGGTTTGCGGGCTTTGTGGCAGGGAAGTGAGCGCGTTGCCTCTGATGACTTTCATTTCTCTCAGTTACACTGAGGTGAGGCCAACTGCTCTGTGTGTGGAAGCCAGAGAAGAAAGCAGCACAGAACAGATGCAAACCAAGGAGGCTGGAAGATAAGAGCAGAGCCATCAGGACACGAGCCCCTCGCGGGTATGAAACAGGAGTCGTGGGAGCAAATTAGTAGGTGCACTGCATGGAGGGACGGAAGGGGCAGGGAGGAGCATCTGAATGTAAGATTTCAGAGAAGCTCATTTTGTCAGCATTTCAGAGCTTCCTGTGTGCAGCATGGATCTAAAGCTGGTGGATGCAGGGGGGTGAACAAGACAACATCTTCACTTCCTGCATGCTGATGGCAGAAGTGAGACATCAGCGAAGAAACATCACGATCACCAAATTACGATGAACACCATGGAGGAAACAAAGGACACTGTGACACCAAGGAAGGAAGGGAGGTTACTTTTCATAGTGGCTGTAAATAGAACTGAAGGCTGAAAAACAGCTGTTAAAATGGCTTGTTTGTTTGAAGATGAATGAGAGTACACAATAAAAGGTAATTCTCCCTCCCATCCCCAATGCCAGCTTCCCTGTTTCTCTCCCCAGAAGCAGCCATGGTTCATCACATCCATTTCCAGAGGTATCCTAGGAGCAAGCTGTATGAGGAACCGGGGAAAGAGGAGCATGTGCAAAGGCCCTGGGGTGGAAAGGGCCTGCTGTGCTCTGAGCTGCAGCAGAGCTTCTCAAGCCTTAATTTGCATTTGAATCACCCAGGGATCTTGCTGAAATCCTGATTCCTGATTCAGTAGGTCTGGAGAGGGCTTGAGATTTCTAACAAGCTCCAGGTAATGCTGAGGTGCCTGATCCAGATCTCACTTAGAGTATTAAATAAAGTCCTAGGGGATCGTTAGAGATCAATCCAGCCAGAAATGTCATAGGAGAGGGAAGAACAGGTCAAGACAGGGCTGCACAGACAGGTGGGGCGGCTCAGTCGGGGTCTCTGTGCAGTAAGAAGCGTGGGTGTTATTCTAAGTGCGACAGGAACTCACTGAAAAGCTTTGTGCAGACTGGGGTTGGGAGTGGCGTTACATGATCTACTTATTCTTTCTAAATCACTCTATCTGCTGGTTGGGCAGGCAAAGTGACAGTGGGAGATCCACTGGGAGGCTACTGCACAAATCTCAGCCAGAGGTGACAGTGACAGGACCCATGTGATGACCGGGAAGATGGACGGAAGTGGGCAGACCCCAGGGGTATTTTTTTTTTTTTTTTTTTGAGACGGAGTCTTGCTCTGTCACCCAGGCTGGAGTGCGGTGGCGCGATCCTGGCTCACTGCAAGCTCCGCCTCCCAGGTTCACATCATTCTCCTGCCTCAGCCTCCTGAGTAGCTGGGACTACAGGCGCCCACCACCACGCCCGGCTAATTTCGTGTGTGTGTGTGTGTGTGTGTGTGTGTGTGTGTGTGTGTGTGTGTTTGGTAGAGATGGGGTTTCACCGTGTTAGCCAGGATGGTCTCGATCTCCTGACCTCATGATCCGCCCACCTCGGCCTCCCAGAGTGCTGGGATGACAGGCGTGAGCCACCGCGCCCGGCCCCTAGGGGTATTTTTAAGGTGGAACCGAAAGAACTCATGGATGGGTTGGATATGGGGAGTGAGGGAAAAGGAAGCATCAAGGACGCCTCTTGGGGTTGTGTCTTGAGCAAGCGAGCAGCCTGGGCCAGCATTTACTGAGGCGGAGGGAGGAGCAGGGAGATTGAGAAGCCTGCACGTCACCAAGCAGAGATGTCAAGAAGACCTCGGGGCGGGGGTGGGGGGGGGGGGCGGGGGGCAGGGGCGTGGGCATGTGTGAGGCTGGGGCTCCGAGGAAGGTCTTGGCGTGGAATATAAGTTGGGAGTTGTCAGTAGAGGCATTTTCCAAGGCTATGAGAATGTGCTGTAGAGAAGAGCAGGAGCTCTAGGATGAACCCTGATGGGCATGATCCCTAGGGATTGGGTAGAAGAACAAGCGACCAGAGGGGCGCGGAGGGAGGCTGCAGGCGGCTTTGCCAGCAGGATTTGAAATGAGGAGATTTTATCAGGGCTAACTCAAAGGGTTTGCATTTCACCTTTTGCCCCCTCTTGCATAAATGGCGTCATTTGAAAAGAGAAGAGACGGGAAGGAGGGGGAGTCAGGAACGCGGGCGAAGCGCATCTGCCTGGTTCTGGTGAGACCAGCCCGGCAACTGTCAAGTCATCCCTGCTTAATAACACCTGCTGGAAGGACAAAGGAAAGAGCTGCTGGCACCGAGTCACATGTCCACACAAACCACAGAGCGGGCCGTAGATGCCAAGCCCTTCCCCTTCCCACCCTGTACCTGTTCTTCATGTTAATCTATTACTCTAATAATTTATTCATTGTGTAGCAAATGATCATTTTCCTATCATTTGTTTATTACTATTTTTACTTTCATTATCACGTTAGATTTTCACACATGGGAGCATATGGGGGACATATTTGTTTATTAGTTTATAACCTAAAATGAATATTTTATACAGGAACATTTTAAACAGAGGCAGAAAAACCCTTAACCCAATTTTATCTTATGCTAAAATTTCATTATCACCAATTCTCAGGCCTCCAAGCACTGTGCAAACAATCCTCGAGGAATGGGTGTTATCAATTATTAATAACTATTAAATTAGCATGGAGTTTGATTTTCCCCTAAGTATGTTTCATAACTGCAGAGCAGAGAAAGAGCCTCTGCTCCCTTCCGGGTCTCCTGTTCAAATAAACCTGAACCTGGCCCAGGCACCCAGGCATCTTGGAGTGGCCAGCAGTGAGCCCACGGCTGTGCCTCTGCCCTGCAGGGCACCCGGGGCCTGGAAATCCTCCGGGGTGGAAGGATGAACCCTTCTCCCGGGGAATTTCTGGCAGGTGCATGTGATCTTGATATTCTCTGCAAGTGGCAGAAGGAGCTTGTCCCCCTCACCATCTGTTACGGGCTGAATTCTGTCCCTCCAAGATTCAAATGTTGAAACCCTAACCTCCAGACATCCACAATGTGACTGCATTTGGAAATAGGGCCTTTAAAGGTGACTAAATTAAAATGGACTGGTCCTTACTTCAATATGACTGCTCTCCTTATAGGAAAAAAATTTGGACACAGACACACACAGAGGGATGACCACGTGGAGATGCAGGGAGAGGATAGCAGCTACAGGCCAGGGCGAGAGGCCTCAGAGGAAACCAGTCCTGCTGACTCTTTGAACTCGGACTTCCAGCCTCCAGAACTGTGAGAAAATAAATTTCTGTTTTAAGTCATGTGGTCTGTGGTATTTGCTTTGGCAGCCAACACAAACTAACATGCCATCTGCACCCTTCCCTCCCACCGTGTCTGATGCCCTTAGGAACCACTGTCTTCCTTTATCCCAGGATGTCTGCAAGGAAGAAAATGTCCTTTTTCTAGCATTTAGAGGCCACCAACATTGAATAACCACACTGGGGTAGACACAGCGGCGAAGAGATTCCTGCTGTTCCCATCACAGCAGCCTTGGAGATGAGAAGACAGATGGATCTGACCAGAGTGAGTCCCAGCCCGACCTTCTCCCACACACTCTACACATCAGCTATCAAGACTGAGCCAGCCTTGTGAGGGCAGAGTGGGAGGGAGATGAGGCCCAAGGTTCTTAGAATTCACCTGGCCTCATCAGGACCTTCAAGATCTTCCTCTCTTCTCTGCTACCAAAACTGTGTGAGGGGGAAAAAAAGCCAGGGTAAGATTGGAAATTCAGCCACCCACATCCTTGCAGTGACTAACAGCTGTTAAGAGACATTTTATTTGTGTTTTGTTTTGTGACAGAGTCTCCCTCTGTCACCCAGGCTGGAGTGCAGTGGTGCAATCTCAGCTCACTGCAACCTCTGCCTCCTGGCTTTAAGTAATTCTCCTGCCTCTGCCTCCCGAGTAGCTGAGATTACAGGGGCCCGCCACCACACCCTGTTAATTTTTGTATTTTTTAGTAGAGACGGGGTTTCACCATGTTGGCCAGGCTGGTCTCAAACTCCCGACCTCAGGTGATCTTCCTACCTTGGCCTCCCAAAGTTCTGGGATTACAGGTGTGAGCCACTGTGCCCAGCTAAGGGACATTTTAATAAACCCCAAACTGCAAACAGCCTTAAGCTAAAAAATGGTATTCTGAGCATGTATTCTCAGATAGGAAGGTTTAGAAGAGCCCAGCGAAGCTGGCTTAGTGCCCTTCAAGTCACCCCAAAAGAGCTAGCTGCCTGACTGAAGCCAGAGCCTGCCCTCCTTTTAATGTGTACAGCATCTCACGGACTGCCCTGTTTACAGCACCTCTTACGGTTAGATGTGGCCACCACAAGGATGCTCTGCTGTGTTCATGGACAGCATAGCCATGGGGGGGACACGGGCTCTGGGGTCAGATTTGTTTCTGTTTGTGTCTCAGATCTGCGACTTAATATGTGTGACCTCAGCGAGTTACTTATTCCTCCTGTGCCTCAGTTTCCTCATATGCAAAGTGGGATAATAATGGCAACTCCCACATAGGGTTTGCTGAGGATTAAATGAGTGAGTACACGACTGTAGCACGATGTAGGAGTGTTTAATGGCATTATCGTCATGATTAGCTGTGTGGGCCTTGGCTTCCCATCTGTAGCATAGAGCTACCAATACCTACCTATGGCATATTGTTACTTTGGGGATTAAACGAGACGCTGAATGACAAGCACATGGCATATAGGTGCAAGTGTTTGTTCCTTTCCTGCTTCTACCATTTTTTTTCCCGAGACAGAGTCTTGCTCTGCCGCCCAGGCTGGAGTGCAGTGGCTTGATCTCAGCTCACTGCAACCTCCACCTCCCGGGTGCAAGCAATTCTCCTACCTCAGCCTCCTGAGTAGCTGGGATTACAGGCGCCAGCCACCACATCTGGCTAATTTTTGTATTTTTGGTAGAGACGAGGTTTCACCATGTTGGCCAGGCTGGTCTCAAGCTCCTGACTTTGTGATCCACCTGCCTCAGCCTCCCAAAGTGCTGGGATTATAGGCATAAACTATCGCGCCCAGCCTGCCCCTTCTACTATTTTAAGGAACACTGGTGATTCAGTTAACATCTCATCTGGCAGGAACATTCATTGATACCAACATCCTCAACATCTAACCGAGTTGAGTAACCAGAATAACTACCTCCAGGGTCATGCTCTGAGGATTCCAGCTTTATCTGTAGTGAAACTTTCTCTGACAGCCTGCTGATTTCCCCTTCCCAGATACAAAGTCCTTTTGATCACTTACTATGAGTCAGACACGTTCTGAGCTTTATCTCCTTTAATCCTCACCATAACACCATGAGGTAGATATCATCATCCCTGTTTTATAGATGAGAAAAGTTGAGCGTAAAAAGGTTAAAAAAAACTCCAACACTTTGGGAGGCCGAGGTGAGTGGATCACCTGAGGTCAGGAATTCGAGACCAGCCTGGCCAACACGGTGAAACCCCGTCTCTACTAAAAATACAAAAAAATTAGCCATGCGTGGTGCTGGGAGCCTGTAATCCCAGCTACTCGGGAGGCTGAGGCGGGAGAATTGCTTGAACCTGGGAGGCGGAGGTTGCAGTGAGCCAAGGTTGCACCATTGCACTTCAGCCTGGGCAACAAGAGCAAAACTTCGTCTCCAAAAAAAAAAAAAAAAGGTTGAAGAAACTTGTCCAAGGTCACATTGCTGGTGCAGGTCACACCCCTGTCATAAAACCAGGGGATTTCCGACTCCCAAGCCCAGCCTTGAACCTCTGTGGTTTCCAGAACCAGAGCTGATGGGGAGCAGCTGATACCATAGAAGCTGTCACAGGCAGGCATGGGGACAGGAAGGAGAGCAGACGGTGGAGTAGCAGAGTGTCCCAAGCTAGTCCAGGAGGGGCAAAGGATCCTATGGAGACAAAGAGGGACTGATCATCATTTTGAGCCAGGCCCACCCACTGTCCTCCCTTCCTCATCCTTGTTCAGGTGCTGTCTCTTTCTGTTTTCCGAACATTGCCAACAACTTTGTTTAAAAACGGGCTTTATTGTGATGTATTTCACACACCGTACGATTCACCCATTTACAGTGTACCACGGAGTCGTTTTTTAATATATTCATGGTTGTGTATCCACCACTACAATCAGCAGTGCATTATCATTGCCCCAGATGTCATTAGAACACCATCATTACCCCACACTAGCCACTGTGCCCCAGTACCCCCAGCCCCAGGCAGCCACTAATCTACTTTCTGTCTTTGCAGACTTGCCTATTCTGGACATTTCATATAAATGGAATGATACAAATGTATGGTCCTTTGGGACTGATGTCTTTCACTTAGCACAATGTTTTCAAGGCCTAGTTTTAAAGTAAATTTAAAAATGGTTAAAGGTCAATGTGTAGTGCTTGGCACAAAGTAGAGAGGCTCAGTAAATTCTTATTGAATTGAAATACAATTTTTTTTTTTTTTTTTTTGAGATGGTGCTTCACTCTGTCACCCAGGCTGGAGTGCAGTGGTGCAATCTTGGCTCACTGCAGGCTCGACCTCCCGCATTCAAGCGATTCTCCTGCCTCGGTCTCTTGAGTGGCTGGGATTACAGGCGTGCACCACCATGCCCAGCTAATTTTTGTATTCTTAGTGGTGACGGGGTTTCACCATGTTGGCAGGGCTGGTCTCGAATTCCTGACCTCAAGTGATCCGCCTGCTTTGGCCTCCCAAAGTGCTGGGATTACAGGCTGAAATAGAATTTCCGATCATAAGTAATTGACCCGAGTCATCAATAAAAGGCTACATTATATTTGTCACATTCTTTTTTTTTTTGAGACAGGATTTCACTTTGATATGCAGACTATAGTATAGTGGTGCCAACTTGGCTCACTGCAGCCTCAACCCCCTGGGCTCAAGCAATCCTCCTGCTTCAGCCCCCCAAGTAGCTGGGACCACAGGTGTGTACCATCTTGCCTGGCTAATTTTTGTATTTTTTGTAGAGACAGAGTTTCACCATGTTGCCCAGGCTGGTCTCAACCTCCTGAGCTCAAGGGATCTGCCTGCCTTGGCCTCTCAAAGTTTTGGAATTACAGGCATGAGCCACTGCACCCATCCCATCCCATTTTTTTTTTTTGAGATGGAGTTTTGCTGTTGTTGCCCAGGCTGGAGTGCAGTGGCGCAATCTTGGCTCACTGCAACCTCCGCTTCCCAGACTCAAGCAAGTCTCCTGCCTCAGCCTCCCGAGTAGCTGGGATTATAGGCATGCGCCACCATGCCCGGCTAATTTTGTATTTTTGGTAGAGACCAGGTTTCACCATGTTGGTCAGGCCGGTCTCAAATTCTTGACCTCAGGTGATCCACCTGCCTCGGCCTCCCGAACTGCTGGGATTACAGGCATGAGCCACCACACCTGGCCCATCACATTCTTTAAAAAGCGGAGAACTGATTAACACATTCTTGAAAATGTGGAGCAAATGTTGCATGACCAAGTGTTTCTTAATCAGTTTCCTGAAATTGCAGCTGTCTTCTTTCAATTCCCATAAAAGTGCTTTAACATTTTTTATACTAATACTGTAGTTCCTCAAATTTTGACTTCTGAGCACCAATAAGGAAATGTGGAGAGAAGGGACATTGCTACACAGTTGGTAGGAATGGAAATTAGTATAACTATCATGGAAAACAGTATGGAGCTTCCTCAAAAAATTAAAAATTGAACTACCATACACATCCAAAGGAAATGAAATCAGTATATCGATTGGGGGTGCTGGCTCAGACCTGTCATCCTAGCACTTTGGGAAACTGAGGTAGGAGGATCATTTGAGTTCAGGGGTTCAAGTCCAGGGGTCTCCCTATGTTGCTCAGGCAGGTGGATCACCTGAGGTCAAGAATTTGAGACCAGCCTGACCAACATGGTGAGCAACATAGGGAGACCTCATTTCTACTAACAATTTAAAAATTAGCTGAGTTTGGTGGTGCACACCTGTGGTCTCAGCTACTCAGAAGGCTGAGGCAGGAGGATTGCCTGAACTTGGGAGGTCGAGGCTGCAGTGAGCCCTAAGCATGCCACCGCACTCCAGCCTGGATAACAGAATAAGATCCTGTTTCAAAATTTTCTTTTTGATTGATTTCTGAAAAGAAATCAGCATGGCAAAGAGTTATCTGCACTTACATGTTCACTGCAGCATTATGCACAATAGCCAAGATATAAAATCAACCTATGTGTGTATCAATGGATAAATGGATTTTTAAAATGTGGTATATAAATGCAATGAAATGCTATTCAGCCTTAGAAAACAAGGGAATCCTGTTATTTACAACAACGTGGATGAAGCTGTGGACATTTTGCTAAGTGAAATAAGCTAGGCACAGAAAGGGAAATACCACATTATTTCATTCATAAGAGAAACCTAAAAACCTCAAACTCATAACAGCAAAGTGGAATGGTGGTTAACAGGGAGTCAGGGCAGAGGTGATGGGGAATGCCTTTAATGGCCAGAGAATACCAATTTTCAGTTAGGCAGAAGTTCAAGAGGTCTATTATACAGCACGGTGTCTATAGTTAATAACAATGTATTGTATGCTTGAAATGTGCTGAGAGTAGATTGCATATGTTAATTAGTGTGATTTAGTCATTTCACAATGTAAACATATATAAAACACGTAGTACATCATAAATATATATAATTTCTATTTGTCAATTGAAAAACAGTCGTCTGGACCTGCTTCCTGTCACATAGGTCAATTTGCATCTTTTTTTTTTTTTTTTTTTTTTTTTGAGACTAGCGTCTCACTCTGCTGCCCAGGTTGGAGTGCAGTGGTGCCATCCGGGCTCACTGCAGCCTTGAACTTCTGGCCTCAGATGATCCTCTGGCCTCAGCCTCTCATGTGGCTGGGGCCATATGTACTCACCACACCACCTGGCTAATTTTTAAAGTTTTTGTAGAGCTGGGTCTCTTGTTAGTTGCCCAGGCTGACCTCAAACTCTGGGGCTCAAGCGATCCTCCTGCCTCAGCCTCCCAAAGCCCTGGGATTACTGGTGTGAGTTGCCACACCTGGCCTAATCTGTGTCTTTATCAATACTATAGGAAACGAAAAAGAAAAAACAAAGAACTAAACAAACTACCCCTTAGACTCAAATAGCCAATTACTGAAACTGAATTTGACTCGCGGATTCTGGTTACTTGTGCATATAGCCCAGGTTTCTTTGGGACCCCAGGGCTTGTCATCAAAGACAAAGTATCTAGTTGAATGGGGGAGATCATTAGGAGGCAGTGGCAAGCCCCAGAAAAGAAAGTGTCCCACCGTTGGGAGGCACATGGGGAGGCGGGTGGGAGTTCAGTCACGCCTGGCAGAGGATGTATGGAGGCAGGTCCCTCATGCCTTTAACTGCTCCACTGCTGCCTTACAACAAAGGAGAGACCTTCCAGACCCTCATCTGGCATCCTTCCCCTCTTTTCTCCTGAGCCCTGACATTCTGGCAATGCTTCGGCAACACAGAAGATAAAGCGTGGAGAGGGAGACTCAGCCACATTTTCTTACAGATGAGGGTGTGTGGCTGGAAAAGGGCCATTATCGACTCCTGTTCTCGCTTCCCCTCCTCTCTCAGAGTCTGGAGAACTTCGAGAAAAAAGGAGGAGGACACAAAAGGAAATAACAAAAAAGATGCATCCGGAGCAACTATGAGGATGGTAAATTGGTGTCTAATTCTGAAAATCATAATTGGTATAAATGCTATGTACTGTGGAAGGAGGGATGAAGGGTAGAGGGAATAAAAAAGAACATGAAGTTAGAATCCTTGGCATGAAAGCCTGCCATTTATACAAGCAAACAAACAAGATCAGGGACTATCAACTGGCTGGCTGAATTGGACCAATAGGCAGGTTTATTCAGCCCCACACTTCAAAAATTAGGAGATCTCCAAATTAAAATCTGGGAATCTGACCTTTTGTAACAAATCAGAGGATTTGCAACACCAAGAGCATCATCACAGGCAACGACCAGCTTGGATGGGCAGCGGCTGCCCCTGCAGGTGGGTCAGGTGCTCTTCCGTTGGACACAGTCTCCACCACTCCCTGTCGCTTGCTCCTTGCTCCCCATCAGCATAACTGTTTGGGCCTTATAGCATATGCATTTATCACTCCCTACTAGGACGTCCACAACATGAAATGAGAGAACGATTTGGTAAGTTCAACAAAAGGCATATTATGCAGCCACCATACATTCTTTGTGGAAAGAGAAGTGGCATAAATCAATTCATAAATTATCTCAAGTTGTTTCCTCTGGAGTCCTGGGCTGGCTGTTGGATGAATTCATCTGTCTTCTAGCAGATGGACAAGAAAATTGAATTGTAGTGGCCCATCAGGTGTCGATCGCAGCCTCTGGGTCCGTGTAGGTGAGCCCTCACCACAGAGAGAATGAGAGCTGGCTCTAGGACGGGGTGTTGATCTGTGCACAGCTGCCCGGGAAAGGGCCTAGAGAGAGGAGCTATGGGTCCTGCACTGACATCAGCCTTGAACATGAGGCTGGCGTGGCAGCGGCGGCGGGGTGGGGGGGGACATGAATAATTCATATCGCAACCAGATTGATGCTCAGTGAGCTTCAATAGGAATGAATTACCTTGTGTGCATTTCCTGCCTAAATGTCAGTGTATCTTTTCACAAGCGCCTGGGACGGGTTTATGAATAGGTGCATTCTCTGATGCCTCTGCTTTAGGCAAGGCAGTTTCAGAATCTTGGCTGAGTTTCCAACTTCTGACTTGCTATTTACAAACTGTAATCATAAGATTTCAAGTGACACATGACTGAAAAAAAAAAGCCCTTACTCAGGAGAAATCTGGATGGAAATGGAACAATGGTTTTGAATGTATCTGGATCATGAAATGAAAGTCAGGAGGCTTGAGTGTTCTGCTGAGAAAAAGTGATGGGGGAAGAACATAAACATGTATAGGACACTTACTGTCTTGGGAACTTTATGGGTGTTCTCATTGTTAACATCATTTAACAGATGAGAAAAACAGTTCTCAGACATTGCTGCTAACAGAAATTCAATGCAAGCCACATTTGTAATTTAAGATTTCCTAGTAACCACATTAAAAAAGAGAAAAATAAAAAAGAGACTGAAATTAAATTTAATGGTATATTTTATTTAACTCAGTATATCCAAAATGAACATTTAAATATGCCATTGATATAAAAATTACTGATGAGATATTATGCATATTTTTTCAAAACACGTCTTGGAAGTCCAGGGCATAATTCACTCTTAGAACACATCTCATTTCAGACAGCCACAATGTAAGTGCTCAAAAGCCGCCAGGCGTGGTGGCTCATGCCTGTAATCCCAGCACTTTGGGAGGCCGAGGCGGGCAGATCATATGAGGTCAAGAGTTCGAGACCACCCTGCCCAACAGGGTGAAATCCTGTCCCTGTTAAAAATACAAATATTAGCCAGGAGTGGTGGCAGGCGCCTGTAATCCCAGCTACTCGGGAGGCTGAGGCAGGAGAACTGCTTGAACCTCAGGAGGCAGAGTTGCAGTGAGCCGAGGTTGCACCATTGCACTCCAGCCTGGGAGACAAGAGGGAAACTCTGTCTCAAAAAAAAAACAGACAACAATAAAAAAAAACAAAACAAAACACAAAAACAGGCAGCAGCTCTGACACATGCACTTCAAGCTGCATGGCCTTGGGCAAATTGCTTAACTCCTCTGGTCCCCATTTCCTTATCATAATGTTGAGGAATGATATGTCTTCTCAGTTCCTCCTCGGTCATAGGGTAACAGACAAGCACGGCACAGTGGTCACTGTCACACAACAGCAGGGGATCTATGGGTGCAGGCAAGTGGCAAGATGACATATGTGAAATCATTAAAGTTGTATCTCAGATCCAGATGACAAGGATTGTTAAAGGCTGTTTGCATAACCATATTCAATTTGGGGTGATGCAGAAGGGGTATTCAGGGTCTGGTCAGCTCCCACGGGAGGCTTCCTACAACCTGCCAGGCCTTCACCTGGGCAGGCAGAATGCTAATGCCACCAGCTAGGAGGATGTTCTCAGAGGGACGGAGGAGATGGCAGCTTCTCCAAGTTGATCCCTCAAAACCATGACTTCTCTGAGATTTGTGTCTCAGGCACTCGTTTGCAATGACTACTGTAGCAAAATGACTAGGCACGTGCAAAAATGCTGCATCCAGCTTGTTTGAACAATTGCAGTTGTTCAATTTCATTCAGACCAATTAGGCTATATTTTTAGTATGATTATTCAAAGCATTGGTACTCCTTAGACAAAATCTTAGCTAACAAAAGTTAGCTGGAATGAAAATTTTACAGAAAGTAGAATATCTTTGTTACCAAAGGGAAGTTTATTTTGATAAAATTAAAAAGGCCAGGTACAGAATAACATGCAACTTAAAACTATCACGAGTGGGACAGTGTAGACGTGAGAAGAAGATGCCTTTGGGGCCAATGGGCCTGCATTCACATTTTATTTTTGCCACCCTTTTCTTTGGTGACTTTATTACCTTTAAAATGGGAAAGATACACATGTACCTTCCAAGTTACAGGACGGATTTACATTCTTGGCACCATAAATATTAGTTCCTTTTTTTTCTACATCAGTGAGAAAGGATGTGGTAAAACAGGGGGAAAAAAAATAGGCAAGGCCTTTGTGTTTTTGCTTTTTTTGTGGTCTAATTTCTTTTAACAAATAACAGTTGTTTTTCTGATTAGGAAAGTAACACATTCATTGTAGAACACTTGGAATATTCAGAAAAAAATGTATTTTTTTTTAAATCGCCAGTAATTCTACCACCAGAGATAAATACTATGAATGTTTTTGTTTGCACTAAGCACACCTATGTGATTGGGATAATATTATTACCTAAAGTGTTGTGTTCCACTTTTCATGCATGTGCTCTTTTTACATTCTATTTTATTTTGAGACAGGATCTCACTCTGTCACCCAGGCTGGAGTGCAGTGGTGGCATCACAGCTCACTACAGCCTCAAACTCCTGGGCTCAAGCAATCCTCCCACCTCAGCCTCCCAAGTAGCTGGGACCACAGGTGTGCACCAACACACCTGGTTAATTTTTTGTATTTTTTGTAGAGACAGGGTCTCACTGTGTTGCCCAGGCTGGTCTCCAGCTCCTGGCCTCAAGTGATCCACTTGCCTTGGCCTCCCAGAGTGCTGGGATTGTAAGTGTGTACCACTGTGCCTGGTCTGTACTCTCGTTTTTAAAAAGACTCCTCAAAAACGTTGGAATTTTCCTTATTTTAAAAATACTGTTGAAGAACATAACTTAATGGTTATATAATAATATTTCACTATATTGCTGTACCATGTTTTATTTAGTCCTATTTTTGGACAGCTAGGCTGTCTCCAAATTTTCTCAATACAGAAATTCTACATAATATTCTTGCACACAAATTTTGGTCCACATCTGTTGACGTCTTTAGGATAAGTTCCTAAGAGTGGAATGAGCAACTCTAAGGGTTTTTTAAGTGGTCCTGACTTATATTGCTAAATTACTTTTCCAAAAGATTATGGTAGTTGATGGCCCTACTATGAGTGAATGGTAATTTTTGTACCGTCTGGTCTCAGAACCAAACCATCAGCTACATTTTTAAAATAATGAATTGAGAATGGATGAATTGTAGGCACATATGGGGGTTCTATTTCTCTTTCTATGGGACTCTAGGTATGATTTTCCCATTTTTGTAATTAGGATATACGGCTCCAGGAAATTGAGAGTGAGCCAGATAGTTTCTGGAGAAGTCAACTGTACCGAGGCCAGGAAACACTAGTCATCCCTGAGGGTCAAACACAGTTATGTACTAAGAATGAGGAAGTCCCACACAAAGTGGCAAGATGCTGGGTTAGCCCACAGTCTTAAGAGGGAAACCTGTTCCAGACATGACTTCCGCCCTTGGCAGATGAGGCTTCTGGTTGCCTGCCAATTATAACTAGCTAGAAACAGCATCACGGAGAAACAGTAAAGCAACAGCAAGGTGGCGGCTGGAGACTCGGGCATGAGGCCCAAGGCCAGGAGAGGAGCAGCGGGTGGGAAAAGCCTGAAGGAGGGGCTGGGTCTAGACCAGCTAGCAATCCCACAGCAGCCAATAGCCCAGCCTGCTGGAGAAGAGATTTCTAGAAATGCAAAAGTTTTCACATGCAACCACGAAAGCAGTTCACGGGCGTTCCTGGCACTGTCAGGAGGAAGTCAGGATCACACAGGGTGCACCTGGAAAGCAGCTGCCCTCCCCAAGTTTGACCTGGGCTAGCAGCTGGTACTGCCATGTGGGCTCTGGGTTTTATGAAGTTGCAACACCAGAACCAGGAATTTGGGGAAGATAAAATAGAAACAGAGAAAATATTTATATTTATTTAGACGAGAGATGTGCACAAACCACAAGCCCTGGAGATGCAGGGCGTCTAAACCATTGCCATTATTTCAGTAGCTTTAGGAGAGTTCGCAAGGTAGCTAATGATAAGAAACAGGAGAAAATCATTCTCCAACCCTCACAAACGAAAATGTCTGATCCGAGCACCCGTGGCTGTCTCACTGCTTAACCCTTCCAAAGAATAAACATGAAGTACTCTTCAGTATGGCTATGGGAAGAGCACATCCTGTTGCATTAGGAAACTTTAATTACTAAGTTTGATAAATCAAAGGTTGTCATTTACATGATACATCTTAACTTCAGCAAGAGGTTTAAACTCATCTCACATAAATCACTCAACAACCAGAAAAATACGGTCCTGATGTTGGCATGAGAGAACACACAAAGAATGTTTTCAAAGGCTGATCTTGGGCCAATATAGCTTAAATTTTCATCAGTGATGATAGAGGAGGGTGCAAGAGTAAATGAATAAAAGAGACAACCCAGTATGGGGTTAAAACAGTAACTAGCCATTGAAGATAGGGGGAAGTGAGGGGTAAGTCAACAGAAATCAGTAGTATAGACATATAGAATGAAGTTTGATAGCATCACTTGCCTTTAAAAATGAACAAATTAAGAAAATAACAAATGGAGTGAACACACAGCCTAGTAAAACATTCACTGTCTGGAGTCTCCAAGAATAAGCCACCCTAGGAAGCTAGGTTTCCCATCTGAGAAACCTTAAATAACTAATCTTAGGTTTCATCCATTCGTAATGGAAAGTTTTCAAGAATGTGTCACTCATTTCTCTGCTTTTTTAAAGAATGTGATGGGCCGGGTGTGGTGGCTCGCACCTGTAATCCCAGCATTTTGGGAGGCCGAGGTGGGTGGATCACCTGAGGTCAGGAGTTCAAGACCAGCCTAACCAACATGGTGAAACCCAGTCTCTATTAAAAATACAAAATTAGCTGGGCATGGTGGCACATGCCTGTAATCCCAGCTACTCGGGAGGCTGAAGCAGGAGACTTGCTTGAACCTGAGAGGCAGAGGTTGCAGTGAGCCGAGATTTTCCATGGAGTAAATTTGCTCCATAACTTGTATACGAGAATGATCTAGGGTGCCTGTAGGTTCAGGCAAGTGAGTAGCTAGATTTAAAGTATGCCATACTTTAAGAGTTACATCAGGAGTGTCTAGCAATAAAGCCTGATATTTTAATGAGTCCCCCTGTCATCCACTGGTGTCTTTTAGTTTCTAGGACTCCTTGTACTTGGTGTGGGGTTAAAACCTCCAGATGTTGTCTTAAAGCCAGTTTATTGTTTCATCTACTAAGGCAGTTGCTGCAACTGCCCTGAGGTATCCAGGCCATCTTGAAGTGACATGGTCTAGTCGTTTAGAAAAATATGTCACTGGTCAGGGAATAGCTCCCAATTTCTGGACAAAGACACCTAGGGCAGTGCTTTGTTTTTCAGTCATATAAAGGAAAAGCGGCTTATCAAAATTAGGGATCCCTAGGGCTGGGGTTGATCCCAATTTCTCCTTGAGAGTTTTAAAAACCTGTTCACAATTACTATCCCATTCAAAAGGACCTACATCTGCTCCTTTCAGAGTCTCATCAAAAGGCTTGCCTATATGCCCAAATCCAACTACCCATAAAGAGCAGAATCCTGCCATCCCTAGGAAAGTCCACAGGTGTTTTCTAGTTTGGGGTTTTGGAATGTCCAAGATAGTTTCCCTTCATTCTGGTGTTATTGTCAGGGGTTGGAACTTATTCTGAGTATTTAATCTCTTGAGTTGAAATCTGGGCTTTGTGTGGTGAGACCCTGTACTTACTAGTTCCCAGAAAGTTTAGTAACTGAATGGTATTTTTGTCCAAGTTTCTTTTAGTTGAGCTAGTAACCAACAAGTCACTCACCTATTGGGTAATAGTGTTTTTACTTAATTGTACCATTTTAAATTCTCTAGGTAGTGCATTTTTAAACAGATTAGGGTTGTCCCTAGACCCCTGGGGAAGAACTGTCCAAGTTAATTAAGAAACTAAATGGCTATCAGTATCAGTCTTTTCAAAAGTAAAGATGAATTGTGAATCAGGGTGTACTGGAATGCAAAAAAAAAGGTCCCTGGGCTAACAGCGTGTAGGGATTGGGCACTGTAGTATGTATAGGAATGATAGTCTCATTGACAGCTCAAAGATCTTGAACAAATCTGTAGTCTCCATTTGGCTTTTTAACTGGCAAGATTGGTGTATGACAAGGAGATTCACAGGGCCTTAACAACCCAAACTGCAAAAACTTAGCAATTAGTGGTTGGATCCCTCTTTATGTCTCTGGCTTTAAGGGGTATTGTCTCTTCCATGGGTGTGGGACACCAGGCTTAAGTTGGATGCAAACTGGGGGAAGGTTTAGCATTTTGCCTGTAACTTTAGTGACCCATACTATAGGATTTACTTGGGAGGTTACTTCAACAGGTAAAGTAGGTAAGCCCCTTTGACTCTCCTCCCTTAACAAAGGAAAGGAGAAGGAACAACCCCTAGTCTGTCTTTTGATTTCCAAAAGATACCACTGTTTGCAATTCAGTTAACAATCCCTTCCCAACAAGGGGGTGAAGCATTCAGGTATGATAAGAAAGGCATGTGAGAAAACCAAAGTTGTTAAGGGATAGGTAAAATGGCATTTATGGGCTTGTCCATCTATCCCCGTGACCATACAGTTTTGGGGTGACAGAATCCCATTATAATGGGTCAAAACAGAGCAAGCAGCCCCCATGTCCAAAAGCAAGTTAACAGTCTTACCTGCCACGTCGAGGGTTACCCAGGGCTCCTTCGGAGATATGGCTAGTTGTCCAATGGGAGTTGTGGCAGAAGGTCCCAGGCCCCGTCACTCTTGGGCTTGCCTGGCTATTTCGGCCATCATTAATTTGGGTGCTGATGGCCCCCTTTGGAGCGCTGGGCAGTCCCCCTTCCAATGGCCAGTTTTCTTATAGTGTGTACACCGATTTATGTCCAAGGCACGGAGATGCGGATACCCAGCTTTGGGCTTTTCATCTTTCTGCTTTCCTTGTTCAGACCAAGAGTCAGGAGGGCAACCCCATGTGGGAGGAGAGTTTAAGGCTGCAGTGAAGAGCTGCACCTTGCGGGAGGTGCTTCTTGTTCTTTCTGTTTCCTCTGTTTTTCCCTGTTATTAAAAACTAAAAATGCCACATCCAAAAGTTGTTCCATAGGAGTCTGGGGACCCAGAGTTGATTTTTGTAGTTTTCTACAGATATCATGGGTAGACTGGATTATGAAATGTACTCCCAAAATGGTCTGTCCTTCCCTTGAGGCAGGATCAGTGTTAGTATATTTCCTAATCGCCTCAAATAAATGCCCTTGAAACAAAGCTGGATTCTCATCTTTACCCTGAGAAATTTCTTTAACCTCTTCAATAGTTAACAGGCTTTTTCACAAATTTCTTCATCCCTTCCAACAAACAAGTGACTATATAATCTCTCCTCTCCAAGTCCTCACTGCCCCTTTGATTGTTCTATTCTGGATCTTGATCTGGAACTGTTACACCTCCTACCTAATACATATTATGGTTAGGGTTATGAGCCAATACCTCATCTGTATGGGTCCTAGTTGTCCCCAAAATGTGTTGTTTCTCTTCCACTGTACAGCACAGAGAAAACAAAACATGCAGATCCTGCAATGTTAAACTATGGGTAGGAGTTAATTTCTCAAACTCATCTATGAATTTTCCTGGATCTTTAAAGAAATGACCAAACTTCTCTTCACATAGAGCCAAATCAGACATAGAAAAGGGAACATGTATTCTTGCAGTGACTTCTTCCCCATTTGCAACCTGTGTAAATGGCCAAAGATTTCCCTTTGGAGGTTGATAAGAGGCTCCACTCTAAGTAGTACTTTCAGGGCTAAGTTCCTCAGGGAGTGGTGAGTATAGAGTGGGACTAGACAGGTAAGGAGGAGTGGATGAAGGGTTCTCAATAGAACTTTCAGGTGGACTACAGGGAGAAAGGGCTGACACATCTGAACCTTCAGAGCTGACAGAAGGAGGTTCTGCTCCACCCAAAAATGTCCACTGAACTGTGGGGGCTGTACCAAGGGATCACCTAGTATGTCTGGTTCTTTTTCTTCCTTTTCTCCCATCAAACATGCACATGTCTGCTGCAGGGTTTTATTCTGACTGAGCAGTAAAACACTTGAACATATGGTATTTCATCCCATTTTCCTTCCTGCTTACAAAACAAATTGAGCTGAAGTATAGTATTAAAGGCCACAGTTCCAGTAGGAGGCCATTTCTCTTGTTTTTCTAAATAATACCAAGGCCAAACATATTACACAGAAAGACCAGTTTTCTCTTCTTAAGGCCATTTAGTTTAAACTGGTCCCAATGTTCAAGAATACATCTTGCTGGTGAGTCTTTTGGGATTGACGCCATGATTCCCATGAAGGAGGCAGGTGATATTGCAAAACTTGTGAGATTATATTGTCACTGGCCACATTCACTAAAAAGGATAAAATAAGTTTTCAAGGCCAGCTACATTAATGAGGGGATCTTTGCCAAAAATTGGATTCTCTTATTCAGACTATCTGAACAATAAAATGAGATGAGCCATGAATCTTAGATAATACACAACATGGACTCCAACAAAAGAAATGTCAAATAAGGCAAAGGAAATGCAGAGGATGTAGATGGTGATATAGTTTGGCTGTGTCCCCACCCAAATCTCATCTTGAATTATAGCTCCCATAATTCCCACATGTCATGGGAGGGACCTGGTGGAGGTAACTGAATCATGGAGTGGGTCTTTCCTATGCTGTTCTTGTGATAGTGAGTAAGTCTCATGAGATCTGATGGTTTTATAAAAAGGAGTTCCCCTGCACACACTCTCTTTGTCTGCAGCCATGTAAGACGTGACTTTGCTCTTCCTTCGTCTTCTGCCATGATTGTGATACCTCCTCAGCCATGTGGAACGTGAGTCAATTAAATCTCTTCCCTTTATAAATTACCCAGTCTTGGGTATGTCTTTATTGGCAATATGAGAACAGACTAATAAAGATGGGAATGACCAGAGCACACAGGTTCTGGGCAATAGTGGCACGTGGATTAGACAGGAAAAGACAGTTTGCCCGAATCCAAGAGAGGAAATAAGTGTTTGTTTGTTTAGTGTGCACAATGAAACAAAACAGCAAGGAGAAAAGTCCCCTGATTTCCATCCTAGTGCTTCTCAATCATACCTAGTGGGCATAGCAGCAACAAAACACAATCACATCTATCTAATCTTATTGCGCTTAGCTTAAGCTAGATTTGGTTAAATACCAAATCTCAATCAGCAAGTTTAGAGACAGAACCTTCAGTGCTTTTTTTCCCCAATGTTTCACAAGTAACTGGATGGAAATCAGGAGGCACACGGGGGAAGCGTAACTTAAAATCCCTAGGACCAGTTAAATGAAGTCTCCTGAAAATGACAGTGAAACAGAGACGGCAACCAAGAAATTGATTCATGCAGTGAAGAGGACAAGGCAGATTAATACAAAGAACATAGCAGCTAACACCCCATGGTGCCAAACCGTTCTTAGCCGAAAGGGACTTATACTAGAATCATCTGGAAGATATTAAAAACCAAATGTCTAGGCCACACCCCATATCAATTACATAAGAACCTTTTGAGGTGAGATCCAGGCAGCAATAATTTTTAGAGCTTCTCTGGTGAGAAAACTGGGAACCACTGATTAGGGACTTTACATAACAAGAAATCTGGAGTTAGGCAGTTCAGGGCTGATGTGGCAGCTTCTCAAAGCATTGGCAACCCAGGCTCCTCCTGGTTCTCAACTCCACTGTCCCTGGAGGGTGAGGTCTTTGTCCTCATAGTCATAAAATCACTGCCAAAGCCCCAGACATCAGGTCCATTGTCCACACAACAGGAAGGAGGAAGGGCCAAGATAAAAGCCTCACCTCACAACTTCTGCTTAACTATCAATGACAGGAACTTTATCATATTTTCACCCATATCTTCAAGAGAGACTGGGAAAGGTATTTATTTAGTTGGGTACATTGTCGTGCCCCCCTGCCCCCACCCAAATCAGGATTCTATTAGTAAAGAAGAGTGAAGAATTGATATTGGACAAGCAAATATGAGGACCAAGGCCCTTGGCCCCCTAAAGTTTCACTAAAAATCACTGACTGAAGCAGACTGATTAACAGAAGAAAAGGCATAGATATTTATTTAACATGTACACATGGGAGCCTTCCAAATGAAGAACCAACTTCCCAATGAGGTTACAGAAAGAATGGAGGCTTGGATCCTGGTAAAACAGGTTATGGGAGGGAAGAGAAGAGGAATTCTGTGGAGCAGATTACTACGGAGAATGAATGACTCCAGTAACAGAGATTAACTTGTAGATAGTTCTCTTTGGAATCTGAACAGCCCTTGGAGACATCAGGATACTTGGAAAAGGATCTGCTCAGGTGTGCTTACATCTTGGTCTTCTTTCCTGCAATAAACAATGACAACAGGGAGGGAACAAGAATAATTCTTCTCCTTGGTGGGTTTGGGTCTTAGGTGGATAAAGGAACTCCAGATTCCATGGGAGAGACAGTGGGGGTGGGGGAGTCAGAGAGATCCCAGTTTAACAGGTCAAAACACCATCTTTGGGGATGTTGATTTCTGAGCCCCAACACAACTATCTATTTCTGCCACTAAAATGCTTATTAAACAAAAAACAACAGATACCCATTGGAGAGCTCCTTTCTCTGTTAATCCACTCGACTATAATAAAATACCAAAGATGGCTATAATAAACTGCTGAGATGGGATAATTCCCTTGACCCCCATCTCAGGACTTGCAATAGGGGTGTGGCTCATTTACTCAGCCTCCCCGTGCTCAATCCCCGTGCAAGAGGGAGCATGCGAGTGAGCAGGTGCGGGCCCCAGAGTGAACCAACGCTGGAACTGGCCAATCACTCCTCTCTGGTGGGAGCAGGCTCTGTGCAGGCCCTGCATCGGTGTCCAACCAATGCTCTTTGAGCTCTGCCATCCTGGGACAGCCAAGTGCCAACCAGCTCAGTGGAGGATGGCAGCCCTTGCCCTCTCTGCACCCAGGTTCTTGTCCGGCATCCAGGAAGAATCAGGTCTCACAAATGGCTTGAAAGGCAGTGTATGTGGAGGATTTTATTGGGCAATGGAAGTGGCTCTCAGCGGGATAGGGAGTTGGAAAGAGGATGGTGCCCAAAGAAGGTGATGTTTCCCTGAAGCCTGGCTGTTTCCAGCCAGACCCCTCTCCAAAGCTGCACCGGCTGAAGTTAGCCATATCTTTCCATAGTCTCTGATGCTCAGTTGCTTCTCTGCTTGCCATTAAATCACTTGAATCCCTGATGCTTAGCAGCTTGTATCCCGAGCACTCAGCCGCTTGTGTTGCTCTGCCAGCTGAAGTCTTTTTATGGGCACAGGATGGGGCATGGAAGGCCAAAAAGGCGTCATTTGGGTGGAAAAACAGGGTCAGCTGTTTTCACTTAGGGCCACAGTTCCAGGCTCAAGGGTGGGGTTTAGTCGGGAGCCCAGTCCTTCTGTATCAATACCAAAGACTGCCATAATGGAAATGCCAAAACTGCTATAGTAAAATACCAAAGACTGGATGGCTTATAACCAACGTTTATTTCTCACCGTTCTGGAGGCTGGGAAGTCCAAGGTGCTGGCAGGTGCGGTGCTTGGTGAGGGCCAGCTTCCTAGTTCAGACTTGGTTCAGTTTTTTGGTTTGTCCTCATATAATGGAAGAGTTAAGGGATCCACCCTCATGATCTAATCACCTCCCAAAGGCCCCACCTCTTTGAGGGTTAGGATTTCAACACCAGAATTTGGTGGTACATCCAGACCACAGCACCTTCATATCTTTGAAACTCCATCAATATATAGTGGAAGAAACTTCTATGCCATACCACCTAGTTATAGGTTACATAACAGAGCATTTTCTAAAAAGTCAGGATGTAAGTTTTATTTTACTTACATCTTACTGAAAATGAGGCCTTCATCTTAATGAGATATATTTCTTTTCTTAGACATTTTTATTTCATAAGGCCCCTTATAATTTAAAATCATATTTTTTGAATGATATGAGGAAAAAGAAGCATGAATGTTCATGGTGTTTTTGAGGAGAAACGTTCAAGAGGTGCTGTTGGTAAGGTAGGAAACCACACGGCCAGGGCAGGCTTTGAGTGCCAGGCTGAGGGGTTTGGGACTCTTCCTTTACAGAAGATCAAGTGTCCCCCCTTCTCCCACCTCCCAATCCTTCCCTCCAATAAAGTCTCCGGTTTTTGGTTCCAGTTCCTGGTTTCTGTCCCTCACGGTGCCCAGATGTACTCCCTTTTTATGTCTAAGCTAGATTGCAAGGGCTTCCACAACACTTACCAGACAGCTGAGGTCATGAGGCTTAGTGCTAATGAGGAGACAGGAGAAATGAGACAAGATGCATGTACTCAAGGCTGCTGACAACAGGCAGCCAGATGGGAGTTGGCAGCTGAGTCAGAAGTGCACAGGGGTAGGGGGAGAGAGAGGCAGGGAGCAAAGGCTGAGTCTGAGATTTGAGCCACAGTCATGTGTGAGCAAAAGGATGCTGTACAAGGAATGGGGAAGTTGGGGGGAGAAGATGTATTTTGGAGAAAGATGATGAGTTTGGTTTCAAAAGGGAAAGACACTTCTCTTTTACTGAGAGACAGCCCACTCTGGGCTAGTTCTATGTTACACACTCAACAGTGTGGGACAATCAAATAAAGTTGCAGCAAGCGACGGTGATTCGGGATGGTAGCATGAGGGCAGGGGTGGGAGTGGAGGCATGCCAGGGTAGACAGCATGAGTACACTCATGGAGAAAGAGGGCACAGGGGCCTCGGGCTTAGGACCTGACCTCCAGCTCCATCTACATGGCAGGGCCAGAGGGAGGCATAGATTGCCGAGGAAACAAGGAAGAGGCAGCAGCCTCAAAACCAGGAGTGGGCGGGTGGCTCACATCTGTAATCTCAGTGCTTTGGGAGGCTGAGGTGGGAGGATTGCTTGAGCCCAGGAGTTTGAGACCAGCATGAGCAACATAGGGAGACCCACCCCCCCATCTCTACAAAAAATAAAAAACAATTAGCCAAGTGTGGTGGTGCCTGCCTGTAGTCCCACCTTCCCGAGATCTGAGGCAGGAGGATGGCTTGAGCCCAGGAGTTTGAGGCTGCAGTGAGCTGTGACGGCACCACTGCACTCCATCCTGGTTGACAGACGAAAAACAAAACTCAACAACAAAAAACAAAACTAGGTGGGGCACAGCCCAGCAAAGTCTCATTTCTCCTGTCTCCTTCTAAAATACCAAAAACCGGCTGGCTTAGCATAGCATAGCACGAGCATAAAGGATTTCACAAGGGACCCAGCAGAGCTCAAGGCTGCTGAGTGGGGTGGGAAATCCAAACTGAGAAGAACATCAGCCTGGGGAGCTCATACGTTCTGGGAAAAACTGTGCTCCCTCCCACCCACGTTTTGGGGTACTCCACACAGAAGGTTTTTCATTCCTACAGACATCTATTTTTCTTTTTACAAAGTTATAATTGTGTTTTACACATTGCAAACTGCTTTTGTTAAACCGAGCATGATGCGATCTCTACGGAGTCTGAACAGGTCTGGGCTAAGGCAGACACCACAGGAGGCAGGACAACTGCACTCGCCCGAGGCTGCAAAGCACATTGGGGGGTGCCACCTACCCGAGCTGACCAGGGCCACTTCCTGCCCTGGCCCCTCCCTGCCACCAGCACTGTTTCCCATTCATCATCTGTTCCATCTTAAAGAGTGAATACTTCTGGAAAGGAGGGGCGTTACATCAAGATGCACAAAAGCGCAGTCATGAAAACCAGAGACAAGAGCTGAAGATAAGGAAACAGGCCCAATCTCCAGCATTCCCTTCTGTAGCTGCTCCAAAATTTCTCCATGTTCATCAATTCCCAATCCCATTCCCATCTGCCTTACTCTGGCTTTAAAAACAAGCTTTTTCATGAAATATCAAAACTAAAGGGACCCAGGTTTCAGGAAGCTCCCCTAGAGCATTCAATCCAAATGGAAAAGAATTCGTTTCACAAACACAATAGCTCTGCAAGGTGGCTGAGGTCATATTTATTTTACAGATGCATTCAGTTTGTGGTTGGGATAAACAAAAACATAAAATGAAATAAAAATATCTTACAGATGCAAAACTGGGCTTCTACAATTCCATAATATGAATAGCTGATGGATACAGCATATAATGTATAACATATTAATATGCAACACATATATTCATAAAGTACAGTCGTGTACCTCACAATGACATTTCAGCCAAGGATGGACCACATATACAATGGTGGTCCCAAAAGATTATAATGGAACTGAAAAATTCCTATTGCCTAATGACATCATAACCATCATAATGTCATAGAGCAATTATGTTTTGTTTTTATAAATTTGGTGTAACCTAAGTGTATAGTTTTTTTTTGTTGTTGTTGTTGTTTTTGAGATGGAGTCTCGCTCTGTTGCCCAGGCTGGAGTGCAGTGGCACAATCTCGGCTCACTGCAACCTCCTTCTTCCAGGCTCAAGAGATTCTCCTGCCTCAGCCTCCTGAGTAGCTGGAACTACAGGCATGTGCCACCATGCTGAGCTAATTTTTTGTATTTTTGGTAGATACGGGGTTTCACCATGTTGCCGAGGCTAGTCTCGGACTCCTGACCTCAGGTATTCCTCCTGCCTTAGCCTCCCAAAGTGCTGGGATTACAGGCGTGAGCCACCATGCCCGGCCAGTGTATAGTGTTTTTAAAGTCTATAGTAGTGTACAATAATGTCCTAGGCCTTCACATTCACTCACCACTCACTCACTGACTCACCCAGAGCAGCTTCCAGGCCTTCCCTATACAAGCGTACATTTTTGTTAAGTGCCCTATACAGATATACCATTTTATATCCTTTATACTGTAATTTTCCTGTACTTTTTCTACATTTAGATATGTTTAGATACACAAATACTTAACATTATGCTACAACTGCTTACAGTATTCAGTATAGTAACTTGCCATCCAGGTTTGTAGCCCAGGAGCAATGGGCCATACCATAGAGCCTGGGTGTATAGTAGGCTCTACCATCTAGGTTTGTGTAAGCACACTCTATGATGTTCACACAATGATGAAATCACCTAATGATGCATTTCTCAGAATGTGTCCCTGTCATTAAATGACACATAACTGTATATACCATATATTCATTTATATGTAACACAGATATTGAATGGAAAGTCTAGGATTCAGACTAGATCTAAAGATCCTACCTGGACAGGTGCAGTGGCTCATGCCTGTAATCCCAGCACTTTGGAAGGCTGAGGTGGGCAGATCACTTGAGCCCAGGAGTTTGAGACCAGCCTGGGCAACACAGCGAGACCCCGACTCTATAAAACATAATAAAAAATTAGCTGGGCCTGGTTGCCTGTGGTCCCAGCTACTTGGGAGGCTGAGATGGGAGGCTCACTTGAGCCCAGGAGGTCAAGGCTGCAGTGAGCCATGATTTTGCCACTGCACCCCAGCTTGGGTGATGGAGAAAGACCCTGTGCCAAGGGGGAAAAATGATCCTACCCATTGGTTACATTAAAGACAACAATAACTGAGAGGGTTTCACAGAGACTGGAAGCTGAGGCCCACACGCTAGATATGGCCAGAAAATATGTTCTGTATAGTCCCCCAGCTACTTTAAAACTGGGAAAATCAACATTAGGCTCAGAACTTCAATTGCTTCTGAAAGAAGCAGATGCGACTACTCTGGGCTTCCATCCCAGGAGGTGAGAAATTGGCCGGAGCTGTGTGGCAGCTGCTCATCCGTGACCCACCTCCACAACTCCCTACTGCCTGCCGGACCTGGGGGCTAAACTCAGTTGTCATTTGCCATTGTGCTCAAGCTGGCAATGTCCTTACCCTGGCTCTCCTCACTTGTCTTGATGACCTGTCTGCACCCACAGGCCTTTATCAACCCTGGTGAAATGCAACTTCCTTTCCAGGAGCCTTCACTCTTGAACAAATGGAAAATCCTTCCACTGAAGTAACAAAGCCACTAACGAAATGCTAAGGTTCAGACATCAGTGAATCCCCAAGAAAACTAACTTTTTTTCTGGGGTTGCCCTAGTGTTCCTAATCAAATCCATGTAAATAACTGCCTATTCAGCATACTCTAAAATTCAAGCCAAAAACTAGGTATATTTTTGAAAGTAAATGTGTTTGTATTCTCTTTAAGTCATTTAACTTAAGGCAAATGCAAAAGATGATCCTTGGATAGTAAAAACTTCTCCTTCTCCTGCTTACAAGTTTTAGCACCACCCAAAAAGCGGTAACAGTTTTGGGAGAGGTGGTTATTTTGCAAAATGTGCTTTTTGTTTCTTGGCCTATGTGTAGGGCCATTTAGGGAGAAGCCATGTTTGCACAGTAAGTTTTTGTGTGTATGGAAAGTTGTTTTTGCAAGAGACACACGTTCAGTGTTTTCACATTACTGCGTCCCTGTTGACAACAAGATGAAATGCCATTAAAAGGTGAAAGTTACCAACTGCAACTTATATGCTGGGAGCTTCAATGTTGAAGTGGACAAATCTTAAAAAGATCAGTACGAACATTGCACAGTTCAAGTTACTGCTACAGACAGTGTCTTTTTCTTTTGCAAGATTCAAGAAGATTCTACTGAAGCTATTTTCCCGCTTCCCTGGCAGATCTAGGCAAGATCTGGGGAATTATTTTTCCTCTCCATTTCTCCTTTGATCATTAGCTCATGTACAGATACATTAGTTAATTTTAAAACATTAATTAAGCACTAATGGGTCAGGCCTCATCAACACTTTGTCCTGGGCATAGGTAGTGTAAGACACAGGAGGAGAGAAAAAGGAAATGAGTCATGTGAAATGGCTGAAAGGTAACATGCAAATTCCGAGCCACCTCTCAGAAGAGGCCTGAGATGGGCTGCAGCCTGTGGGCAGGCCCGTGCCACGCAGCCTGCACCCTGTACTGGGCTCTAGGCACAGCCTCACCTCAGCTGCTTCCTTCCTCCCTCACCGCACCCTTCTTCCTGTCTCCTCTACCTCCAGCCCCTTTGGGTGCAGTGGAAAAACTTGGGACACTGAGTTCCAGTCTCTGCTGGCTCTCAGCCATGACGTAACCTTGACCAGGCCACTCTGCTGGCCTGGATGGTGGTTTCTTTTTATGTGAAAGAAGGCACTTAACTGTAGATGCTTTAAGGTCCTTCCTGTGTCTGAGTCCTCAATCGTAGGCTTATGGTGCTGGTAGATTTTTCAGCTCTGATGTTGAATTTAGTCCATGGCACTCTCCAAAAGGAGCTGGCATATTAAAAAATTAATATCGAAAGCTTTCTACAATTTTGTTTAGTTTCTGTAAAACTCCTAGAACTCCTTTTATACTTTTTTTGAGACAGGGTCTTGCTCTGTTGCCCAGGATGGAGTGCCGTGGCATGATCATGGCTTATTGCAGCTTCGACCTCCTAGGCTCAAGCAATCCTCCCACCTCAATCTCCCAAGTAGCTGAGACCACAGGCTCATGCCACCATGCCTGGCTAATTTTTTAATTTTTTTGGAGGGGCGGGGTCTCACTATGTTGCCCAGGCTGATCTTGAACCCCTGGGCTCAAGCAATCTGCCTCCCTAGGCCTCCCAAAGGGCTGGGATTACAGATGTCAGCCACCATGCCCTGCCTTCCTTTCTACCTTTGCAGTGGTTGGAGGGTGGCCAAGATCTTAATTAAGAGCACAGACTTCAGCACATTTCCTGGGCTGACTCCCAGCTCAGCTACTTCCTAGTTGTGTGAACTTAGGTAAGTTATTTAATTTCTCTTGCCTCATTTTCCTCACCTGTAAAACAGGCAAAATGAGAGTCCCAACTTCTCAGGGCTGTAGGGAAGATTAAATTAATTAATATGTATTAATATTCTTAGTGTGATGCCTGGTAGAGTATACATGCTTTGGGAATACTAGCTGCTTTTACTATTATTTCAGTCTTATCTATAATTATAGAAAAATAGCAGAGGTGTCGAGAGTAGTTAGGAATACTAAGCTGGCCAAGACAAAGGGATGCTCAGTGGGATGCAGCCAGTTATGGGAAAGACCATGATTTTTGATTTATCCATCAGACCCCTTTTTCTTTTCTTTTCTTTTCTTTTTTTTTTTTTTTTTAGGCAAAGTCTTGCTCTGTCATCCAGGCTGGAGTTGGAATGCAGTGGCACAATCACAGCTCACTGCAGCCTCTACCTCGTGGGCTCACGCAATCCTCCACCTCAGCCTCCCAAGTAGCTGGAACCACAGGCATGTGCCACCATGTCCAGCTAATATATATATATATATTTATAAAGTTGGGGGTCTCCCTATATGGCCCAAACTGGTCTGGAACTCCTGGGCTCAAGTGATCCTCCTGCCTCAGGTTCCCAAAGTGCTGGGCTTACAGGCACGAGCCACTGTGCCCAGCCCCCATGTTTCTTAAAAACAAAACCAGAAAGCCTTAGTCCTCCCTGCAAATGCATAGCCCAAGCCCATCCCCACACATTCAACCTTCACAAATGGCCATGTGGCCTTCAGCCAATACTGTTCCACTGAAATGACTCTCAGGAAAGTGACCAGTGGCCGAGTTGGTAAACTCCATGGCTTCTACTCAGCCATCCTCTCTCTCCATCTTGCTGGTGTCCTCTGATTCTCTCAAGTTCTGGTGCTCATTGCCCACTCCTGCCAAAGGGCAGCATCCACATGTCTCCCACCAACACAGATTCGGCAGAGCCAGCACTGAAGCAGCCTTCCTCCCAAGCACCTTCGCCTCAGTCCCTGCTTTGCCTTGGAATCTACCATCAGCCCCACCTGTGCTCCCAACCTCAGTGCCTCCGGTGCCCTCCTCCTCTCACCATCCTCTCAGCAGCCCCAAGTCAGGGCTGATTCGCTCTTGCTTGGAGGACCCACCCTTCCTCCCCTGCCCACTGTTCGTGCTGTCACCAGGAAGATCTCCTGACCCAGCTCTGACCAAGTCACGCTCACAAATGCCCTCTGGCAGCACTGCATCCATTAAAGGCAGTCCACACTTTCTATGCTTGCGCTTGTGCTTCCCACCTCCTCCATCAAAAAAAACAAGACAAACTGAGACCAATCCCAGCCTTTCTGCCATTTCTTTTCTTTTCTTTTCTTTTCTTTTTTTTTTTTTTTTTTTGAGACGGAGTCTCACTCTGTCGCCCAGGCTGGAGTGCAGTGGCGCGATCTCGGCTCACTGCAAGCTCCGCCTCCCGGGTTCACGCCATTCTCCTGCCTCAGCCTCCCGAGTAGCTGGGACTACAGGCACCTGACCACGCCCGGCTAATTTTTTTGTATTTTTAGTAGAGACGGGGTTTCACCGTGTTAGCCAGGATGGTCTTGATCTCCTGTCCTCGTGATCCGCCCGCCTTGGCCTCCCAAAGTGCTGGGATTACAGGCGTGAGCCACCGTGCCCGGCTGCCTTTCTGTTTTTATTAGAAAAATCTGCATATAAACTTCATTTCTTGCGTATCTACCTGCCCTTACCGTTCACCCCAGACACAATGAAGAGCCGTGTTCAGCTGTGGACACCACACAGTGCCTGGTGCCCAGCACAAGGAAAGCACTCAGAAAATATTTAACAGGAAAGGAATATGATGTATAATCAAATAGTGACTGTGGCAAGTACTAAAATCTATGAGGAAAAAGCTCCCCAAATATTTGTTCTTCTCTGCAGAGGCCAAGGTGATGGCTTTTCCTTTAGTGCTTGGAAGATGAAGAAATTGGCATATGTACTTTCATTGCAAGATTGAAGCTTTCATTTGAAATGAGAAATTATTTCAGGTTGCTGGACAGAAGATACTTTCATAATTATGAAAACATTTGAGAGATACTCGAGTGGAATGTCCTTTTATACGAGGGCGATGAAACAGTAACACATGAAGACCACTAGATGATGGGGGGAGCTAATGTTGTTTTTTTACTGTTATCAGATTTTTCTAATAAAAACCCAATTCTCATTTAAGGACAGTTCTTTTGGGTACTTTCCCAATACAATTCCAATTTATTTTCCCATTAGCTGGGGGGCAGCTTTTATATATTTTTTCATTACAAGCCCATGATGGCAAATTCACATCTTGCTGGAAGCTTCAGAGTCCAACTCTTTAATACTTCTGAATATCACCTTCTCTGTTATTGCTGAATGGCAACATAAATGTGGCTAGTGAGATAGGATTCAGGTTAGAAAATTAGAAAAATGATTAAAAAATAGTATCACACAGGTGGTACCAGCGAATACTGAAATTAAAGAGGATTTATCTGTGTGATTTTGGTCATTTGGTAGTATTTTGGCTTTTGGTAAAATAAATGGAACAGAAAAATTAGAATCGTGATTATTAGAAGCAAATCACTTTTGTCCTCTACATGATGGTTTTAGAATCTGTATGGAAAAGTCAGTCACACATTTATCCTTACTGGATCTGTGGCTGCCTTAATGAGATCTGGAAATTTGTTTCTTCTGCACCTTCCATCCATGCCCAGTTCTCTTAAATGAAAACAAGTATAATTACCTACTACTTTCTTCAACTCAGAGTGACAGGAGAAGGAATAAAGGAGCCCATAACATAAACCATGGATAATCTGAAAAGCATGTGTATGTCTTTTATTCCAGAATGTTTGATTGTTTGCATTTGAATTCACATATGTGATATTGTTAAGTCCTCACAGTCCTTCACAAAAATTGAGTCCTGTTTTGAGGACTTGACACTCCTCCTCAACTCCCTGGCCCCTCTGCTCTGTCCTATCCACAGTGTTTTATGATGGTAAGTCCAGACGAGCAGGAATCCAAGCAGGAAGGTCCTGCAGCCTCATGGCTGAATTCCAGTCCATCCGTCCTTCCCACCAGTAATGGACTCTCCCACTGTCCCACAGAAACTGCCTCCCTGGTGCCTCAGCCCCTCAGTTGGCTTCTCCGTCTCTGCCACTTCTGCTCTTTCACTGACTCACGCATTCTCCCTCTACTTTCCTCTCTGCCTTTTGGCTTCCTCTTGGTTTACTCTCAGCTTCTGCCTGCTCCATCCTCTGCGTTTCTGTTTCTACCTTGGCACTGAATGAGACTGCATGCCTCTGTGTAAAAGGCCTTCCAAGAAGACATTTGAACAGTTCTTTTGGTCTCAGTCCCTGAAATCATCCCTGTGGGGCAGGGCCCAAGTGCTAGGGCCCTGTGTTCCAGCTAGCCCTCTTTGTGCTAGCATCACATTTGTGTGAATCAAACTTCTGATTGCCTGTTTGTGCATAATTCAGTTAATATTAGGAAAATGATGCTCAATAAATGTGCTTGTCTTGTGTGCAAAAGCTTCAGCTAATATGGAGTCATGAAGAAAACCAACAGGACAAAGGTTCTCAGTGATACAGCAACTGTTCAACTGGTGGAGGAAGTCAACGCTGAGGAAAGCCTACGGGCTGGCTGGAAGATGGCCCAAGGCTATGAGCCATCCTAGGGGCCCAGAGGAGAAGGAATGGGAGTGCTACTGGCTCAAGACTTGAGTTCCTCTAGAGTGAGGGCTCTCGGTCGTAACTCAACTGTGTGTTCAGGTTTCCTGCACCTCTCTTAACCTTGTTCTCTTGCTCCCTCACCTGGGAAGGACCTGCTGACATCCCCCTCATCTCCAGGATAAGATACGAATGTTGCTCTTCCAACCCATTCCATACAGAACCAGAGGCAACTCATTTTCATAACATGTACCTTGAATAAGCATTTGTTAAGTACACAAAACAAATTGCTGGCAAAAAGTTTTTAAGGAATTTTTTAGGCCGGGCACAGTAGCTCATGCCTGCAATTTCAGCACTTTGGGAGGCTGAGGCGGATGGGTTGCTTGCACTCAGGAATTTGAGACCAGCTTGGGCAACATGGTGAAACCTTGTCACTACTAAAATGTAAAATAAAAATTAGCCAGGTATGGTGGCAAACATCTGTAGTCTCAGCTCCTTGGCGGGGCAGGAAGATCGCTTGAGCCCGAGAAGTTGAGGTTGCACTGAGCCCCGATTGTGCCACTACACTCCAGCCTGGGTGACTGAGCAAGACCCTGTCTCAAAAAAAGAAAAAGAAAAAGAAAAAGAATTTGTTAAAATTATGTTTACAGTGTTACAGTGCACTTTGCGGAAATTATCTTGGAATATGTTATTGATGCTTCCATGAATGAATATTTTATTTTTGGAAGGCATTGTTGATTTCTTATGCTGTCTCTCTCTTCCCAGACAGATGCTTCCCTTATGTAGATGCCGACTTGAACAAGTCTATTGAATGGAGGCTTCAGAATTCCAGAAGATTCTTTTCTGTAAAGAGACACCTTAGTTTTTACTACAGTTCATTTCTGAAGCAATATGGCATTTTCAATTGCCTCTGAGACACTAATATTAGTACATTTGGTCATGTACTGAAGACAGCTCTCTTTCCCTGCTCTCCTTTATCCTGTCTTAAGCCTTGTGAATTTAATCCTATACCAATGTACAGTTTCAGATAGGAAGCAAAACCAAGGCAATGAGCAAATATTTACTAAGGGTCTGTAGTAGAGGTATGTAGACTGGACATATTGTTGCAGCTCAGTAATTTTTTTTTTGAGGTGGAGTCTCTCTCTGTCACCCAGGTTGGAGTAAAAGGGCACAATCTTAGCTCACTGCAACCTCTGCCTCTTGGGTTCAAGTGATTCTCCTGCCTAAGCCTCCTGAGCAGCTGGGATTACAGGCACCTGCCATCATGCCCAGCTAATTTTTATATTTTTGTAGAGACAGGGTTTCACCATGTTGGCCAGGTTGGTCTTGAACTCCTGACCTCAGGTGATTCACCTGCCTCGGCCTCCCAAACTGCTGGGATTACAGGTGTAAGCCACCATGCCTGGCCCATCAATAAGTATTTTTTTTGATGATCACAAGATCCATTTTTTTTTCACTCAGGTGAAAATATTACACAGCAACTCCCTAGTTGGTGTCAGTGACATCAGACTTCCTCTGCTCAATTTGTCCTTTTTTCAGACTCATCTTGAAATATTTTTGTTATAATGTTGCTTCTCTCTTCGGAAATTTTCAGTGCTTTCTTCTTACCCAAGCCTGAGGTGCGAACCCTCCTGCACAGCTTCCATGGCATGACACATTTCCCATGATGCCTCTGTTCACACCGTCCATCTTGGCCAGCCTATCCTGCCCAGGTGCCAGGAACACTGAGTGTGTACCACCCTCTTTGTGACCTTGCAGGTGTGCTCCTTCTCTTATCATGTGTATTTCCTTTTTCTCTGCACAGGTCCAAATCCGACATCTGTTCTTCAAGGTTCAGATCAAGTCTGTTCTCTCCCACAAAGTCCTCCTCCATTCTGTCAATGAACAGGTGCCTGGGACATATTGATGACTAAGACAGTCTCTGCCCTCAAGAGCTGGGTGAATGAGGCAAATACATTAGCAGATGATAGTGGTGCTGCCAAGCCTTTTTCACTTAATAAAACACAGAGAAAATGAAAATATTTATCATGGCACCTTGGGCTGCTTGTAGCTGGCTCCAGGTCCCACCCAGCACCCAGACACTCCAAAGGCTGAGAAACTCTCAGGCTTGCCTTCCTCTAACCTACGTGTGGCAAACCAGCTTGGAAACTCAGAGTGAGGCTACATGCTCTGATAGGAGTAGGGACAGATTGCAGCCGGTGTCTTTCCCAGGCATGTGGGTAAGGGGAGGCTTCCTAGGCAGGTGGCTTCCAGCTGAGTCTTGAAGGATGCTAGTTAGCCAAGGAGGCAGTGGGATGGACATGGGAGTGAGTCTGCCAGAGGCAGCTGTGTGTGTCACAGCATAGAAGGGGGAATGGCTCAGCTTGAGGGCCAGAGGTTAGAGGCGAGCAGGCATGAGAAGAGGCGGGTCTTGGGTTTTCCTCCAACCAGACTGTAAACTCCTTGAAGGCCAAGACCACATTTTACACTTCTGTCTTTCAGACAGCTGATCACGTGATGAGAGCTCAACACAGAGGCACTGATAGAGTAGTCTCTCTTTACCAGTGATACTGTCCTGATGGCTGCCATGAGACACGTGAATGGTCTCTTTTAAGAACAATGTAAATAAGAGAGGTGTTTTCTAGAATCCGTATAAATCCCACTTGACCTGAAAGATCTGAGAGGCTTATAGTTCTCCATTCCCTCATGTTTCCAGGACCAGCTTCTGGTTTGGCTTGAAATGATGCCTAATATGCTTTTTGTTTTTTTGAGATGGAGTTTCGCTCTTGTTGCCAGGCTGGGGTGCAATGGTGCAATCTTGGCTCACTGCAACCTCCGCCTCCTGGGTTCAAACGATTCTCTTGACTCAGCCTCCTGAGTAGCTGGGATTACACGCGCGTGCCACCATGCCCAGTTAATTATGTACTTTTAGTAGAGGTGGGGTTTCACCATGTTGGCCAGGCTGTTCTTGAACTCCTGACCTCAACTGACCTGCCTGCCTTGGTCTCCCAAAGTGCTGGGATTACACGCATGGGCCACCATGCCTGGCCCCCTCCACCTTTTTTTCTTGACTGGACTCTGGCTTTCACAAACACCTACTTGTAGGGATATGGTCAGTTGCCCTAAAAGAGGATAAAGAAACATCCGAGGCCATGACAAGGTAGCATAGACTCTGTTTTCCAGATACCCATAACTCCAACAATTGGCAGTCAGGGTACTGGATGTTTGATGTGAACAAAGATTTTTATTCTCTTTGAAAGGTACTGATAGAGTAGCACAGTTGAATTGCTTGAATTGGTTTTATGCATGGGCAGATTTCAGATACAGGGCTGTTCATCCAGTAACTTTTACAAGTACCAAATTTATAAAAGAAGAAAAAGAAAAGAAAAAAATCTCCAAAGCTCTGTAATTGTCTGGCACACAATTCTCTTCCACTGTGTCTTCTGAGTATACATTGAATATAATGAAAATAAGTGAGTCAGCTTGAACGATGCGGCTACATCCCTTACAAGGGAGGGGTGATCCCTTCAAGCTTTCTAAACCATCTTGACAGAGACTTTTGCTGCCACTCAGCATTGTTGTTTGTTCTAACAATGCATGCAGGGTAGCCTGTCCCCCACTAAGACAGGTTGGATTCTCTAGAGTTTTCTGTAAAAATTTTAGGAATGCCTTGTGTACATTATGTAAATACCAACAGCCACAACACTTAAGCATGGTAAACACTTACAATTTCATAATTGTGTAGCCACACAACCTGACATTTGTATGAGTCACTTGATAGATAACATCTTCCCCAGTGGTATGAAAGTGAAATAGAAAAGGCATCTTTCAAGGGTTCTCTCTTTGGGCAAAGGTGTGGGGGGAAGAATAAAAATTTAAAAATAAGAATAATTTTGCTGGGCACAGTGGCTCACACCTGTAATCTCAGCACTTTGGGAGGCCAAGGTGGGCATATCACCTGAACTCAGGAGTTCAAGACCAGCCTGGGCAACATGACAAAACCCTGTCTTTACAAAAAATACAAAAGTTAGCCAAGCATGGTGGTGTGTGCCTGTAGTCCCAGCTACTTGGGAGGCTGAGGCAAGAGAATCACTGAGCCTGGGACATGGAGCTTGCAGTGAGCTGAAATCACACCACTGCACTCCAGCCTGGGTGATGGGTGTGAAACCCTGTCTCAAAAAATAAAAATAAAAAAATAATAATTCAGTTCTGTTAGAAATCTAAGGTCTTTCATCTGGATGAAACTTAACATCCACCTAGAGTTGAATATACACAGTGGTTGGTTCTGTTTGAATTTTCTCTCCTTAATTTCTTGGGCCTCCCGTGCCCTGTCTGATTATACAACAGAAATAGTTTGTATGCTGTGTCTGAAACACTCTGCATCTAACAAAGAGTTAATAGACTCTACACTGTTCACCTTGGTCCCAGTTTATCTAGTTTCTGGATGAAAGTGATTGAGTGCACTGTTGATCAATTACAATGGAGAGGTCTCCTACCGTTTGTGCATATACATTTAAAAAAGCCAGGGAGGTCCGAGCGCGGTGGCTCACACCCATAATCCCAGCACTTTGGGAGGCCGAGGTGGGCAGATCACCTGAGGTCGGGAGTTTGAAACCAGCCTGACCAACATGGAGAAACCCCATCTCTACTAAAAATACAAAATTAGCTGGACATGGTGGCACATGCCTGCAATCCCAACTATTTGGGAGGCTGAGGCAGGAGAATCACTTGAACCCGGGAGGCAGAGGTTGCGGTGAGCCAAGACTGCGCCATTGCACTCCAGCCTGGGCAACAGGAGCAAAACTCCATCTCAAAATAAAATAAAATAAGATAAAATAAAATAAAATAAAATAAAATAAAATAAAATAAAATAAAAATAAAATAAAAAGCCAGGGAGAACCTCCTGATGTGATTCCTCTAGCAGGCTTTACACTGGGTCGGGGAAAGAATCTCACTAGAGCTAGTAGCCAAGAAGCCAGAAAACACAATCTTTATAAATATTCATAAATAATGCAAGCTTGATTGTTAATGCATGGAGGGGGCTGGGGTAGAAAAGAAAACTAGAGATTATGTGCTTGAATTCTTAGAAGCTGACTGCTATAGGCATGGCCCCACCAACAGCCATTTACCATCAAAGAGATAAAAGGAAAAGATTCACTCCCTGTGTGTACTCTGCTTTTAGCTCAGATATCACTTCCAGGAAGGCTTCCTTGCCCCCAGATGGCTTAATCCTATCGGCTGTCCCAGAACTGTGCGTTTGTAGCATTGTACTATGGTTTAATTACTTACCCATTTCTTCTACTGTGAGCACTTTGTGGTTAGATAACAGCTGCCTCTGTAATCATAGGCACTCAGAAAAAGTTTGTGGAACAGCAAAAATGTGTGTGGAAAGGAAAACAGCCTCAACATAGAAGCTTTGTTGGGGACAGACTACAAAATAAATGGTAAAGTTCTGGCAGAACCTCTTGGGTACAATTCCACTGAGAAATAAAGGCAGAAACAGAAACTGTAGAAGTAGAGAATAAATAAAAAGGAAGTGATAGAGGAGGAGAATCATCATCAACAATATTAAAAAGAGAAAAAGATATGGAATGGGATTCAGTGGGGTTTGGATGGATTGTCTTTGATTATTAACAGATACTATGGACTTAGTTGGAAAATCCAGGATCATAAACTCTGCTAAGTTAACATGAATCATCAACCAATTATACCCTATACCTTGGAATAATATATTCTATGGCATTCCAGTTTCTTGGGACAACTCACTGAAATCCAGACTTTCCTGAGCTACAATGTATATGGTTTGAGATAAGTGTAACCCTATTTTCCAAAACCTGCCCTTCTGCTGCCAGTTGAAGCAGCAACGAAGTATCAAAAAAGCCTCCAAGTGAAAGCAGTTGTGTTTTTCCTGTACACTTTTTGTCTTCTGCTGTGCTTCCTCCACTACCCAGAGTGCAGGGGAAATTCCGCTTTTTATCTGAATAAGCCGGTGGAGTCTATAACTGAAGTTTGTCCTTCCCCCTATTCCTTTCTCCTCTGACATATGCCTCTGCTTATAGAATGTCTGTAAATGCTTTCATTTCCTTCCTTCACTAAGAGAAAAAACTGGAGAAGGTGAAGAGAAACATCTTTTTTTTTTTTTTGATGGAGTTTCACTCTTGTTGCCCAGGCTGGAGTGCAATGGCGCGATCTTGGCTCACTGTGACCTCTGCCTCCTGAGTTCAAGCGATTCTCCTGCCTCAGCCTCCCAAGTAGCTGGGATTATAGGCACGCACAACCATGCCCAGCTAATTTTTGTATTTTTAATAGAGACAGGGTTTCACACTGTTGGTCAGACTGGTCTTGAACTCCTGAACCTCAGGTGATCTGCCCGCCTCAGCCTCCCAAAGTGCTGGGATTACAGGAGTGAGCCACCACACCTGGCTTTTTTTTTTCTTTCTTTTGAGAGAGAGAGAGAGAGAGAGAGAGAGAGAGAGAGAGAGAGAGAGACAGGGTCTCACTCTGTCACCCAGGCTGTAGTGCAGTGGCATGATCATATTTCATTGCAGCCTGGAACTCCTGGGCTCAAATGATCCTCATGCCTCAGCCTTCCCAGTAGCTGGGACTACTGATGCATGCACACCAGGCTAATTTTTAATTTTTATTTTTTTAAAGACATGGGTCTCTCTCTGTTTCCCCGGCCGGTCTCGAACTCCTGGGCTCAAGCAATCCTCCTACCTCTGCCTCCCAAAGTGCTGGGATTATGGGCATGAGCCACTGTGCCCAGCTGGGAAATATATGTAAAAATATTCATCCACTCAACAAAATTTTGTAACTTGCTGAAGATGTGAGCAGAGAGATAGTCTGGAGGGGTGATGTAGGGGCTCTGGAATCAAACAGACCTGGATTTGAACTCTGATTCAAACATTTACTAATTGCCTAAATTACTGTTTGTATCTGTCAAATGTCTTAATTTCTCAGGGCCTCAGTTTCTTCGTGAATAAAATAGGGATAATAGCTCCTGTTCCATTTGGTCTTTTGGGTAATTCATGAAAATGGCTTGGGGGCATTCTCCATGATGTTATCAAATGGCAGGACTTTCTTCCTCTGCAAGAAGTAGTTTGCTTGTCTGTCATTAAGAGCACTGTAATAGCAAAGCCTAGAATCATCTATTCCTAGGAGATATTTTAGGCAGGATATATCCAACAATGTATTAAAAGCTTTACCTTGGAATGGTCTCAGTCTTTACCTCTGTTTACATCTGGTCATGAATCAAATTGCCAGCTTGCTACTTGGCAATGGCTTTGTCATAGAATACAGGAAACCTGGCTTTCAGGTCCCCAATGTATTCGTCCGTTTTCATGCTGCTGATAAAGACATACCCAAGACTGGGCAACGGACAAAAGAGGTTCAATGGAGTTACAGTTCCACATGGCAGGGGAGGCCTCACAATCATGGTGGAAGGCAAGGAGGAGCAAGTCACTTCTTACATGGATGGTGGCAGGCAAAGAGAGTTTGTGCAGCAAAACTCCCTTTTTTAAAACCATCAGATTTCGTGAGACTTATTCACTATCACGAGAACAGCATGGGAAAGACCCTCCCCCATGATTCAATTACCTCCCACCAGGTTCCTCCCACCACACAGGAATTGTGGGATTTACAATTCAAGATGATATTTGGGTGGGGACACAGCCAAACCGGAAGTAGAGAGAAAACACACTCAAAGTAGAGGGAAGAGCTGTCATTGGATATCATGGCTGTGATCCCCCAAGTTGTGTCCACAGTGCTGGGCAGTGGACAGATCTTTTGGTATGGTTCCCCTAAACTAGTAAGAGACTATGGGAGCAGGGATGTTACGTGTCTCTTCCTGAAGTTTTAAATTAGCCGTCATGGAGAAACCTCAACATGGGAAGGCTGATAACTCCATGCATGTTCTAGCTGATTATTAATTATTCTTATCTTGAGATAAAAATAATGGAATTTATCGGAGGTGGGGAGGGGACCCTGTTCTGATTGATGCCTCTTAAGAGTTTTCGATTATTGAAATTACTGTTTTCTGAAAAGAATCTACTTATTACTTTGGGAGTTTGGCAGGAACAAGGCTGCCTCCTTGATCTTTGGCCCCTCAATTCCCTTACAGGTTACTCGGTAGGATTGCTGTAAGGATTATTGCGGCAATAAAGTTAACACATCCCTTGTTTTTGAACCATTACCAGCTGTGTGACCTTGGGCAAGCCCTTTCACCTCTCAGCTAGTTTCCTCTTATGAAAAATGGGGAATAAATTTAAAACATGAGATATGCAATAAACGATCTAACACCCATGCCTGCTATACGGTTGCCTGCTATACAGTTAAGTATTCAAAAGAGGACGTACCCAGGGGTAGTTACTGTTAGCACAAGTCCTATGGATACTATGAAAAACAGGGACAGACCACCCAGGCTTTCTACAAACGAGTCAGTTTTTTGCCTTTGAAGTTAACCTCTAACCTTGTGAAACGGCGACAGATAAGGACATGGGGTTCAAGAAAACGGGGCATAGTGGAAAATCAGGGGCATTAGCACCCAACGATGTGCGTTGAAACCCTAGTTGTTTTTCTCCTTCCCAGTTGCTGAAATCAGCCCTTCTGGCCGATTCGCGGGGTTCTCACCGGGAAGTTGGGGCTGTCGCGACCGTCCGCGGGGCCTCGGGAGCTCCTGTGGGGCTGGGCCCGGGACCTGTCCCCGGGGAGGCCGCCCAGTTTGGGCGGCCCGGAGCGGGGCGCGCCGCTGGGAAGGGGCCGGGTCGAGGCAGGCAGGCGCCTGGGAGCTGGGGCAGCCCCGGGTGGTCGGGTCGCGCGCCGAGGCGCAGGCCGAGGGCTCGCCCGGGCCTTTGTTGGCCGCCGGAGCGGTCCCTGCACGCGCCGGGAGGATCTCAGCCAGATGTGGCAGCGGGGCGGCGGGGAGCAGGCCGGCGCCCAGAGCTGGGACCCGAGACCGCGGCTCCGCTCCGGACCTCGCCGTGACACCGATGAGCCGGGCCAGCCTCCCGAACGCTCCGCAGGCTGCGTGGCGGCGCCCCTAAGTGACAGTCGCGCGGGCCACTGGTGGGGCGCGGGGCGCGGGGCGCGGGGCCCGCGGGGCCGGCCAATGGCTGGCGGGGTCGGGGCGGCCCGGCGGGGCGGGGCGGGGCGGGCGCTCCAGCGGCGGGGGCGGAGCCGGCGGGGCGGGCGGGGCGGCCCGCAGCGGCGGCGGCAGCGGCGGCGGCGGCTACAGCAGCTCCGCCGGCAGCCGCGGGAGCACGGCGACGCCAGCGGCGGGTGAGGGGCTCGCGGCGGCAGCGGCGGCGCGCGGGGGCGGGAGGGGGCGCGGGGCGGCTGCGCGGAGGGCGCGGGAGTTGGGGGCGGCGCCGGCGGCCGGGCTGGCGGCCCCGGGCTGCGGGAGATCCACCTGCTGGTAAAGGAGCCTACTGCGCCGCGGCCCGGCCGGAGCTCTGTGCGGGGGAGCTGTTGGCGCCTCTGGGCGCGGGGCCGGCTCCGGGAGCGGCTGGGCCTCGGGGGCGGGCGGCGGGGCGCGGGCCGGGCCGTCCTCCCAGCGTCCCTGCCCCGCACCGCGCACCCCTCGGGGTCGCGCGCCCTCTCTGCGGCCGGCTCGGCGCCTGGTGCGTTCCTGGCGCTCCCCGGCGTGGCGGGGCTCGGCGACTTTGGGGGAAAGTGGAGCAAAGTGCTGATCCGGGGGGTGCGGAGGGGGAGGGACAGCTGCCTGTGGGACCCGGGGGCTGCGCGGGAGTCGGCGCTTTCGCGGGGGCCGCGGGGCAGGTGGGCGGGGCCGGACGGTCCGAGGCGCAGGGGCAGGGGCTGCTCCCGAGGGGACCGGCCGTGCAGCCTTCGCAGGGAATTTTCACACAAAGTGAAGGGCTGCGGGGCCCGCGTGAAAGAGCAGCCCCCGTTTCCCCAGGCCTCAGCTCTCTCCGTAATGAGGAAGCTGCAGTAGGACCCTGAGGCTGGGTCTCGGTGACTCCACCAAGTGTGCCAGGTGACATCTCGGAGGCGAGCTTTTCTGAGCTGGCAGTCGAGCCACTTGCACACCCGCCTTTATTCCTCGCAACAGTGTGTTTCTCTGGAGCGGTTTCATTGCCTACATTCCGCATTGGAAAATAGAAGCAGGCACAATGTATGCTTTGAATGCTTTCCACGTATTTTGCTGTTGTGCTTTTGCTGTTGGACAGATTATTTGATAAAAGATAATGACAGTCGTTCGTTGGAACGTAGACTGTAAATTTAGAATAAAAATATGCGTTTTGTGGTTTATGTTTCTTTTTCTGAATGTTTAAAAAACAGTTTGATGAACAGGTTATCTTGACATAGATTTCTTTAACCCACACGTGTAAACCCGAAAACGCACTGGGCGATGACATTACGTAAGCTGTATTAAAGAAAACTACTGACCCGTTTATAAATGGCAAATAAATGAATTTTGCCACAATTGTGGTGTGTAAAGTTATATAGGCTTACGTCATGGATTTTATTGATTCCAGATATCAGGGATTATTGTGCCTTTCATTCTTAAGTCACCTCTACCCTGTCTGTGGGATGCTGATTAAGGAAGATGCCAAACGTTCGGCAAAGTGTTCTCAGCCGTGGACTATATTGAGTATTTCAGAGAACACTTTAAAATAAGTAAAGGTTTTGTATCCAATAATAAAATGAAGACTGAAGCCCTTAAAGGATTGCTAACAAAACAGTCTGATGTCTAGAGTTGAAAGTTCCATTCACCTTTGGGAGGGTGGAGAAATGACTAGCAATTTTAGCCACTACCTTTTTTTGTTGTTGTTAAAGATTCAAACGTGTTAGATTATAGTCTCCGAGAATATTAAGGGGCTAGATTAAAATTTTTGCAAATGTGGACACTAATAAAAATGTGGGTCACCTGTGTCTTACAAGCCAGCCTGTGAATTATGTCTCATAATTGAAGAGTGAGTAGATCCTTGGTTTTACTCTTGTCCGAAGAGTTTCTTCACTTGTGCCGTGCAGTTAAACTTATTAGCTGGGAAACCCTAATTAAAAATGTATGACTACATTCTTACTGAGTAAAACACGCATATTTTTCTTGCAAAATTTCAGGGCTTATTTGCTAGTAGAATTTATTGTAAGTATCTTCAGAGTTTCATAACTTACTGGATCCAGTATTTTTTTTTTTTCATATATTAGGGGTAGTATATCAATAGTTTACTTTGGTTTTAGAGTTCATTTACTTGTCTCTATGCATTTCTACGGAATGTTTTTACAAGCTTTATTTGTATTTAGTAAAACTTTTAAAATATCCTTAACTATATGATGTGCGCTCTACCTCCCCGTTATTATGAATTGAGTGCTTACTCTAATAACCTGTATGCTTTTTAGATCTTTTACTAGAACAAAATTCTTTCTCAAGTAAAATAGGGCTAAGTAGATAGCAGCTGAAAGTTATAAGTATTTTAATATAATGCCACACCGGGATTAATGTTCCAAGTTATATAATTCATAGAATTATCACCCGTGTTTTTATAATCAGAATTCATTATTGGGTGCTTATTGATTTAAGACAATTAGAGCAGTCTTGCTATGAAGTTTTTTTTTTTTTTCAAACTGAGTCTCTGTCACCCAGGCTGGAGTGCAGTGGTGTGATCTCGGCTCACTGCAACCTCTGCCTCCCAGGTTCAAGTAATTCTCCTGCCTCAGCCTCCCGAGTAAGCTGGGATTACAGGCACCTGCCACCACTCCTGGCTAATTTTTGTATTTTTAATAGAGACAGGGTTTCGTCATGTTGGCCAGGCTGGCCTTGAACTCCTGACCTCGGGTAATCTGCCTGCCTCAGCCTCCCAAAGTGCTAGGATTACAGGCATGAGCCACCACACCTGGCCACTGTGAAGATTTTAATTCTAAACTGTAGACGTGGGCATGTTTGATGTTAACTTGTCTTAACTGTAGAAGGTGAATAAGTTCAATCTTAGAGAACAATGATAACTTCTGCATGAGAATATTTTTAGATCTCTTTGTGTTCAGGTAGTAAAAGAGGTTAGGTGCTTCTAGAATATTATGTGGAAGGTAGAGCTGCTGTCTGAGGGTTAACAGGCATAGTTTGGTGGAGGGTTGTGGTGAGGTATTAGCCAAAAGCTACAGGAAGTGGAGATTTGTTTAAAGTTGTATAAACATACACTTTGAAAATTTCCATGAATTTTGCAACTTACTCCTTAGTAGATCAGTGTGTGTTATATAATTTATTTTTTTAATTTACACTTACAGTTGGGTATAATTCTGCAGTTTTACCTGATACTTGGAGTATCCCTGGAACTTCTCTTCATATTGCCAGGTGCAGGAGGCCTCATTTGAGAGGGAAAGTGTAGCAGCTAAGAGCTTGGACTTTGGAGACAAACAAATTCGAGTTCTTTCTCTGGATTCATTTCCTTGTGTGTAGAACAGGGTTAATAATGCCTGCCTCATAGGAACGATTTTGTGAAGATTTAAACCATGTGGTGGATCAGGCACATAGGAAACATTTCATAAGTTGTAGTGGCTGTCATTATTAGTACTATGCCCCTGTGATCTTTCTTTACTAGGGGGAATTTCTAGTAGTGTTCAGTGTTAAGAAGCAGTGGTGGTGGCAATTTCTGAATTGCCTGCAAATGGCTGCTTGAATCGGTTGTGCTCTTCCCCAGAGAGAATTTTCCCTTGGAACTGCTGGCCATTTTTCGAGGTATATTAACTCCCCCACTACAGTGTCAGTATATTACCAGGTGCATCCTGTGGCACCTCCTGAGGCTACCAGGAATCTGTTCACATCTTGGAGGGCCTGGCGTGCCTCCAGGGATTGAGACTGACCATGCATAGAGTGGACTGGAACCAGTAGCTGGCTGGTTTTGTTGTTGTTCAATTAACCAAAAAAGTTTGGTTTTTAGTACAGTTGACATTTTTTGAGAACCTATTATATGCTGAATGCTGTGCTTAAGTACTTCTAAGACTTCATTTCTTTCCCTTTTCCCAACAGCTTTGTTCGATCAGTGGTGATTTCCCAGATTTCTTGATTTAAAGCAATGCAGAGTGATAGAGCCTAAGGTGTACAGTATCCTGGCTGGATTGCTGCATTTTCTAAATGCTTAAATAGTTCCAGTTTACACCCTGGGAGTGGGTTAGTCACTGGAAAAACGACATTTATTTTATGACAGTGATAAACAGCAGTTATAACTGTAACCTTTTAATAATTTATGACAATATGTGAAAGAGGACACAGGACAGATTGTTACCTCATTTTGTGAATGAAACCTTGAGACCTAGATAAGTGGCATGCCCCAAATCATGTAAGTAATGACAGAGCTGGGTCAAGGGTCCAGGTCTTTTGACCCTTATATATTGTATTCTGTCAATTTTCTTATTAAAAAAATTTCCTATTATTGTGCAATAGGAAAACTGGAGAGAGTGAAGATTATGTTACTCAGGAACCATTGTGTGATCATTAGAGTTCTCATCTTGGAATCTGTGAGCTCCACTTTTCCCTTTAAAATCAGTCACCATAACTTTCTTTTTACAGACAAAACAAAACCAATGAGGAGGGAATATAGTTTGAAGCTGTTTTGTATTTTTTTCCAGGAGGAGAAGGACCATATAATTCCAGTATGTTAAATGAGTAGTTTCGATGTAGGGATAATCTTTATAGATGCAATTTAGCCCTGCCAAAAGTCTGTTTATAATGATGAATAGTAAATGAAGAAACTTACATTTTGCATTACCGAATGAGCTTGACTTTCTCTTTTCCCCTGAATAGGAAGGGAAAAGGCCGAGGCATCAGCGTGTGAAGACCGCAAAGACGATCCCGAGTACAGTTGTGAACAGCATTGCTGCTAGGCTCCTCCTGCAGATCATCTGAAATGAACCTCTCTTATTGATTTTTATTGGCCTAGAGCCAGGAGTACTGCATTCAGTTGACTTTCAGGGTAAAAAGAAAACAGTCCTGGTTGTTGTCATCATAAACATATGGACCAGTGTGATGGTGAAATGAGATGAGGCTCCGCAATGGAACTGTAGCCACTGCTTTAGCATTTATCACTTCCTTCCTTACTTTGTCTTGGTATACTACATGGCAAAATGGGAAAGGTAAGGAAAATGACTCGGAAAATGTGCATGAAATGTACTAGGGTTTTTGCTTGGTTAAGGTGCCTAAATGCTTAGGTCAAATACCCTGGCAATCTGCATGTTACATGCTATCTGCTGGCAGTTTCTTTCTGATATAAAAATGAAACAGTATTCTTGGACAGAGGACACAGAATTTCTAATTCCAGTGGGGCTTGTTTTGTTTTCAGTTTCTTATAATTGTACTTGGAGAAACAGATACTGATCAGTGTTTTATATTCTAAAAGACAGCCAAGTTGAATAATAAAGACTTTCGTTTTGGCATTTTGTTCTTTTTACTAAACATAATTAAGTGTTTAATAAGCTTCCTTGTACCGAGTGTTGCATAAAACACTTAAAAGGACACAATTAGTGCCTTCGTGAGATTTACATGCTAATTATGCTAATGATTGGGTGCTATGTAGTTAATGATTTAAACTGCATGCATTGACAGATTACTCCTTAGGCAAAAGTATTTAAGAAGGGATAAGTAGAAATTCTGATTGGAATATTAAAACATTTTTTAAAAATTAATTATGTTTAGACTGTTGAACCGTGTTTATATAATTTTAGGATAATGGATTTATTTGCTTTTTTTTTTTTTTAAGAGAAACTACTTGAAGTAAATTCCTACCCATACTTCTTACTTGTCTCCTTTCCTTTGATTAATCTAAGGAATGTTGATGATGAGAAGAAAGATGGAAATGTTGAGGTGGTTGCATATTTGGTTTGTTAGAATATCTGTCATCACCTGGGCTATTTGAAGCTGCTGTTGCTGATGTTGTTTTATTGACTCATGAAGACAACTGAAAAGATTGCTTTGTAACCTTATTTTTTTCTGATGTGTGTTTACATCCATGTCTATATATACATATTGCATATGTATATATCTGTATGTGCATGTATATGTTAAAAATCTGATATAAGTGAAAACATGCTCTGTGCTTTGAGCAAGTAGAGTCTTTTCCCCTTCTTTGTCTTTCTCTGAGTTGGGCTCTAATTTTGGGGGAACTCTTGGGGGAAAATGAATGAAAAACTTGCTAAGGTCCTTTTTGCTTTATATACAAATATGTACATTTTAGAATTCATGTTTTTATTGTACTAAATGAGAAGGCTTAATCAGGAGGTGCTTTGTTTTTGTTTGTTTTTGAGACAGAGTTTCACTCTGTTGCCTAGGCTAGAGTGCAGTGGCAAGACCTCGGCTCACTGCAACCTCTGCCTCCTGGATTCAGGCAATTCTTGTGCCTCAGCCACAGGAGTAGCTGGGACTACAGGCGCAGGCCATCATGCCCGGCCAATCAAGAAGTAGTTTGAATAGTTAATCAAACTATTGATTGTCCCTGACATGAACAAAACAAATGACTGGCTATTAAAAGTCTGTTTATGAAATAAGAGGGTTGATGAGCAGAAAAGTATATGGGTTTTTTTTTTTTGTAGGAAACTTACCTATTCAGAGAATTATAGTAGTGGAGAAACTTGACCCTTCTCACTGTGCCTTATTTGAAAGATGGCAAGTCTTGGAATCTCCATTTAATTTTCCTTGTTTCTTATGTAAAGGCCTTATAATAAGCATAATTATTAAGCTGTCTTTAGAATGAAAATTAATTAAAAAAATAAAGATTCTTTCTCCACGCAGTGTTAGATGCACACATACAGTCTGTTAACTTTGATCATCATTCTCTGAATAGCTCCATAATTCTTCTTTGCAAACTTCTGCTCTGATTTTCTACTTGGTGTTTTTTCCAGACTCTTCCAGGTATCAACACAGGTTTCTGGTTATGGTTACATAAAATCTTCTGTGTTAAATGTTATCGTTTCTGTAGCCACTCAAACTGTTGGGCATTTGGATTCTTTCTAGATAGTTCTGGCAGTCAGACAGCCTGGGTTTTCCAGAGAAGTCCTGATTTGAGAGACTCAATTCTAATATACCCATAAACCACGTGCTCTGATTTTTATTTTGAAAGTGTGGTTTCTATAAGCTTTGATGTTGCTAAACTAATGGTTTTTTTTTGTTGTTTTTTCATTCATTCATGGGTCCCTTACATGTACCTATCTTGCACCTAGCCCTATATTATATGCTATTAATAAGAAAAGCAATAAGTAATTTTATGCCTTTGAGCAGCTCAGGGACTGGTCAGGGAAAGATGCATGTAAACAAATTTACCATCAGATAGAGTTAGATAGAAACAATAACAGTGCTTGCCTGTAAGTGTATTATATGTATTTTAATCCTCATAACAACAATTGGAGATATTATCCCCTTTCTGTAAATGGAGAAACCAAGGCAGAGTGACTGAGAAACTTACCAAGGTCATATGTTAAGTAGTGGAGTTAAAGTTTGAATTCAGGCAGCCTCATTCAAGAGCTTATGCTCCTAGCTATTGGTCTGTTGCTCAGAAAAGCAGAAGCAGAGGCTACTAATTCTTCAGGTGCTTTACACAGGAGGTAGAATATGAAGGATGAATGTGAAGGCCAAGCCAGGCAGAGTGGGGAACACTGGGCATATCAGGTCCAGGGACCTGCGTGTGCAGCTACAAGTTCTGAAGGGGAGTAGAGTATTCATCCTTTGGAATTGTGAGATGCTCGTTAATACCAGCACATAGGACTCAGGCCCTCTCAGTGTTTAGCTGGTAATCACAGTACTGCAAGGTTCTTGTATGGATTCAAACCCCAACAGCGCACCAACAGACAACACGAGGAGGTGTGGAGCAACATGCTGTTTTAATGAGCAGGCAGGCTGAGGCCTAAAATGGTGTCAGCCCCAAGCAAGGATGGGGCAAAGGTTTTATAGTCTCCTGTAAATAAGAAGTGTCCTAGTCTGACGTAACTGCTACGTTGTACCCAGGTGACCCCTCTCTCAATCTTCAGGGGTACGTGTCTTCCGGCCGGCTCTCCTCCTGCTTCTGCTATCTTGCTGGCGCATGCTGCTGGCGCAAGTTGCACCTTGGGACTGGGCCTGAGAAGGGAGGAGTTATTCATCTCCTTAAGCTTTCAGGCCCTGGGGAGAATCTTACAAGTACAGTTCCTAGAAGTACTGCTTTGACATAGTCCTCATTCACCACTTGAAAGAATACATGAGCTGGTCCATGGGATTGGCATAAGTTGGGGAGTATCTCAGGAATCCTGCCAGGGAAGCTGTGGTGCAAGACAGAGTAACAGTTTCAGCGGGGTATACTGGATTCCCACATAAAAATGAGGCAGATTTCCAATTATGTGGAATGGACAAATTGGGACAGTTGTAGGTGGGTGTTGTGAGAGTGGGGCAGGAGTAGTTACGTGTCTGTCTTGCCAGGAGGAGCATGGCTCCTGATGGACCTCCTGCTGTGGTCAGGCGCAATCTAGACCCTGGGTGAGATTGATGAAGCAGTCACGGGTCCCTGTCCATGGGGACAGAGACTGGTATTATTTTTGCAGTGCCTGATCCAGTGATGCTTAGTAAACATGTAGTAAACATTTGTTAGATACATGATTGATTCCTTCAGCAAAAATGTATTTAAACAGTTTTAAACAGCTTGAGATATAATTTACATACTATACAATTCATCCATTTAAAGTGTACAATCAGTCGGTTTTTGGTATATTCACAGATATGTATCCATCACCACAGTCAATTTTAGAGCATTTTTATCACCTCAAAAAGAAATCCTATACCCTTTAGCTATTACTGTCCTAATCCCTACCTCCCTCCCCTCCCCTCCTAGGGGTTAGGCAACCACTAATTTTTCTGTCTCTATAGATTTCCCTATTCTGGATTTTCAGATAAATGTAATCATACAGTATGTGGTCTTTTGTGACTGGCTTTTTTCACTTAGTGTAATCTATGCAATGTTCACCCGTGTTGTGGCAGATCACTTCACAGTGGGGTTGCTTCACGTACACAGAAAGGATGTGTGCTTCCTCCCTTCTTACAGCTGAATAATAGTCCCTTGTATGGATGTACCACACTGTTTATCCATCCATCCGCTGGTGAACTTTGGGTTGTTTCTACGTTTTGGCTATTATGAATAATGCTGCTATAAACATTCAGGTACATGTTTCTGTGTGGACATGTGTTTTTATTTTTCTTGGGTATTTACCAAGGAGTGGAATTGCTGGGTCCTATCATAACTCTATTATGTTTAATCATTTGAGGAATTACCAGACTTTTTCAAAGTGATGAGACCTGTACACATTCTTATACTTTTACTTCAATCTGTTTATCTTTGAATTTACTGTGTGTCTCCTGTAAACAACATATAATTGGATCATGCTTTTTAAAATCCAGTCTGACACCCTCTGCGTTTTGATTGGGTTGCATATGCATACATACTTAATGCTATTACTAATATAACTGGATTCATTTCTGTCATCTGATTTTTTGTTTTTCCTGTGCCTTATGTCTTTTTTGTTCCTGTGTTCCTCCCTTATTGCTTTTTTTTTGCATTAATTGAATTCTAATATAGCATTTTAATTTCATTAATGACTTTTTCACTACTTTTGAGTATTTTTAGTAGTCTCTCAACAGAATCAGCTTTAGATTTATACTAGCTTAATTTTAGTAATATATAGGAGTGTTGCTCCTATGTAGGTCTGTTCCTTTTTACCCTTTTGGGGGGTATTGTTGTACTTATTACATCTGTTAATGTTGCAAACCAAACAATATATTGTTATAATTATTATTTTTATGTGTTATTATTTCCTTAGCCCATTACAGTTTTATTTCCACCTACCTCCTCTGTGCTATTACTGGCAATTATATTACTGATATATTTCCACACGTTATAGACCCAGCAATGAATTACATAAATATTTTATACCATTGACTTTTTAAATCGTTAACAGAAAGAAGAAAAAAATACATTAATAGTGTATATTCTAATTTCATAATTATTGCTGCTTTTTGTGTGGATTTGAACCACCATCTGGGGTAACTTCCTTTCAGCCTGAAGAATTTCCCTTAGTGTTTCTTATAAGGCATGTCTGCTAACAATGAATTCCCTCAGTTTTTGTTTATTTAGGTATGTCTTTATTTCACCTTTATTTTTGAAAGATAGCTTTTCTGGACATAGGATTCTTGGTTAACAAGGACTTTTGTTGGTTTTGAACACTGTGTGATTGCATTGCCTTTGTCCTCTATTATTTCTGCTGAGAAGTCAGCTATTAATCTTATGGAAGTTCCCTTGTAAGTAATGTCATTTTTCTCTTGCAGCTTTCAAGATTTTCTTGTGTTTGACTTTTTTCATTTCCACCATGTGTTTGTGGGTCTCTTTTATTGACCCTGTTTGGAGTCTGTTGAGCTTCCTGGATGAATAGCTTATTGTTCTTCAGTAAATTTGGGAAGTATTAAGTCATTATTTCTTTGAATTATTTTCTTCTCCTTTCTCTCTCCTTTCCTTCTGGTATTCCCATTACACATGTGGTGGTGTGCTTATTGGTGTTCCACCTTTCTCTGAGGCTGTGTTCATTTTTCATTTTTTTCTCCCTCTTGAGCTTATATAATCTCTACCGACCTGCCTTCAAGTTTGCTAATTCTTTCTCCATTGTGTACAAATCTATTCTTGAGGCATGTATTAGTTAGGGTTCATCAGAGAAACAGAACACACACACACACACACACACACTCAAACACATGTGCACGCACACACAAGATTTATTATAGGAACTGGCACATGTGATTATGGAGGCTGAGAGGTCCTAGAATCTGCCGCCTGCAAGCTGGAGAACCAGGAAAGCTGGTGGTGTAATTCAGTCTCAGTCCAAAGGCCTGAGGATAAGGGAGCCAATGGTGAAAGTCCCAGTTCAAGTTCAAAGGCCCGAGGACCAGCTGGGCTGATGTCTGAGGGTGGGATATCCTAGCTCAGACCAGAAACAAAGTTGCCCTTCCTCCACCTTTTTGATCTACTCAGGCTCTTAGTAGATTGGACGATACCCACCCACATTGGTGAGGGTCATGTTCTTTCCTCAGTCTACAGATTCAAATACTAATCTCATCTAGAAATACCTTCACAGACATATCCAGAAATAATGTTTTATCAGCTGTCTGGGCATTCCTTAGCCCCGTGAGATTGACACATAAAATTAACCATCACAAGGTCCTCTAGTGAATTTTTACTTCTATTGTACTTTTCAACTCCAGAATTTCCATTTCGTTCTTTCTTAAAATTTCTCTCTTCTTATTAATAGTTTATATTTGATGCCACTTTGTCATACCTTCTTTTACTTCTTCAATTAAATTTTCTTTTAGTTCTGTGAGTTTATTTATAATGGCTGATTTGAAATCCTTTTAAAAATAAATCCTGGCTGGGCATGGTGGCTCATGCCTGTAATCCCAGCACTTTGGGAGGCTGAGGCAGGTGGATCGCCTGAGGTCAGGAGTTCGAGACCAGCCTAGCCAATATGGCAAAATCCCATCTCTACTAAAAATAAAAAATTAGCTGGGCGTGGTGGTGGGCACCTGTAATCCCAGCTACTGGGGAGGCTGAGGCAAGGAGAATTGCTTGAACCCAGGAGGCGGAGGTTGCAGTGAGCCGAGATCGCCCCCACTGTACTCCAGTCTGGGTGACAGAGCTAGACTCCATCTTAAAAAATAAAAATAAATAAATAAATCCAACATCTAGTTCATCTAGTTGTACTCACAGGCAGTTTCTGTTACCTGCTTGGTTTTTTTTCCCCGTTTGGTGTATTGGTTGTATTTTTCTGTTTCTTTGCACATCTCATAATTTTTTTATTGGAAACTGGACATTTTAGAGAAATGTATTTTAGCAACCTGGGGTACTAAGGTCCCCTTCACCTGTTGTTATTTGCTGGTTTATTTGTTTAGTGGCTGGCCGCAGCTTCAGCTCTTGGTTTGCCCACACTCACCCTGGGATACCCCTTTACTCTTTCTAAGACTCCTACACTAATTACCAGCTGATTGTTTTATTGTTTACACCAATGCCCTGGGGCATAAATTCTGCTACAAACTAAATGGTGGTTCCTTTTTTTTCTTTTCCACCTATAATGTATTCTATGATAAAATTGTGATTCCTTTGAAGAAATAGTTTCTAAGGTCAGTGTCCGATATTTTTCTGACCCCAGGAGGACTCCTTTCCACCTCTTTTGCAGGTTCTCTCCTGCAAGCTAGCTCCCACACTCTAGGCCGTATCTTCACTAGATCCACAATTCTCCCCATTCTCTCACCACAAGCCCAAAATTCTCCAGGCGCTGTTGCAAATGAAGCCCCTTCTTTGGGAAGAGATCAGGAACTGTTTTATGGTACCAGGCAGGATTTCTGAGTCTTGAGGTGGGACTGAGGATAATGACAGGTTTTTCTCTGAGTGGCAGCCCCACTCTAGGGGCTGAGCACTAAGTGGAGGGGCCAAGAGGTTGAGGTTCTTGTGGCTGTGCTATTCCAGGGGTGGAACCACTGCCTTACAAGCCCAGGAAGGGCTGTCAGGGCCCTAATATTCTCAGCACACTGCATGCACCCAATGTAGAGCCTGCATTCCATCAGCAGGGGTTGGGTAGAGTAAGAGAGCCCCCACATCTCAATTGCACTTGCCTGGGACTTAACCTTAGCTACAGGCATTTGGGGGCAGCAGGAGAAAAGTTGAAGTCCTGCTTCTCCCAGGATGAAATCCTGCAGCTTGGAGCTGGAGAGCAAAGGGAGCCCTGTGTTCTTGGCTGCTGTAGTCTGGAGTGAGGTCTCTACCTCACTGGTTGGGGAGAAAAGAGGGGGGAATGATCTTGGTTCAAATACTGTGCTCTCAGCTTTCTCACTGAATTTTTATAGATTTTCTCATATAGGCATTTATTCATGTGCTATTTGTCCTTGAGACAGTTTTCAGGTCCTGTTAAGAGGTTTTTAAAACAATAATTTTCACTAGTTTCACTTCACAGGGGATCAGCAGAGCTTATGCTGTTGCGTTGGAAGTGGAGCTCCAAAAATATTTTGAAAATGCTTTATTCATTACCAGATTTCATCAAATTTAATACACCATTAGATGCACCATGATTGTAAAGTACTGCTAAGCAGGAAAAGCAGCTGCTGATTAAACTGACATGCCATCACGTGTAAGAGTCACCTTGATTTCAGATGTTGAAATATGGGAGAAAATGTGTACCTTTGAATCAGTAGACTACAGTATATTCTGAGAAAACACTTACTGCAAGAAAAGATCAGATTCATATCCTGTTAGCTATAACAGAAACACCAGACGAAGCATTTTATTGGAAACTATGATTCTTATTTGTAAATAAACAGTGAATAAAAGTTTTTAGATTTGTTTTTCTTTACAGAATAAGCAAAGCTGCTTTCAAATACGATATAAGGAAAATTAATACTAAGTCTAGGACTTGGAATACGCCGTCATCATTCTGGCTTACCAAAATTGTCGACCTGTGTTTTTTGAGTGCCTTCGGCATGCCAGGCACTGTTTGTGGTCTGGGATGCATTAGCATTAGAACATGTTAGAGGAATATCCTTGCCGTAGTGTAGGAGAGGAGGGAGGAGAGAGCTGCAGAACAGTAAAACAGTAAATTAAACAGTAAGTTGAACAGCAGTAAATGTTTTTAAAAACTTTATTATGAAATACTTTTAGAGTTACAATAAATGTACAAAAATAGTACACAGATTTCCCTTATACCTATCCTCCCCCAATATTAACAACTTATATATAATCAGAGTAGTATAATTTTCGAAACCAAAAGATTAATTTTGATTTAAAATTATTAACTAATCTACAAACCTTATTTGAATTTCACCAGAGTTCCCACTAATGTCCTTCTGTGCCAGAGTCCAATCTAGGATCCCATGGTGCGTTTAGTTGTCATGTCCTCCTACTTTCTTCCAGTATGCAAAATTTCCTCCATCTTTTTTTTTTTTTTTGAGATGGAGTCTCGCTATGTTGCCCAGGCTGCAGTGCAGTGGCACGATCTCGGTTCACTGTAACCTCCACCTCCCACGTTCAAGCGATTCTCCTATCTCGGCCTCCCTGGTAGCTGAGATTACAGGTGCCCTCTACTATGCCTGGCTAATTTTGTATTTTTAGTAGAGATGGGGTTTCACCATGTTGGCCAGGCTGTTCTCAAACTCCTGACCTCAGGTGATCTGCCCGCCTCGGCTTCCCAAAGTGCTGGGATTACAGGTGTGAGCCACCATGCCTGGCCCTTTCTTTGTCTTTTATGTCCTCGACATTTTTGTGGAATGCCCCTTAATTTGAATTTGCCTGATGATTTATCTGGTTAGATTGAGGCACCGTCGGCCCTCTGTATACACAGATTCAGCCAACCACAGATGGAAAATGTGGTTAGGTCCACAGTGTTTGTGTCTGTACTGAACATATACAAACTGGTTTTTTTTGGTCATTATTCCCTAAAAAACACAGTATAACAACTATTTATCTAGCATTTACATTGTATTAGATATTTTAAGTAATCTAGAGATGATTTAAAGTATACAAGAGGCTGTGTGTAGGTCATATGTAAATACTGTGTCATATATCAGAGACTTGAGCATCTGCAGATTTTGGTATCCTCAAAGATACTGGAACCTATCCCCCATGGATAGCAAGGGACAACTCTAATGCATTTTTGGCAAGAATACCACAGAAATGATGTTGATGTTATGTCCTTTCTTTTCTGAGATGGAGTTTCGCTCTGTAGCCCAGGCTGGAGTGCAGTGGTGCAATCGACAATCTTGGCTCACCGCAACCTCTGCCCACTGGGTTCAAGCAATTCTCCTGCCTCAGCCTCCTGAGAAGCTGGGATTACAGGTGCACCCCACCACACCCAGCTAAGTTTTGTATTTTTAGTAGAGACAGAGTTTCTCTATGTTGTCCAGGCTGGTCTCAAACTCCTGACCTCAGGTGATCTACCCGCCTTGGCCTCCCAAAGTGTTAGGATTACAGGCGTGAGCCACCACGCCCAGCTACCTTGTTTTTTGAAACTGGGTCTCACTCTGTCACACAGGCTGGAGCGAAGTAGTGTGATCATGGTTCACTGCAGCCTTGACTTCCTGGGCCCAATCAGTCACCCTCACCTCAGCTTCTGAAGTTGAGGGAAGGCCCACAGGCATGCACTACCATGCCCGGCTAATTGCAAAAATTTTTTGTAGAGACAGGGTCTCACTGTGTTGTCCAGGCTGGTCTCGAACTCCTGGGCTCAAGTGATCCTCCTGCCTCAGCCTCCCAAACTGCTAGAATTACAGGCATGAGCCACCGCACCCTGGCTGTATTCTTCAGTTAGCACATTATATCAGGAGGTGTGTGATGTTGATGTGTCTTGTTACTGGTGATGTTTGCTTCGATCACTTGGTTGAAGTGGTGTCTGACAGGCTTTTCCATTGTAAAGTTACTATTTTTGCCATTGTAATTAATAAGCATTTTGTGGAAGCCAATATCCTGTTTCTTATCATACTTTTACCTACAAACGTTAACATCCTTTGATGATTTTTGCCTGCAGCAATTTTTTTAAACTTTTATTTTAAGTTCAAAGGTACAAGTGCAGATCTGTTGCATAGGTAAACTTGTGTTACGGGGTTTGTTGTAAAGATTATTTCATCACCCAGGTATTATACCCATTAATTATTTTTTCTGATCCTCTCCCTCCTCACACCCTCCACCCTCCAAAAGGCCCCAGTGTGTGTTGTTTCCCTCTGTGTGTCCATGTGTTCTCATTTAGCTGCCACTTATGAGGACATGGGGTATTTGGTTTTCTGTTCCTGCATTAGTTTGCTAAGGATAATGGCCTCCAGCTCCATCTGTGTCCCTGCAGAGGACATGATCTCGTTCTTTTTTTATGACTACCTGCAGCAATTCTTACTGTGGTGTTTTCCAAATGTAACTTTCTGTTTCCATCATTCATTCTGTACTTATTAGTTAATTGGAATTCCACTGTAAGGAAGAGATGTCTCTTCTCCCTCATTTCTTTTTTTTTTTTTTTTTTTTTTGAGATGAAGTCTAGCTCTGTCACCCAGGCTGGAACGCAGTGGCACAATCTTGGCTCACTGCACCCTCTGCCTCTCGGATTCAAATGATTCTCGTGCCTCCACCACCTGAGTAGCTGGGATTACAGGCATGCGCCACCATGCCCTGCTACTTTTTTTTGTATTTTTAGTAGAGATGGGTTTCACCGTGTTGGCCAGCCTGGTCTTGAACTCTTGACCTCAGGTGATCCACCTGCCTCAGCCTCCCAAAGTGCTGGGATCACAGGCTTGAGTCACCACGCCCAGCCCTCCTTCATGTATTTCTTTCTTATTTCTTTACATAAGTATGAACTCATGGATATTTATTTAATTCTGGGGTTATGGTCCTTTATTACAGTAACTTATTTTGTTGTTTAAATTGTCTCAGAGGTGGCCATTAGGAGCTTCCTCAAGTTGGCTTCTGAGCCTTTTGTTGTGCCCCTATCATTTTTTTCAAATTTATTGAGGTGAAATTAACATAACGAAATTAACCCTTTTAAAATAAACAATTTAGTACATTCACAATGTTGTGCAACTACCACCTCTATCTAGTCTCCATCATTTTTAGAGCCATTTTTTCCTTTCTGGTGCCATAGCATGCTCCAGGCTTGTCCTGTATTTTCTCTACCCCTGTCCTGGAAGCAATCATTTTTCCAAGGAGCCTGTAGTTCCTTTGGAGAATAGAGTCTTGCTGTGCTCATTCCTACCGTGGCATCATCTTTCCAGTCCCTCTCAGTGCACAGAGCAAGGGGATACATGTGTGCGTGCATAGCATCCTCAGCTATTTCCACGTCCACCTGCGTTTCTTGAATTCCTAGTGATCCCTTGGATTTTAATTGAATACTGTGGTGTCCATGCTAGTCTCCTCTTTTCCTCATTTGTAAGTCCTGCCTCCGACAGTAAAAAATATGGCTCTGGCAGGATGCGGTGGCTCATGCCTATAATCCCAGCACTTTGGGAGGCTGAGGCAGGTGGATCACTTGAAGTCAGGAGTTCGAGACCAGCCTGGCCAACATGGTGAAACCCCATCTCTACTAAAAATACAAAAAATTAGCCGGGCATGGTGGATGTGCCTGTAGTCCAGCTGTTTGGGAGTCTGAGACACAGGAATAGCTTGAACCCGGGAGGCGAAGGTGGCAGTGAGGTGAGATCGCGCCACTGCACTCCAGCCTGGGTGACAGAGCGAGACTCCGTCTCAAAGAAAAAAAAATATGGCTCTTACTATCCCAATATAGTTGCTTATGCTCAATCCCAGTATATATGTACAGTAGTTTCAGAATTCTAACCCATACACAAATGAAAAGTAAATTTACTAGGGTTCAATATTTGTGCACAGTTCTTTTTGTATTTAGTCTTGTAATATACAGATGCTATTTTCTAAAGTTACTTAGGTTACATTTTAGTCACTTCCTCTTCCGTGTGGTTATGTTATTTATTTATAATCTGTTAGGTCAATATATTACTGTTTGTATTCTGTTTTGGGTTTCTCCCATGTCATGCTAATTGCAATTATTTACATTTTGGATATGTGAAACATGTTGGTTCTGAGTCAGAACAGTAAAAAAGGTATGCTGAGAGATGTGTCTCTTCTCATTCCTCCTGTCCCATTTCTATTCCTTCCTTGTTTCTACCCATCCATCCCTTGTAGGTGTTCAGTCTCACTATTTTCTGATTTATGCTTCCTGGATTTCTTTTGTATTTTTAGTGTAGACAGGGTTTCGCCATGTTGGCCAGGCTGGTCTGGAACTCCTGACCTCAAGTGATCCACCTGTCTCAGCCTCTCAGAGTGCTGGGATTACAGATGTGAGCCACTGTGCCTGGCCTACGGGTTTGTTTGTTTTTTTTTTTTTTTAAGATTAGATTTAGCCTTAATTTTTTTATTCAAACCACGGTAAAGCAAGAATTTAGTTTTTGGGAGAAAACTCTAGTTGCCAATTATGTTGTAAACATGAAAGTCTGGGGATAGAGTTGATTTGATTAACATTTAGATTTAAATAACTTATTTGGGAAAAGTAGATTCTGTATCTTTTTTTGCTGAAGTATATTTTGCATGTCTATTAATATTTACTTTTCAAAACCTAAAGATAAACGGCTTTTTTTTTTTTTTTTTTTTTTTTGAGACATGATCTTGCCCTGTTGCCCAGGCTGGAGTGCTGTGGTGTGATCTCGGCCCACTGCATCCTCCATCTCCAGGCTCACTGCAGCCTCTGGGCTCAAGCAATCCTCCCACCTTAACCTCTTGACTAGCTGGGACTACAGGTGTGTGCCATCACACCAGGCTAATTTTTTAAAAATGTATTTTTAGTAGAGGTGAGGTCTCACAGTGTTGCCAAGGCTGCTCTCAAACTCCTGAGCTCAAGCAATCCTCCCACCTCAGCTTGCTAAAGTGCTGGGATTACAGGCATGAGCCACTGTGCCTGGCCCAAAAGGGCATTTTTTAAGAAGCTCTGTTCTGTGTATTTCCACTAGGAAGCTAGAAAGTAACTTAAAGCAAATTATAGTCAGTATTCATTTGGTAAAGTTTGTTTCCAGCTTAAATAATAGTAAATGTTCACATGTCAGGGTTTTGTCTTCCCTCCACAGTTGAGATGAGATAATATGATTTTCTAACCAAGATGAGGGGTTGGCGTGTGAATCCGTCTTCAGTTCAGCAGGTTTAGATATTTATTGCATTCAGAGCAGTTTCTCTTAAGTAATGTTTTAAGTATAAGAAAGATGTAAAAAGTGCACAAATCATAAGTGTACAGCTCTATGAGTTGTCACAAAGGGGCACACCTGTGTAACAAACTCCAGAAGTACAACATTTCAGCATTTACCTGTCTTTCCTGTATTTTGGTGCACATATTGGTACACAACTATTTCAGTTGTCGGGTCAGCAGCTTTTTAAAAAGGAGTCTTTCTCATGGTGCATCTCTGAAGGACCCAGACAAGTGATGAGAATCAGTAGTGTTACTCATGCATTCATGGAGGTGTGAACACAGTGCTATGATAGCACTGGGGTAAAAACAGCACATTCAGATGAGGGATTCTGGAAAGGATTCTCACAAGAAGCGGTGTTGGAGTTGGTCTGAAAAGAAGATAGGAATTTAATGGGGGAGAAAGGTATTCGCTGTGTTAATAGGGAAGGTGGATGTTGGATTGAACCAAGGAGTGGGCACGTGTAGTGTTTGGTCTGATGAATACAGGTCCAGATGCACGAAGGATGGAGAAGAGTGGAGGAGACTGAGGGAATGAGGAGGGGACAGGGACTGTTAGAGCTGGGAGCAGGGATGGTAGCAGTAAAGGTGACGAGAGATCTGAAGGGCTCGGCAGGAATTTCTGGTGAAGAGTGTCATTATGTTACTACTTTATCCTAAATTTTACTTGCTATAAAATATCCTGCTGTGTGTGGTGACTCATGCCCATAATCCCAACACTTTGGGAAGTTGAGGCAGGAGGATCCCTTGAAATGAGCCTGGGCAACAAAGTAAGACTCCATCTCTACAAAAAATGTAAAAATTAGCCGAGTGTGATGGCTTTTGTCTGTGGTCCCAGCTACTGAGGAAGCTGAGGCAGGAGGATTGCTTGAGGACTGGGAGGTTGAGGCTGCAGTGAGCCATGATTGAGGCTAACGTGGTACTTATGCACGTGTGAACACATGTCTTTTTTTCTCTTGTAAGTTACTTAAGTGGTTAGCTGATTTTTTTTTTGAACTTCAAACACCTCAATCAATATAAAAACAAGCACAAATATTGTAAAACTACCATATTTATATTTAAACTTATTATTAATTAGCAATACTATGGGCTTTTTCATTAATTTCTTCATCTCTAAACCTTCCTAAAGTTAATAGTAATTCTCATTTTTATACCTTTCTGGGATTTTAGAAATCTCATCAAGCTGGAAAATAAAAAAGTGAGTGTCTTCTGGGACCATTCGTGTCAAATGTGATCAGGATTATTGACTGAGCATTGAGTAGGGGCCAGGAACCTGGTTGCTTCCCCCGATGTAATTTAAATCTAGGTTACTTGTTGTCTGGGTCCTTTTTTTTTTTTTTTTTTCCAAATTAACTTGTTAGTTTAATGAGGCCTTTTGAGCTCAAATTTATCATATAGATTTTAGTTTTGCCCAGGCTGGTGTTTCCCCTATGGAATAGCATTCCTTACCGACCACTTGTCATTATATCGACTTAGTAGAGAGATTGCAAACTTAAGCATTTCTTGTTGGGATCTTCTGATTAGAAGGCCACTTAGAGTTTTTTTCTTCTTCTCAGACAAGAGGTCTAGTCTAGCATCTTGGTTATTTTACGACAGATCACTGATTTTTTTTTAACCCAACTTCTTTATGTGACCACTGTGCTTATCTTCCTCCCCACCCGCCGTTCTTCTTATACTTCTTATTTTGCTCCAAAACTGTGGGTTTGCACAGAACTTCCTTTTTCCTTCCTTCATTATTGTACACACAGATAGACAAAATTTTCTATATAAGCAGACATACTTATTAGAGGAAGGAAATAACAAATGTATTGACTGTCTTCTACTTATTCAAATTCAGAAAAAAATTACTGGGCACAGTAGCTCACGCCTGTAATCCCAGCACTTTGGTAGATCACTTGAGTTCCGGAGGTCAAGACTAGCCTGGGCAACATGGTGAACTGTCCGCCTCCCCGCCCCCCATCTGTACTAAAAATACAAAAATTAGCCAGGCATGGTGGTGCGTGCCTGTAGTTCCACCTACTCAGGAGGCTGAGGCAGGAGAATCACTTGAACTGGGGAGGTGAAGTTTGCAGTGAGCCGAGTTCGGGCCACTGCACTCCAGCCTAGGTGATGGAGTGAGACTGTCTCAAAACAAAAAACAACAACAACCCAAACTGACACAAAATTAATCATATTCCTTGTCTTTAAATTTTTGCATTTCAACTTTTTTGGAATAACTTTTTTTGTTTTCAAATGTATATCCACTAAATATAATTTGTTTTCTTTTAATATCTACATTGTCACAACCTGGCTACCGGATACCATGTTAGGCTGTTTTCTTTGCCTCTTCTGCATTCTCCCCTGACATCCTTGAAAGCACTCTTGCATTCTTACCCTGTTTCCATGCTTGCAGACCCATCCTGGTTTTTATTTTCCTGTCTGATGATGTGGAATTAGCTATGTCTTAAGATCCTAGTTCCTTTCACGAGGAGTTGTTTTAGAGACTTCAAAATTTGGGTGTCTATGAGGGTTAGTGATGGACAAAAGTGTTCCTGTTGTTTTTGGGAAATGGTCATTGATTGTTTTTTTTTCCAATTTAACCAGTCATGTTGCTCTACTCTCCTTTTCAGTGAGATTTCATTGATGGCTAAGACTTTGCTCTGTGTTGGTGAACTCCAGCTCACTAAAGTGAAGTTCTAATAGGACTGGAGTTTTATAGGGAAACTGGGTAGCCTGAATTTCTTACTTAAAGGAGAATGTGAAAAGTGTTGTGGGCTAGGGAAAGAGTTTGCCAACTAGTTTATCTCTTGCTTTATGCTGTGGCAGATGGCCAGTCATGGCTTGAATTTACCCCTTTGTTTGTCCTGGCAAGCTTGTGTGTAGAGAGGCTTCTGTTGGCAGCTTGGTTGCTGTTTCAAAGTACCAAAAATTTTGAAAAACATTCTTCACAAATCCTGTGTGTGAGTTGTGGAAAAAGGAGGTAAATGTTCCAGGAAATCTCATACTCCTGAACTGGATGTCCAGTGGTTGGCTACCATGTTAGGTTTTTCCCTTCTACTGGGTTGTTCTTTCATTAAGTTGGTGTAAGTTAAACTTAAAAACTTGAACTTCAAGACTTGTAAAATGTCTTATTTTTGTTGCGCCTCATAATATGCATTTATCTTGTTGCCTCTTTTGTAATTCTGCAACATTCTCCCTAAAATAGACAAAATCTATCCTTTGTCCATTCCTGTTTTCCCCTTTTTAAATCAGTAATAAAGTCCCATTTGTTTGTAGACAGTTGTGCAGAGAAATAATAGAACCGATTGGACCTCCATTATTGCTGTATGGTGCTGTCATTTCAGGGGAAATAAGCCTGTAGCTTATAGACTGAAAACAAGCTTAGAGTTGGTGTTTGGGAGCAGTGAAGAGTACCCTTTGTAGACCGCCTTTTTCTCCGTGGTCTCATTTAGTCCACACTACAGCTCTAGGGAAGGAAGTGAGTATTAATATCCCTGTTTGACATGAAGACACTCAGGCAATTAGCAAAGTACTTAATCCAGCTATATGAGATGACTAGAAAGTGAATTCAGAAAGAAGGTCTGAACCTAGGTGTGTCTGACTCCATGGGGTGTACAGCCTGAATCGGCTCTCAGGGAATGCCCACTGCCTCCAGGGCAGTAGAGCCGTGTTCTCTGGATGAGTCCTCCACAGATGAGCTTCTGGGATGCTCACGTTGTCTGTCACCCAATGTGATTTCTTTGTATACTTTTTACAAAACTGTATCTTCTTAGCTAGTATTTAATTATATTCTCACCCTATTGTTTATGTTGCATTTCTTTTTAAGTGCACAGTTTCAATTTAAGAAAGCTGGCAAAAAACTAGTTTAACCTGATGGTTAAACAACCAGTTTAACTGTTGTTTTTAGGTTGAAAAATCAGTTCATGCTGCCATTAGTTAAAGGATACTTGAATCATGCAAAAATCTGTTGTTTACTCCAGCAACGTTCCCTTTAAATGGAAGCATCTACATTACTGGTTGCTGGTATTTCTGGAAGAGGCACGTGTTAACTGGAGTGAGGCAGTGGATCTTTGTTTTGTTACTAAGTGTAACTGCTGAAGTGTCTTCCTAGCAAAATATATGCCAAAGTTTACGGCAGGTATAACTTTTTTTTTCTAGAAATAATTACACATAATGTTAGACTTTAGGATTTCAGGTTTATTGTTTTGATGCAGAGGAGGGTACTTATAAATCTCATGGCTTTTCATTAAAATAAAACACATTATCAGCGAGTATATCTAATTAGTAAATCTCATTAATCTTATAATATTTTCCTTTTATCACGGACCTGAAAAGCAGCTTGTTGTCAGCTGTGCTCACTGGCGGGGTGCGGTGGCTCACGCCTGTAATCCCAGCACTTTGGGAGGCCAAGGTGGGAGGATCCCATAAGACCAGGAGTTCGAGACCAGCCTGGGCAACATAGTGAGACCCATCTCTTAAAAAAAAAAAACTGAGCTCACTAAAATACCCCTAACATTGACTGCATCATAGGGGAGGATGTCGTAGGCTTAACTTATATATTTTGGTCTATTACAGTTGATTAAAGTAAACTTGAGGCAACTGGCAACAAATTTATAAATAGCCAGAAAATGTAGATTCACAGTGTGGAACTTAAGTTACTTTGAAACCATTTTCTAAAAGCGAGTCCTGTTGAGGGTTAGGTATGTTGTGGAATGGTGGAATTCAAACAGATGTCTCACTGTTTGGATTAAGTCATAGAGAAGATCCAGAAAGGACTCCGGAGATTACACATGAGCAGCCTTGCTCTGGAATGGTAGGATTTGGTCCCTTCTCAGAAGGGACAGGCAGGGTGGTTGTGGAAGTGATTGACCTCTCCAGATGCTGTTCATGGTTTTCTTTTCCTGAGGAATAATGGCTGTGCTATCACTGGGGAGACGCTAGAGTCTGGAGACCTTGGTTCTCTTGTAGCTTGCTCTTTCATCTTGGGAGGGTCATTTTAGCTCTCATGAGACTGGTATGATTTTTTTCTCCCCTCTCATTCCGCTGTTGATTGTAGAGGAGCTGTAACATCGGGAGAAGTGCTAGGAGGTAAAATAAAGGCAGATACCATTATGATTGTTATTAAAGGACGAGAAAGTGGCTATTGCAGATGGCAGAGCTTGACATTTGGGGACAGATATTCATTGGGTGTTTTGTGAGCATGAGCACTTATAAAAAGAAGCAGTGATTGCTAGCAGCCAGCAAAAATAAACTAGGCTAGAGTTTAAACAATGAGCTTCTTAAGGAGGCAGAGGCCATGCCTGCATGCCACCCTACCCCATTTAAATTTTAAAAAATTATACAGAAAAGTATACTAAATGATACAGAAACACCTATATTCCTATTACTCAGATTTTTCATTTTTTAAAAAAATGGAGACAGGGTCTCTCTCTGTCACCCAGGCTGGAGTGCAATGACGTGATCTCAGCTCACTGTACCTCTGCCTCCCAGGTTCAAGTGATTCACGTGCCTCAGCCTTCCAAGCAGCTGGGACTACAGGCACCCGCCACCACACCCAGCTAATTTTGTATTTTTAGTAGAGATGGAGTTTTACCATGTTGGCCAGGATGGTCTCAAACTTCTGAGCTCAAGTGTTCTGCCTGCCTTGGCCTCCCAAAGTGCTGGGATAACAGGCATAAGCCACCGTGCCCAGCCCAGATTTTTCATATTTACTTCTAGTCTTTTTTTTTTTTTTTCATTTTTAATGAAGAAAGCATGGCAGATCTCCCTAAAGTCTCCCAGCCAGTTTCCATCTCTGCTGCCCTGCCTAGACTGAGGCAGACCACATCATGTTGTGTACTCCTGTAATGCATTTTTATATGTTGATTTATGGATGTGAATATTCACTTTTTATGTATGTATATATGTACATATATAATTTTATGTATCTAAAAAATTTACACAGATAGCAGTATGCCATGTATATTCTACAGCTTTTTTTTTTTTTTAAATTCACATCAGGCCGGGCACAGTGGCTCAATGCCTATAATCCCAGCACTTTGGGAGGCCGACGCGGGTGGATCATGAGGTCAGGAGATCGAGACCATCCTGGCCAACATGGTGAAACCCCGTCTCTACTAAAAATACAAAAATTAGCTGGGCATGGTGGTGGGCGCCTATAGTCCCTGCTACTTGGGATGCTGAGGTAGCAGAATCACTTGAATCTGGAGGCGGAGGTTGCAGTGAGCTGAGATCATAAAAATAAAAATAAAAATAAAACTCACATCATTTTGATACTTCTGCGGAGGGACACACCTCGGTGGCCCCTCCTCTACCATTTTTGCTGATGTCACTCTGAAGCCACTTTTTACACCATTCCGTTCTCTAGTTCCTAGCAAGATTCTGGTCCAAATTCATCCAAACTGGCTATTGTCTAGAATTTTCATTCTTCTTCACTCAAAAGCTTAACTTTTAGGGTTTAGGTCATGACATAAAAGAGTAGAAATAGCTTTTTTGTCCCTACATACATGGTGGATAGCATTTAGGGCACAATATCAAAACCTCTGTGTTACTATTTTTATCAATCGGTTCAGCGTCTGCATTGGTTTTCTCATTTTCAGTGTTTGGGCACACTGAGCTGTGTTCAATAATGGGAATTTTATTGTTAGTTGATTTTCTTTTTTTTTTTTTTTTTTTTTTTGAGACGGAGTCTCGCTCTGTCGCCCAGGTCGGACTGCGGACTGCAGTGGCGCAATCTCGGCTCACTGCAAGCTCCGCTTCCCGGGTTCACGCCATTCTCCTGCCTCAGCCCCCGAGTAGCTGGGACTACAGGCGCCCGCCACCGCGCCCGGCTAATTTTTTGTATTTTTAGTAGAGACGGGGTTTCACCTTGTTAGCCAGGATGGTCTCGATCTCCTGACCTCATGATCCACCTGCCTCGGCCTCCCAAAGTGCTGGGATTACAGGCGTGAGCCACCGCGCCCGGCCTGTTAGTTGATTTTCATTAAGTTCGGACTACTCCACAATCACCTAATCAATTGTTCCACTATAGATACTTTTAAAATGGACAATATTAATTTCCTCTGTAGCTAGGGTGATCATATGATTTACTGTCCAGAGCAGGGCACTTGAGAGTAAAGGGAGTACTGTTGACAGTCATGCTGGGGTAACAGTTGTAAATTGGAACCGTCCTAGGCAAAGATAGCATGCAGTCACCCTGTTCATGAAGTGAGAGGCGGTGGTAGAGAATGACTGGCCATGATCAGGTGGAACAAGGAACCTGAATGCTGCTGCTGAACTCGTTTAGGCATGCTGGTGAATGAAGCTCCCTGCGATCTAGAACCATCATTTAAGATCATTATGACCTCTGTACCTGACAGAGTCCACGATCCAATGAATTAATCACACCTGTGAAACCTGCACAGCATTGCAATCCGTGCTTAAAATGGGGAGAGGGCAAGCATTTCCGGAGGTGGTGGCAGGCATTTGCTGGGGCAGTAATGAAAGGTAATCTTTCAGTGTGCTGATTAAGATCTAGAAGCTCAATAAACCCTCTTCTCAGGGGAGCTTCTTGGAATCAAGGTAAGTAACTTGGGTTTCCTTATCGGAAAGCTAGGGTTAATGATAAGGTAGAAATGCAGCACTCCAGATGTCCTCCTGTCACCTGCCTTAAGGGATGTTTGTTCCCAATGTCAGTTGCGCCTCTGGTGTACTCTCCAGAAGCATGTTTGCTCAGCTGTGGAGGAGTAATTGAACATTGACCTTATTGGTCTCAGCACATAAACTACTGCAATAACAAATTTGATCTTGAGGGAAATTTGCTAATCCTAGTTACAGGATATTAGTGGTTTATTGGCATAGTACTTTTTTTTTTTTAATTGAGGCAGGATCTGGCTCTGTTGCCCAGGCTATAGTGCAGTGGTGTGATCATGGTTCACTGCAACCTCTGCCTCCTGGGCTCAAGCCATCCTCCCACCTTAGCCTCCCAAGTAGCTGGGACTATACAGGTATGTGCCACCATGCCTGGCTAATTTTTTCTTTTTTAAGACGGGGTCTCACTCTGTCCCAAGCTGGAGGACCGTGGTATGATCACTGCTCACTGCAGCCTCGGGCTCCTGAGCTCAAGCAGTCCTCCCACTTCAGCTTCCCAAGTAGCTGGGACCACAGAGCATGCCACCGCACCCTGCTAAGTTTTGTATTTTTTGGAGGGTAGAGATGGGGCCATGCTATGTTGCCCAGGCTAAATGGCTAATTTTTGTAGTGTTTGTAGATATAGGGTTTTGCCATGTTGCTCAGACTGGTCTCAAACTCCTGAGTTCAAGCAATCCACCTGCCTTGGCCTCCCAAAGTGCTGGGATTACAGATGTAAGCGACTGCTTACATAGAGCTTTTACACTTTTTACATAGGCCGGCATAGTGCTTTTGATCTGAAGTAGCTTTCTTCGTATTGCTGCTTTTTCTCTCTTCAGCTCAGTTATTTATTCATTCACCTAGTGTTTATTGAGCGTGTACTAGGTGGTGATCCACTAGGCACTGGCGATTTCATGGTAAACAAGATAGGTAATGTCCTTGCCATACAGACCCTACTTACAGAGATGTTAAGTTGGAGGATGTTACACAGTCGTAGTTGAGCAACTAGGCAGACTGAGTTATTTCAGAGAGGGATGAATACTGACAACCAAACAAGCTAAGGCGATGACAAGTGACTGAGGTGGGAATGACGGCTGTTTAGATGCGAGTGGTCACAGAATGCCTCTCTGAGGAGGTGACAGTTGAACTGAGACCTAAATAATAAGAAGCCAGAGAGTTGGAGTGAAGAGGGGTCCTGGCAGTATCACAGCAAGTACAAAAGTCCTGAGGCCAGATGAGTGTGGCACATTAGGAGAGTGTAAAAGGAAGCTAGTGTGGCTAAAGCACTGTTAGGGGTAGGGAGTGTTGGGGGTGTGGTGGGAGATAAAGTTGGAAAAGCAAGCAGGGGCCAGGTCACACTGGATATGGAGGCCACAGGGACATCTTTGGATTTTATTCCTCAGTGGGAAGCTTTATGCCGAGGGTGTACCACAGTCTGATTGACATTTTTCAGAGATTCCTCTGCCTTTAAGGAGGTGTTCTTTATCCAGTTGAGGAAGTTCCCCTCTGTTCCTAGTTTGTAGAAAGTCATTACTTTTTCATATATTTTTTTCTACTACTTTTTCTCTATTTCCTTCTGTGAACGCTTGGGGGTATCCTATACTCTGGGGCCTCTCTGTTCAGTCTGTTCAGTTTGTTCAGTTTTCCTCAATCTTTTTTCTCTCTGTTCTTCAGACTCGATAATTTCTATTAATCTAACATCAAGTTCACTGATTCTTCTGTTCTTCTGCCATCTGAAATCTGCTGCTGAGCCTCTCTAGTGAATTTTAATTTTAGTTGCTCTAACAACTAAATTCCATTTTGTTTTATATTTCCTGTCTCTTCGTTTTCTCTATTCATTGAGTCAGTTTCCTCACATGGTCCTTTAGTTCTTTAAACTTGGCTTCATTAGTTCTTTTAACTTATTTATAGTAACTGTTTCGAAGTCTTCATCTGCTAAACCCAGCATCTGGGAATACTCAGAGACCACTTCCACTGACTGCCAGAATTTTATTTTTCCCCCGAGTATGAGTCCTGGTTTCTTTTTCCTTTGCTGTCTTGTGAATTTTTGTTGACCACCATATATTTTAGGTAATATATTGATGCAGTTCTGGATTCTTTACATTTTAACTCAAGTGGATGGTGATTGTTTTATTTGCTATTTGTTTAAGTAACTGGACTGGACTAAATCTCAAGTCTGTCTCTCCGGCTGTATCTGACTCTGGATGTCTCTGTACTTCCGTTTTGATTAGTTCTTATTTTTAAGCCTGGTTTCCTAGAGAGGTTGCCCCTGTGTCTGCATAGCATAGTGTTCAGTAAAGATTGGTCAGTGCTTGTAGTCAAACACCTCGAGCCGGTAGGGCTCCCTTCTCTGCTCAGGACCTGTTGGACTGTGGAGCACACGGTACTGCAAGCTGTTTGCGAGTGCGCCCCAGCTGTACTTTGCCCTGGTCTCCTTTTACAGCTCCTCTGTGTGTGTGCATGCATGGGCTCTAATGACCAGGTGTGCATGGGTGGTGTGGGCCTGCACTGCTGTCTGCTGTGCATGCTCAGAGCCTCCAGTCCACCTGGGATGTGTGAAGAGCTTTATAAGCCCCCTACAGCCATCTCATTTTCAAGGCCTCCCTATTAAGTCTCCAGCTGGTGTGCCAGTCCATTGCTTGTCCCAGATAGAACAGCAGCCTCATGGCAGCAGGCCTCTGGCCCTCCGTGCTGCTTGCCTGCCTCTGGGCTTGCTGCTCTCACTGACAACACTGCAAATCCAATGAGTCCCTGCCAGCAGTGGCAGTGAGTTTGCTAGTTTTCAAGGCCTGCCCCACGCCTGTTAAACTTCTGAATTGACAGAGCTGAGGGCAGGGCAGATGAGGGCAGCTCTTGGCAGGAAAAGTCACAGACTTGTGCTGTTCTCACCTGGAGTCCAGTGGGTTTCATGAATAAACACTTCTCAGTTTGTTGAATGTCTTGCTTGCTTTCCAGAGCACCAACTAGGTTGTTTTTGACTCTTGACCAGCTTTATAGTTGCTTTGTGGGAAGAGGATTTGTGAGCCTTCTCACTCTGTTATGCTAGAAGTTAGACATCCCCTGGGAAGTTCTCGAACGTGCCCCTAGGTAATTCTGATTGGCAGCCAGGGTTAGGCACCAGCACACCTGGGACTCTTTGAGCTGTAAATATACACATACAACATCAGGGCATAAGAAAGTTTTTGCCATATTGACTTTCTAAAAAGAAGAGTCTTGAATGTTTCAGGTGTTATAAATAAGGACCTAATTTTAAAACAGGACCTAACTAGGGTCTAGAATG